>NC_000002.12:232944163-233247193 GCF_000001405.40 Homo sapiens
GCAGAGGTTGCAGTGAACTGAGATCGCACCACTGCACTCCAGCCTGGGTGGCAGAGCAAAACTCCGTCTGGGAAAAAATTAAAAAAAAGAAAAGAAGAGAAAAAGAACTACAAGTGCATTTACCCTTCCACCCAGTGACGCCACATCTAATAATTGCCCTGCAGACACACACTCTGAAATAAGAAAAGATATGCACAAGGTTATTCATTGTGGCATTATTTTTGAAAGTAACATATTGGAATCAACCTGAGTACCTATCCTAAGGAGACTGGTTGAATGAACCATGGTATAGTCACCAGAGGAGTGCTATGGCGTTGTAGACATAAGAATGAAGAAGGTGTCCTGGGACTGAAATTAAGTGATTTCCCAAATTCAGTGAGAGAAGCCAGGGATGGAGTTATCTGTGCTGTGTGCTACTTTTGTGAACTAATGATAGAAAGGGAAGCGAAACAATTATACACACACTTCTTTTTTTTTTCCAAAAAGAAATAAGGAAAGAAAAAAAGAGAAATTAATAGAAATGGTTACTTCCAGAGTTGGGCTAGGGGATAAGACTTTTCCGAATATATATATATATATATATATATATATATATATATCTTTTTGGAGATGGAGTCCTGCTCTGTTGCCCAGGCTGGAGTGCAGTGGCATAATCTCGGCTCACTGCAACCACCACCTCTCCGGTTCAAGTGATTCTCCTGCTTCAGCCTCCCCAGTAGCTGGGATTACAGGCGCCTGCCACCACACCGGCCTAATTTTTGTATTTTTAGTAGGGACAGGGTTTCACCATTTTGGCCAGGCTGGTCCAGAACTCCTGACCTCAGGTGATCTGTCCATCTTGGCCTCTTAAAGTGCTGGGATTACAGGCATGAGCCACCACGCCTGGCCTATAGTTTTGACTTATAAACCATGCATATGTTTTATATGCTCAAATAATAAAAGAAATCTAAAAGTATGAAATAAATTCTAGAATTGAAAATAAACCAAAACAAATGAACCTAAGTGATTATAACATTGATAACATAACCCACAGGAAAAAAAATTTAGTTCAAGTAATTTTTCAACATAGTACTTTATTTTTATACCCTGACTGAGGTCTATTCTAGGACTAAAAAAAAAAGAGGCAAATTTTACACTTTGTTTAGTTGGTGTTGTGGGTTGTGTTCCCTAAAAATATATACTCAAGTCCTAACGCCTGGTACCCATGCTTGTGACTTGACTTGGAAATAGGATCCTTGTTGAAGTGGATTGGAGTGGGCTGTAAACCAATGGCTGGTGTCTTTATAAGAGGAGGGAAATTTGGATACACAGACACAGACACAGACACAGACACAGACACAGAGAAAGGAGAATGCTATGTGAAGACATTGGAAGAGCTTGGGGTGAGGCATCTGCCAGCCAAGGAGTGCCAAGGGTGCCAGCCACCACCAGAAGCCAGAGAGAGGCGGGGAGCAGCTTCTCCCCACAGCTCTGAGAGGGAGTGTGGTCCTGACGATGTCTTGCTTTGGCACTTCTGGTCTCCAGAACTGCAAGAGGGCAAATTTTTGTTGTTTAAAAGCCACCCAGTTTGTGGTGCTTTGTTCCAGCGGCCCTAGCAACCAAGACAATAGATTTACTGTTGATTATGGCACAGGTGGAGTCATTCTGAAATTGTTCTGTGTGCATTTGTAGAATAGAGCAATGTCTCACAACATACTGATGTTGAGGACCTGGTTCTCACTGTTAGAAAAGCAACATGTACGAAAAAAAATACTTGCACACCCATGTTTATAGCAGCACAATTCGCAATTGGAAAAAACTCAAATGCCCATCAATCAACTAGTGGATAAACTGTGATATCCATATATATATATTCTATATATATCTATATGCAATATAGATATATGCAATATATATCTGATATATATATATATATGCACACAATGGAATAGTACTCAGCCATAAAAAGGAATGAATTAATGGCATTCGCAGCTACCTAGATAAGATTGGAGACAGTATTCTAAGTGAAGTAACTCAGGAATGGAAAACCAAATATTGTATGTTCTCACTCATAAATGGGAGCTAAGCTATGAGGATACAAAGACGTAAGAATGACACAGTGGACTTTGGGGACTTGGGGGGAAGGTTGGGAAGGGGGTGAGGGATAAAAGATTACAAATTGGGTGCAGTGTATACTGCTCGGCTGATAGATGTACCAAAATCTCACAAATCACCACTAAAGAACTTACTCATATAACAAAACACCACCTGTTTCCCAATAACCTATGGAAATAAAAAATTTTCAAAAAAAGAAAAGTGAGATATAGAATCAGGGAGTAACCATCACTGTATTGGATTGGAATTAGGGTATTCATGTGAACTCACACGCACACATACATGGGCACAATTTCCTAGCTCTGACTGCTGAATAGTCCTAGAAGCAGTGACCTACCAGTAGTAACGAGCACATCTAATGCCCAGATCTTGGTTTCTAAACAGCATTCTCCACTAAATGGAGCTAGGGCTCCTTGGAAAAATGGCTGATTCCATGTCTGAGATACAGAAAGCATAGGAAAGCATGCTGTGTCTGAAAGCAAGGAAGTGAAGGAAGTATTCAAAGACAGCTGGGAAGATATCAAGGGACAGTATAGCCAGCTGGGAGGGGCTCCTATGTGACAGTTTGAGCCTCAGAAGGAATATGACAATCATGGATTAAAACACATTGAATTAAAAATACAATGACCATGAGTCCATAGTCATACTCGAAAACAAAAGAAAACAAACCAAAAAACAAAGGAAGGGTCTTCTTCACAGAAGAAAATCAACTAATGTAAGTATGAGGAGTGCTAGAACATTCCCATTTTGCAAAAATGTAATAGTTGGTTCAGGAAAGATTGATAATGGATGTTAAAAGCCATGGTTGAAAGGCTAATAGGAAAGAGTATATTGAAGTGATCTCAAACCATCACTCTACAGATAACTTATTAGTAGCAAAAGGAAAAATTGTACCTTTACTTTGGAGCAATCTGGCAACTTCCAAATTAACCAAATGATCAAATGTAGCATCAAAAATAATGGGCCAAGCTGACATGAATGCCTTTAGATGGGCTGCAGCTTGAAGTACACATCACCCGGATGCAGTCTCGCTGAAAATGTTTAACCTGAATCCAATCAAGTGCGTAGACCCAACTCCCAGTTTGAAGGAGACACAGGGAGTGATGTGATCTGGCTCTGTGTCCTCACCCAAATCTCATCTCTAATTGTATTCCCCACACGTTGAGGGAGGGACCTGCAAACTCTACCTGTTGAGGGAGGGACGTGATCAGATTATGGGGGCGATTTCCCCCATGCTGTTCTTATGATAATGAGTGAATTTTCACGAGATCTGGTGATTTTATAAATGGTAGTTTTTCCTGAACTCTCACACACTCTCCCTCACCTGCTGCCATGTGAGATGTGTCTGCTTCGCCTTCTGCCATAATTGTAAGTTTCCTGAGGCCTCCTCAGCCACGTAGAACTGTGGGTCAACTAAATCTCTTTCCTTTATAAATTACCCAGTCTCGAGTAGTATCTTTATAGCAGTGTGAGAACAGACTAATACAGGGAATAAAGGAACAAGTTAATACACTAAGAAGCAGACAAATTCACAATGGGGCCATTCTACAAGATAAGAGGCCTGTATTTTTAAAGAGTCAGTCACAGAAAAAGAAAGATGAAGAGACCTTTTTTGATTACAGGAATCTAAAGACAGCAAACCAACAAATGCAGTGATTGAAACTCGACTAGATCTTTTAAAAAAACGTATTGACACATACTTATAGGGTACATGTGATATTTTGTTACCTATGTAGAATGTGTAATTACAGCCAGGGCATTTAGAGTTTCATTCAATCTTTTTAATACGGCCCAAGTGGCATGATTAAATTTTGATTCACAAATACCAGCTGTGAAAGACATTTTGAGGACAATTGGGGGCCATGGGGTCATTTGAATATAGCCTGGAGATGTGTGTGTGTGTGTGTGTGTGTGTGTGTGTGTGTGTATATAATTATTATTAGTTTTTTGAGACAGAGTCTCACTCTGTCATCCAGGCTGGAGTGCAGCGCGAAATGTTGGCTCACTGCAACCCCCGCCTTCTGGGTTAAAGTGATTCTCCTGCCTCAGACAATCCCAGAGTAGCTGAGATTACAGGCGCCCGCCACCATGCTTGACAAGTCTGGATATTAAATATAGAATGATTGTTAATTTTCTTAAGTGTGATAATGGCACTGTGGTTATATAGAAGGATGTCTTTATTCTTAAAAGCTGTATGCTGGGTATTTAGGGGTGAAGAATAATGATGTCTGCAATTTAGTTTCACACAGTTTAGGGGAAATAAAGGAGGGAGAAAGAGAAAAGAGAGAGAATGCCAACATGCGAGGAGTTAATAGATTTTTGACTCTAGATTGAGGCCATATGGGAGCTTATTGTGCTATTCTTTTGATTTTTCTGCATGTTTAAAATTTTTTCTTTTTAAAAAGTTGGAGGTAAGGGAAAACAAGTATTTACAGAAGCAGTACTTTGATTGAAAGAAATGGATTAACAATCAAGTTTGGCCAGGCACAGTGGCTCACGCCTGTAATCCCAGCACTTTGGGAGGCCGGGGCAGGCGGGTCACTTGAGGTCAGGAGTTTGAGACTCGCCTGGCCAACATGGTGAAACCCTGTCTCTACTAAAAATACAAAAATTAGCCAGGCGTGGTGGTGGGCACCCGTAATCCCAGCTGCTCAGGAGGCTGAGGCAGGAGAATCGCTTGAATCCAGGAGGCAGAGGTTGCAGTGAGCCAAGATCACGCCATTGCACTCCAGCCTGGGCAACAGAGCAAGACTGCGTCTCAAAAAAACCCCCCAAAAAAAACAAACAAAAAAAACCAATCAAATTTAAATGTAGTCAGATGTTCGGCATGAAATGTTGAGGTTGGGATGTCGCAGAGGCCAAGGGAAGGAAGAGAACTTTGCTGATCACTGCCCAGCCTGGGAGCTCTGCGGAGCCAGGACCTGCCTGAATGTGAGCCCCATGAAGGCGGAGCTCTTGGTCCCTTTTGTTCACTGCTAAATCCCCAGTACCTAAAACAAAGCCTGGATCATAGTGGGCACTCTGTAAACATTTGTCATCTGACTCAATGAACTGCAAATAGCTCAGTGATAGTAATAAACATCTTTGTCTGATTTCTGAGTATCTTCTCAGGATAGACTCTGGGTCAAAGATTAGGAATATCTTTACTGCTTTTCACATATATTATGGAATTACAAAAGATTATACTGGTTTATACTCAGCTAGTGTGTTTCTCTGCACTCTTTCTTTTTTTTTTTTGAAATGGAGTTTCGCTCTTGTTGCCCAAGCTGGAGTGCAGTGGCGCGATCTCGGCTCACTGCAACGTCCGCCTCCCGGGTTCAAGTGATTCTCCTGCCTCAGCCTCCCTAGTAGCTGGGATTACAGGCATGCACCACCATGCCCGGCTAATTTTGTATTTTTTAAGTAGAGATGGGGTTTCTCCGTGTTGGTCAGGCTGGTCTTGAACTCCTGACCTCAGGTGATCTGCCTGCCTCAGACTCCCAAAGTGCTGGGATTCCAGGTTGAGCCACTGCGCCTGGCTCTCTGCACTCTCTCTAGTACTTAGTGTTATAAATTTTTGGTTTTTTTTTTTTAGATGAAGTCTCACTCTTGTTGCCCAGGCTGGAGTGCAGTGGTGCCATCTCGGCTCACCACAACCTCCACCTCCTGGGTTCAAGTGATTCTCCTGTCTCTGCCTCCCGAGTAGCTGGGATTACAGGTGCCCACCACCATGCCCGGCTAATTTCTGTATTTTTAGCAGATACAGGGTTTCACCATGTTGGCCAGGCTGGTCTCAAACTGCTGACCTCAGGTGATACACCAGCCTCGGCCTCCCAAAGTGCTGGGATTACAGGCATGAGCCACTGCACCCAGCCAGAAATATTTTTAAAGTACCAGTTTGATGGATGAAAAATGTTGTCATTATAGTTTACATTTCTTTCTTTACTAGTGAAGTTTATTTTTTTGGTTAATTGTGTTTTTATATTCTTTCTTTATGAATGATCTCTTCATGAGTTTTGCTGGTTTTAATTTCAGCAATGCTTGTGTTTCTCTAACTGATTTGTGAATACAGCCTGCGGTGTTATTGGTATGAGGATATGTATATGTTTTAACAAGGGCCGCTTTGTGGAAAAGGAACTTCTTTCTAAAGGATTTGTAGATCAAATATCAGTGATAGGCTGATAGGTGCTGAGTGTGGCAGTGGGACCCCCCACCCCCAAATCCCAACCCCCCTTTGCCCCTGGACTGTGTGATGGGTGTTTTGACTCTCCGTCACTCTCACTGACCCAGGAGACCAGGATCTGGGGCAGAGAGGAGCCTCCCAGGGCCTTTGGTCCACCCCTGCCTTCAGGCAGGCAAGACAGCAGTGTTCTGATTTTCCAGAAAAGGCTACCAAAGGGCAAAGCCTCCTCTTGGGCCTTGGGCATACCCCATTCCAGGTGCACATGGACTGGGTGGGAGCAAGAAGGCTCCTCAGTCCTGAACAGTTGCTGTGACTTCAGGTCACTTCCAGGAGGTCCCCTCACCACTGCCTGTCTCTCAACCCCTGTCTGAGAGTTTGATCTGAAACCCTCCAAGCCAGACTTGCCTTGTCTGTGTCTTTTTCGCTAACATATGGTTGACTTCACCACATGCTTCAGAAAAAAAACATGGAAGGGGAACAGCTGATGAATGTACATTAACTGCCAACCGCTCAGTAATTTATTTATTCAATGCGTGGCTATTAAGCATCCAGTATCTCCAAGCCCTGACAGATGATCAGGCCTCAGACCCAGCGGCGTCCGGCATGCGGCTGGCTGTTCCTGACTTGAAGCAATCAGTGGGCTGCCTTAGAGGCCGGCACCTTCAGCTTTTTGCTAGGAAAGGTGTGAAGACAACCAGTGCCACTGCCCCATTTTGTGAGTGTGGCACTCACCGGAACAACAGCTCCCAGATGGACAGACACCAGGACCATTCTGCCTTTAGCCTCTCTGGTGGCCACGCGCTACCTCGATGTCTAGGGCTTTTCAGATGTGCATCATCCCTGGCACCTCCTGAGGTCCCCTTTCCATATCACTCCTCCCTCTGTAAAGCGAGCCACCTGTCATTTGATGTTCTGCCTTGAACTCGGATCCAGCCATCCCACTGATGCTGCGCACCCACAGATTCTTAGCTGTCTCCCCAGTCCAAGGCACGACAACCTTCTCTCTGCAGACACGTGAATTTGCAACCTGGGAAGACCTGAGTCTTGGCAGAGTAATTAAACTTGGCAAAAATGGAGCATGCTATTATTCTACACTGTGGAGTCGAGGTCCTAATTTGGAGGTTTTACAATTGCGTGACCGGCAGTGTCAGGCTTTAGGGGCCGCCAGCGCCAATTACCCATGTCAGAGACAGAAAGGGAATCAGAGATGTTTCACACTTCCTTTTAGGGCTTGGCTGCACCTAGGAACCGCCAGGATTCCTCAGTGCACATCGCTTGCTCTTTTTTGTCTCTGCAGTCTGAAACCCCTCCCCATTCCTCCTGTGCAAAAGAAATCCCAACATGTTGTTTAGGAGCAAAACCAGTAATTTCTCCCATGGGTTCTTGTACTGCATGCAGAATGACATGCTCAATGGTACTGCTATAGTCAATGTAACAGGGAATTTTGAGTGGCAGGTTTATTTTTTTTTTATAGCATTTCTTAACATAAGCCAGGGGCATGCTATCAAAATACAGCTCAGTGGAGACGTTTCTGCCACAGTTGAAGGGCAAAGGGAAAGTACAAAATGGTGAAGTCCAAGCACACAGCCCTAGGAAGGCGTGGTGTGGTCCAGGGATAAAACGCAGATCATCAAAAGGATAAATGGGCTGTAAAGCCTTCAAGCCGTCTTAGCAGGGCTCTGTTGGAGACGGGGTGAGGGTCATGCCTCAGGCAGAGACCTGGTATGTACTCGCCCTGCATGGTGACTCAGGCGGATCTTCAGATATAAAGCCTGAGTAATATCAGTGGGAACTGGGAATATGGATATAAATTCCAAGGACAATACTTAAGAATCATTTTGATGCAAGAATTGTAGAGGAAATTCAGACTCCAACAGATATCTATAGAGCACCTACGTGGCAAGAACCATTTTAAATGCGTTCTTTCATTGATTTCTCCTGGCAACCTTGTAGAGTTAGGATAATACTTAGGAAGTTGAGGAACTTTTTGGCTCATTGCCATTCACTTCATTTTCTTGAACATTGTTTTCTCTACCAGTAGATGTGAGTTCCAGGATTTCTGGAAGATGATCTATAAGAGCAGCAAGTGCCTTTTAATAGAGATATTGATTATCCTAACAGTGATTACTACATTTTTCTCATCTTAGATCTGTTTAACTCCACATATCAATTTCTACATGGAAGTGTTATTATTTACTAAACAATATTTTGGGGGTATCTATTTTCTGACTGTCTTGAATAATCTACCTTTGAAAAGTGATCAGTGAGCCGGGCGCAGTGACTCACGCCTGTAATCCCAGCACTTTGGAAGGCCGAGGCAGGCGGATCACCTGAGGTCAGGAGTTCGAGACCAGCCTGGCCAATATGGTGAGACCCCATCTCTACTAAAAAATACAAAAATTAGCTGGGTGTGGTGGCAGTCACCTGTAATCCCAGCTACTCCAGAGGCTGAGGCAGGAGAATCACTTGAACCCGGAGGCAGAGGTTGCAGTGAGCCGAGATCGCACAACTGCACTCCAACAAGAGTGCAGACAAGAGTGAGACAGCCCTCAAAAAAAAAAAAAAAAAAAAAAAAAAAACAACAAAAAAGCAAAGTGATTGGGGCCAGGCGCAGTGGCTCACGCCTGTAATCCCAGCACTTTGGGAGGCCAAGGTGGGCAGATCACGAGGTCAGATGTTCGAGACCAGCCTGACCAAGATGGTGAAACCCTGTCTCTACTAAAAATACAAAAATTAGCCAGGTGTGGTGGCGCGTGCCTGTAATCCTAGCTAGTGGGGAGACTGAAGCAGGAGAATCGCTGAAACCCAGGAGGCAGAAGTTGCAAGGAACTGAGATCACACAACTGCACTTCAGCCTGGGTTACAGAGCGAGACTCTGTGTCAAAAAAAAAAAAAAAAAAAGAAAAAGAAAGAAAAAAAGGGAAAGAGAGAAAGAAAGAAAGAAAGAGAGAGAGAGAAAAGTGACCAGTGTGTCTGCCTGTTGATATTGTTCAGTTTTAATAAATGAGACAGCTACTCCTACACAACCAACATGCTCAAAAAATAAAAAAAAAAGCCAGAAGATAGTTGACTTACATTCTTTTTTTTTTTAAAAAAAAAAGAAAAAGTTTAACATACATTGTTGATGACACTGATATACATTCCTTTATGAAAATTAGGAAATGGGATCAAAATCTTCTGTATCCTGGCTGCCTGCCTAGGGGGAGATCTGCCCAGAGCCGGGGTCTTCTCCCAGAAAAGCAGTTCTGGTGCTCCAGGATGTATGCGGTTTCTTCTATGGAGCATAACTGAGGTGACTGGGGCCCGGGAGCGTTTTCCAGGAGGAACGCAGAGGGGCCACAAAACTAAGGTCCAGGAATAGGCCCCTGGAACACCAGCTTTGGTGCACTGGAGCTTCCTGGGAAGCTGCCGGGGAAGCGGTGGCTAAATGTCTCCTTGAGCCACCAGATAAGACATTTTCTGATAGAAACCGGCACTCAGGACAGTGGAGGTGATTGATAAGTATTTGTTAAATGAATGAACTCATAAATGAATGACACCTCAAGTTTGCAGGGGTGAAGCATTTGCCAAAAATAACAATTTTTGTTTTAGAGCCACTAACTATAAAAAAATCCTTTCTTCCTATTGGCGTGAGGATAACAGAGCCGAATGTCTACCGAGGGAGCTGTGTTGAGAGTCAGGGCTGCAGTGTCAGGCAGTTCAGGGTGTGCACTGTCCAACTACGGGGGTATCTTTTACATAGATGACCCTGTGAATGGAGCCCTCTCAAGCTGGGCCCTGGAATCACACCCTTGACTTAAAGGAGGGTGCTTTATTCTATTCTCTCTGACAGGGGAGGTGGGTATCCAGGCTTTCATTCATTCATTAACTGTCTTAGGCCTGGGGATATGACAGTGAATAAGATACCAGCCCAGCCCTGGAGTTATTGTCTAATAGAAAAGATGGATAAGTTGCCAGAAAATGACATTTTAATCTAGGTGATGAGATATTGTAGGATGCTGTGGGAGCTTAAGAGAGGAGTTCCAGCCGGGCGCAGTGGCTCACACCTGTAATCCCAGCATTTTGGGAGGCTGAGGCAGGCGGATCGTGAAATCAGGAGATCGAGACCATCCTGGCTAACACGGTGAAACGCCGTCTCTACTAAAAATACAAAAAATTAGCCAGGCGTGGTGGCAGGTGCCTGTAGTCCCAGCTACTCGGGAGGCTGAGGCAGGACAATGGAGTGAACCTGGGAGGCAGAGCTTGCAGTGAGCCGAGATCACGCCACTGCACTCCAGCCTGGGTGATAGAGCGAGACTCCGTCTCAAAAGAAAAAAAAAAAAAAGAGAGGAGCTCCTAATGCCATCTGAGGCAGGAAGCATGAAGGAAGGGTGGCAGGTTGAGGAAGGCTTTGCAGAAGAAGCTAAATGAGAACTGAAGGATGAATAGAAACTATCCAGGCACCAGTGTGGGTGGGGGAACAGCAGGTGCAAAGGGCCTGTGGTGAGGACACTTTCCAACCATCGAGACATAGTAACAGGTCACGCACGTTGGGGGCCGATCACTGTTCTCAGCACTTTACGGATAACAGCTTACTTTTTCTTCGTAATACGCCTATTCATATTCTAACTCTCCCCAACTTAAGATGAGGACACTGAGGCAGAGAAAGCCGAAATAACCTGCCTAAGGTCAAGTCTGGGAGTCTCCCTCCAGAGCTTGCAGTCTTTTTTCCTTCAAGATATTAATTGTTTTTTACATTTTAAAAGAATACTGAAAATTGCAAGTAAAGTACAGTACAAATAACTTTTTAGAAACTTTTCCTGAGCCGTTGGAGGGTCAGCTGCCGACCTGACATCCCATCATCCCCAAATACTTCAGTGTGTATTTTCTAGACCAAGACTAGCTCCTATATAACCCAAACACAACCATCAAAACCAGGAAGTCAGCTTTGAAATAGTATCACCAATGACCCTCAGACTCCATTCAGCTTTTTGCTATTGTCTGCTATGATGTCCTTTAGAGTAAAAAGACCCAGTCTAGGATCATCATGGCAGCCTGCTGATCAGCTCTTTGCTGTCCTTAAACTGGGAGCAGTTCTTCAGTCTTTGCTTGTTTTTGTTTGTTGGCTGGTTGGTTTGTTTTTGAGACAGAATCTCGCTCTGTTGCCCAGGCTGGAGTGCAGTGGTGCGATCTCACCGCAGCCTCCACCTTCTGAGTTCAAGCAATTCTTGTGCCTCAGCCTCCCGAGTAGCTGGGATTACAGGCATGTGCCACCACATCTGGCTAATTTTTGTACTTGTAGTAGAGACGGGGTTTCACCATGTTGGCCAGGCTGGTCCTGAACTCCTGACCTCAAGTGATCCACTCGCCTCGGCCTCCCACAGTGCTGGGATTATAGGCGTGAGCCACCAAGCAGGACCTTTGCTTGGTTTTGTGACTCTGACACTCGTGAAGATTTCAGACCAATATATTTTGCAGAATGTTTCTCAATTGGGACTTCTCTGGTGTTTTCTAATATTAGATGAAGGGTTTGCATCTTGGGCTGGCTACCTTGTTAGTTTGGCGTGTTTTTGAATTTTGCAGAAATGAAACTGTATTGTACATATCCTTCCTCAATCTCCCCCAAACGTGACTGCAGTTTAGCATGTGCTTGTATGTGCTGGACCCTGTCTACTGTGTTTGCTGGTTTCAGACGCCGCTCCTTTCCTTGTAAATATGAGGTAATTGAGGCTTGAGGAGAGCAAAGATTTATTTACCCGAGGCCACATGCTGCTATAAAGAGGATCCAGGGCTCAACCACTCTGAGTGGTTGTCCCTGAAGGGACCTGGCTGGGCCCTGCTAAGGTCAGAACAGGTGGGGTTTTGAGAGAATTTGAGAGAAACAAGCTTATGGGTCCATCAGTCCCTGCTTTCACCACCTCCCCAGAGCCAGCCCATAAGGTAAACATCTTACATTAAGAATTCAAAAGAATTAGAAAAAGATTTGGCTGCAATATAAGATTGTGACTAACAGAAGAAACAGTTAACTAATATTATCCATAAAGTATTGATAGAACCAATAAAATAGGAGTTTAAGAACCAGAATTAGGCTGGGCACAGTGGCTCACACCTGTAATCCCAGCACTTTGGGAGGCCGAGGTGGGCGGATACCTGAGGTCAGGAGTTCGAGACCAGCCTGGCCAACATGGCGAAACTCCGTCTCTACTAAAAATACGAAAAGTAGCTGGGGATGATGGCAGGTGCCTGTAATCCCAGCTACTTGGGAGGCTGAGGCAGGAGAATTGCTCAATCGCTCAAACCCAGGAGGTGGAGGTTGCAGTGAGCTGAGATGCTGAGATTGTGCCACTGCACTCCAGTCTGGGCGACAGAGCAAGACTCCATCTAAAAAAAAAAAAAAAAAAAAAAAAAAATTAGGTTACTGAAAAGTTACAGTTATAAACAGTCAAGTAAACAAAATAAAAGCGCATAAGAAGGACAATGGCTAAAAAGAAATAGGAAATAAAACAGTAAATCCAAGACCAACCCTGCCCCAGAAGCTTAGGAATTTAAATAGGAAGATAAAAAGAGAATTAAAGGGGGAAAAAAGATTTGGCATTAAGAATTAAAGCCAGAAGTGCTGAATTTTAATAGTGGTAATTATGATAAAGCTAAAACACAAAGGGAGAACATTTAAAAGGTGATTAAAATAGAAAATAAGAAGGAAGGTAAAAGGGCAAAGTAAGGAAGATTGAAAATTAAAAGAATAAGTACGATAAGCTAGAATAACCAAAATAAGGCAAAATAAATCTAAATGGGCAATTTAACAAGGGAGAAGATGTCAAGAGTTTAAAAACTAAAGATGTAATTACAGGTAGAGAAAATCCACAGTTCAAGCTCAGGCCCCCAGAGCCTGTTGTTGCTGTTATTATTATTATTACTACTACTAATAATTATTATTATTTTGAGATGGAGTCTCACTCTGTCTCCCAGGCTGGGGTGCAGTGGCGCAATCTGGACTCACTGCAACCTCTGCCTCCCAGGTTCAAACAATTCTCCTGCCTCAGCCTCCCAAGTAGCTGGGATTACAGGCACCCGCCACCACACCAGGCTAATTTTTGTATTTTTAGTAGAGACAGAGTTTTGCCATGTTAGCCAGGGTGGTCTTGAACTCCTGACCTCAGGTGATCTGCCCGCCTCGGTCTCCCAAAGTGCTGGGATTACAGGTGTCAGCAACCATGCCCAGCTCAGTTATTACTAATATTAATGTTAAATGTGAAAGTAGTCATAAGTCCCAGAGACAGTCCATGTGATCCCATAAGATCTGAGTCACATGCAAGTTTCTGCACCTGTCTGGTCACCTCTGGGTGTGGGCCTCTGCCCAGGAGGGGAGGGAGAGCTGGGACTGTGTCCTCCTCCAGTGTCACACCTAGAACCACCTGCCCTGCAGCCCAGTCATCTCTCCATGGAGAGGTGTGGGATATGCCCCTTCAACTTCTCAAAGGGGAAAAACATTTAGAACTGCTGAAAATAAGATAGAGCTGTCAAAAGTATATGAAATTAGCTGCATAAACTGTGAAACATAAGTCACAGTTATATTTGTTCTGAGACAGTGTAAAAATAGAAACGGTTTCACAGATAGAAAATTCAAACCTCTCTTCAGTCACCGTGTCCAAGTAGCCTGAGATCCTTCCGATGCTCTAGTGTCCTTTGTTTTGCAGAACTAGGAGGCCAGTGATGGGACCTCAGCTAGCACCCAAGCGAGGGATGCCAGAGAGGAAACTAATTTATGATGCTCCATTTGTATTTTTATTGCTGAGGGTACTTGGTCTCCTATATTACTAGGGGAGGTGGAGAAATGGGTTATCACCAAAAGGCAGCCGGGCAGGAAAACCCCTCTGAGGTAGAGATACTGTACTTCTGCTAGAGCTGCACGGAGTGTTCATCTATCCTGGTGACATTGTGACCTCTTTGCAAGAGCCTTGGTCTGCACAGTCCCAGGATACTTCTGGACCAGTCTGCACAGGTGTATCTTCAAGAGGTCAGTGGTTGAGCTCCTAGATCTCAGCTTCTGCCCGGGAGTCGGCATGCATGCATTTACTCATTCATCAATCATTTGCAAGTATTGAGGCCTTCTGGTGTGTTGCACTGTGCCAATTGCTCAGGAAGCAACAAAACTTGGCATGGTCCTATGTTTGAGGAGCTTAATGCTACCTGGGCCACCATGGTCAATGGTAAGAGCTGATGATTCTGCCAACCTCCCGGAAAAGGAGACTGGAACTGGGTGGGCAAGACTGAAGGGTCTCTATACTCAAGCTCCTGTCTTTTTGTATTTTAAAAAACAAGCTTTAAAAAAATAAACATATTAAAAATTAAAGTTTTCATTATGGAAAATTTCAAACATATACTGAAATAGACAGAAAAGTATAATTAATTCCCCCAATATTCATCACCCAGCTTCAAGAGTTCTCATCTCACGGCCAGTCTTTCTTCTCCACTCCCACCCACTCCTCCCCAGGCCTGGATTATTTTGAAGCAAATCCCAGACGTCATATCACTTCATCCAAAATATTTCAGACTGTATTTCTAAAAGATATTGAGGTTAAATATAGGTTAAAAATAACTACAATACCATTAGCATGCCTAAAGAGATTATCAATAATCTCTTAACATGATCAAATATTGGCTCAAACACCCCCTCCCCACAGTGTGTTTTAAAAGAGATTCAGATAGAGTCTGTATAATGCAATCCATTGATATTTCTTCAGTCTCTTTTAATTGCTTCCTTTCTTTCTTGTTTTTCTCTTTGCAGTTTTCCCCTTGAGAAATTGGGGCATTTATCCTGTTTGGATTTTATGACTGTGCCTGCATGGTGTTGTTTAACCTGTTCCTCTCTCCCCGGTGTTTCCTGTAAATTCCTGGTTAGAGCTGCAGGCTTGATTAGAGTCGGGCCACGTTTCTTCAGTTCCTGTTTTACCCAGTGCTTGTCCCTGTGTTTAGACACTCTCACAGAACAACCCAAGCTAGCTTCAATAAACACCTGACAAGCTGCCCCAGGCTTACTGAACATGCAACTTGTACATTTTCATAGAAATACATACAAGGAACAGTGTGGAAATGGGACATTGCCCAGCATCAGCACTTGAAGACTCGCCATGCTGTACATGAGCCATTGGTGGCAATGGGCGATTCCACAGCAATGACCTTTTTTTTTTTTTTTTTAAGACAGAGCTTCACTCTTTTTGCCCTGGCTGGAGTGCAATGGCGCAATCTTGGCTCACCACAACCTCTGTCTCCTGGGTTCAAGTGATTCTCCTGCCTCAGTCTCCCGAGTAGCTGGGATTACAGGCACGCGCCACCATGCCTGGCTAATTTTGTATTTTTAGTAGAGAAGGGGTTTCTCCATGTTGGTCAGGCTGGTCTTGAACTCCCAACCTCAGGTAATCTGCCCGCCTCGGCCTCCCAAAGTGCTGGGATTACAGGCGTGAGCCACCGCCCTGGGTAACAATGGCCATTTTTTAGGTGGATCCATGGATGATAGTCACAATGTTTAACAACCAGGTATGGCACCAACCAGCTACAGCAGAGCTGTTAACACTTAGTGTGGCTGTCCCAGGCTGTCCCTGCTGAGTGTTGGCCTTGGAGGTGACTCCCACGTTTAATGCAGGCTGAGCATTCTTGGAGCGATGCACTTTTGCAATTCCCTCTGGCCATTGCCAGGAACAGAGGAAGGCCAGTGGGCTAATGTTTTAACAAGGCTGATGCTTTCTTAGTTTATCCAGAAAAATGGCCCCACATATTTTAGATGTAGCTTAATTTTGTATGCTAAATATCAACTTATAAAAGCACATATTAAGGTTTTTTTCTTATACATATATTTAGCAATGTGGCACTTTTGTGATATGAAATGATTTCTGGGACTAGAACCCTGATTCATGACCTTGTGCCTGTAGGAATAAAGTCCCAACACAATACCTGAACTTGAGAGGACCCCAAGGGACTGAGTCAGTGACGTACTGGGGGCTTTGGACTTTGCCTCCTGTGGGCAGATTCACAGGAACACCCTCCTTCTCATAGCCGTGATTACCCTGGCCATACCTCACAGGCAGCCTGGAAAGGGGAGGTCATGGGTGTGGAGTCAGAGGCCCTGGGTTCACTGTCTGGCTGTCTCACTAGGTAGCTGTGCAGCCTTAAGGCTAGGCACCAAACTGTATTGAGTCTAGGCCTGGAGCGGTGGCTCATGCCTGTAATCCCAGCACTTTGGGAGGCTGAGGCGGGTGGATCACCTGAGGTCAGAAGTTTGAGACCAGCCTGGCCAACATGGTGAAACCCCATCTCTACTAAAATTACAAAATTAGCCAGACGTGGTGGTGCATGCCTGTAATTCCTGCTACTTAGGAGGCTGAAGCAGGAGAATCACTTGAACCTGGGAGGCAGAGGTTGCAGTGAGCCAAGATCGCGCCACTGCACTCCAGCCTGGACAACAAGAGCAAAGCTCCATCTCAAAAAACAACATGTGGGGATAATGGCCAGAGAATTTAATGAGACAGTGAGTGTAAAGGTGCTTGACATATGTAAGTTGGCTTCCTGTGCCCCTCTTTACAGAACACCTTTCTGCAATGATTGTGCTTTCCTCCTGCCGTGCTGCCCAGCTCACCATGACTCACTGCTGGTTGGTATACCAAAGAGGACTTGCAAAGCAGCCTTGGATGAACTCTGTGAGGATGGGCACTGACTACCAAGAACATCCCATGTCCCACATCAGCACCATCCCACATCTTGAAAACTGAAGAACTGATTCTTGGGTCCATTCTGGGCTTCTGAAGGCTCTAAATCATTAATCTACTGCCTCTAGCCCCCACCGTTCTTATCTCCATTCTCTGCTCTTACCTCACCCAAGTCCCTTTCGGCATTCTCTTGTGTGTGAGACTCAGACTCTAACTACACTATATATGTTTGGGGTTGCCTGGCTCGCCTTCACATATTTAAAACTTCTCCCAAGCACAGCTCCCACTGATGAGGTGGGAATGGCCCCATTAATCCTGCTGCCTGCTCTTTTAGCTGTTTGAGCCAGAGATAAACACCTGACCCAAGGATGGTCAACCAGATTATTTTATTTTTTATTTTTTATTTTTTGAGATGGAGTCTAGCTCTGTCGCCCAGGCTGGAGTGCAGTGGCGCGATCTCTGCTCACTGCAAGCTCCACCTCCTGAGTTCATGCCATTCTCCTGCCTCAGCCTCCCGAGTAGCTGGGACTACAGGTGCCCGCCACCACGCCCAGCTAATTTTTTGTATTTTTTTTTAGTAAAGACGGGGTTTCACCATGATAGCCAGGATGGTCTCGATCTCCTGACCTCGTGATCTGCCCGCCTTGGGCTCCCAACCAGATTATTTCCTTAGAAATTCCTTTTCTCTAAGAGACACAAAAAAGAGTCCCCAGTGGCTGTGTGGCCAGCTGAGATGAATGGTCACTGTGGCAATGACTGCCATTTATGTCAAGTGCAAGCTGAAAAGCAGAGAAGCAGGACAACAGAGCAGTCCGCAGAGAGAAACAGGGAGGAGGGGGCCTCATGGCCCCCAAGAAAAGGATAAAGCGGCTCTGGTTTTTGATGGCTTCTTCATTCTTATAAAGATGGAAAGATGGGCTTCATCTCTTCTACCTGGAGTCTCCAGGATCCAGCATCCTTACAATATCCCTCTTTTACTTGAGCAAATTCGGGTAGGCTTCTGATCTTTGTCATCAAAGCAGCCTTGGCCAGGAAATAAGACAAGTGTGTCTACTCTCACTGCTTCTATTCAGCACTATGATTGAAGTCCTTGCCAATGCAATAAGGCAAGAGAAACAAATAGAAGTCGTGACTATTGAAAAGAAAGAAATATGGCTGGGTGCAGTGGCTCATGCCTGTAATCCCAGCACTTTGGGAGGCTGAGGTGGGAGGACCACTTGAGATCAGGCGTTCAAGACCAGCCTGGTCAACATGGTGAAACCCTGTCTCTACTAAAAATACAACAACAACAACAAAAATTAGCCAGGTGTGGTGGTGGGCACCTGTAATCCCAGCTACTTGGGAAGCTGAGGCAGGAGAATCACTTGAGCCCAGGAGATGGAGGTTGAAGGGGGCCGAGATGGCACCACTGCACTCTAGCCTGGGTAATAGAGTGAGACTCCATCTCAAAAAGAGCTAATAAGCGAATTTATTAAGATCACAGGATACTAGGTGAACATGCAAAAATTAATTTTATTTTTACATACTACCAAAAAATGATTGAAAAATGAAATTAGAAAACATTGGCATTTAAAATAGGATAAAAAAGATGAAATACCTATGAACAAATTTATTTAAAATATGTGTAAAACATTTACATTAAAAACTACAAATCATTGCTGAATTAATTTAAAGAATATCTACATCAATGAAAGATTAGGACATGTTCATAGTTTGAACAATTTAAGTTGCCAATATTCAGGTGTCAATGATCTCTTAATTTTTTTAAAAAATTGACAAAAATTGTATATATTGTATACAATATGTTGTTTTGAAATATACATACCTTGTGGAATGACTAAGTCAAGCTAGTTAACGTATGCATTAAACCTGAAATTTATCTGTAGAGACAATGCAATTTCAACTGAAATTCTAGCTGAATTTTTTTTGGTAGAAATTGACAAACCGATTCCAAAATTTGTACAGAAATGCAAAAGATTTAAAATAGTCAAGACTATATTTAATAAGAACAAAGTAGGAGGGTTTACACTACCAGATTTTAAGATTAAGCATAAAGCAACAGTATTTAAGACACTATGGTAGTGGCATAAAGATAGAAAATTAGATCAATGAAACAGAATAAAAGTTCAGAAATAGACCCACATGTCTACGGTCATTGGACTTTTGAAAAAAGTACCAATGCAGCTCTTTGATGGAACAGAAAACTTTCTCAATAAACAGTGCAAGAGCAACTAGAGATCTATATGGACCATAGACCCAAATGTGAAAATGAAGAGTCTAAAACTTCTATAAGAAAACGTAGCAGAGTATCTTCATGACTTCAAAGTGGTCTACTATTTCTTAGGATATAAAAGGACAAACAATAAAAAAATTTCTAACTTAGTCTTCATCAAAATTAAAAATTTCTGCTCATTAAAAGACAAGAAACTTGGCTGGGCACAGTGGCTCATGTCTGTAATCCCAGCCCTTTGGGAGGCCGAGGCAGGCAGATCACCTGAGGTCAGGAGTTCGAGACCAGCCTGGCCAATATGGTGAAACCCTGTCTGTACTAAAAATATAAAAATTAGCTGGGCGTGGTGGCAGGAGTCTGTAATTCCAGCGACTTGGGAGGCTGAGGCAGGAGAATTGCTTGAACCTGGGAGGCAAGGTTGCAGTGAGCCAAGATCGTGCCACTGCACTCCAGCCTGGGTGACAGAGAGAGACTCCATCTCAAAAAAAAAGACAAGTAAGTCACAGGCCAGTAGAAAATATTTACAGTACACATATGTGAGCAAAGACTTGTGTTCAAGATATATAGAGAACTCCTACAAATTAAAAATATAATAAAAAATAAAAAATGGTTAGGCATCTTAAACAGGCACCATGAATGGCCAATAAACATATGAAAAGGTGTTCAACATCCTTAGTTATCAGGAAACTGCAAATTAAAACCATAGTGAGAAACCACAATACAGTAAGACAGATACAATTACAAAGACCGACAATTCCAAGAGTTGACAAGGATCTGGAGCAACTGGAACCTTGATGCCTTGCTGGTGGGAGTGTAAAACAGTACAACCATTTTGAGAAATTATTTGCCTGTTTTTAATAAATTTAAATGTACACCTATTCTAAGACCTAGCAAGTCCACTCCTGGGTATACACCCCAGAGAAATGAGTACATACATCCACAAAAAGAATTGTCTAAGGATGTTCATAGCAACTTTATTCATAATGGCTGAAAACTGGAAACAATTCAAATATCCATCAACAGAAGGGTAGATAAGCAAATTGTGGCAATACCTCTCAGCAATAAAAAAGAATAATTTGGGCCGGGCGCGGTGGCTCGCACCTGTAATCCCAACATTTTGGGAGGCTGAGGCAGGCAGATGCCTTGAGGTCAGGAGTTCGAGACCAGCCTGGCCAATATGGTGAAACACCTGTCTCTACTAAAAATACAAAAATTAGCTGGGTGTAGTGACAGGTGCCTGTAATCCCACATATTCGGGAGGCAGGAGAATCACTTGAACCTGGGAGGTGGAGGTTGCAGTGAACTGAGATTTTGCCACTGTACTCCAGCCTGGGTGAAAGAGTGAGACTCTGTCTCAAAAATAAAATAAAATAAAAGAACAAAAAGAACAATCTGGTACACATATATTGATGAATTTCAAAAATATTATGTTGAGCAACAGAAGTCAGACACTGTAGAGTACACACTGTGTGATCCCATTTGTTGTGTGAACCAACAAAACCAATCTGATGGTGATAGATGTTAGAAGATGGTTACGTCTGAGAGTTGGATATTGACTTGAAAACGGGCCCTGAGGGGCCCTCTTGGGGCAATGGAAATGTTCTATATCTTGGTCCAGTTGATGGTCAAGGAGGTGTAGTACCTGTGTAAAAATTCATCAAGCTACAGACCCAAGATCTGAACATTTTATTGTAATGTAAGATGACCTTCAATAAAGCATTATTTAAATCACCTTTATGAATATGCTAACGACAGCGACGATTCCAAAAACAAACCAGGGAGATGAAATATTTGGGGCTTTTCCAAGATAAATGCTGTAGTCTCTCTTTAATTGTTACCAGTCTTTGTGCCATGTAGAGGTTTTTGTTGTTGCCGTTGCTGTTGGTATTTTTTCCTCTGCTAAATTTAGATCATGAAACCTGCCTTTCTATGCACAAATCAAGCAAGGAGACAGAGAATGATTTTGCTGTATGAGAGCAAAATGGACTTCAATAGGAATGGATAAAGAAATTGGGAAGGTGACTATGGAAACTGAACCAGAGATGCTCAAAATCAGCCGCGACACTTTGCATCAGGGACCCAGTATGAGAAGACAGTGACACAGAGATGTGGGCAAGAGCAGGGATTCAGTTATGTGGATGACAGACCTGACTCAGAATGCTATGGAGCAAGAGAAGCCGGGAGCAAATGACAGAGAGTGGGTGAGGACCCCGGGAGTCTCACATCAGACAAGCTTCCATTAGATGGAAGGGCTCACCCATGGTCAATGTAGCATGCCCAGGAGAAATGCATATTTTGGACTTTACCTTTAAAAGCAATAACTCAAAGCCCTCTGAACCTGACAGCTCATCGGAGGCTTTTGTCTAGAAAATGTCTCCACAGCAGGTGTATCATGACTTATCTCGCCATGGAGATCCAGCTCAGAGAATGTAATAGCGACATGTGGCACAGTGGAGCTGGCGGTTCCTGCTTTGGAGGCAGTCAACATCAATGTGCTCACCAAAACCACTGTGCTTACTAAGCCACCAAGACAGAAGGGGGCACAGGTTCATGGGCAAGCTGGACTTGGTGTACAAACAGGAAGGGGCTCATTTCTTCCTCCAGATTCCCCACTTCACCCTGCTCTGTAGGTTGGCACCACCTGCATGGGTCTTGTATGAAACCTCAGGCAGGCCACATGCAAAGCTTTGCTGGCTACTTGGAAGTTATAAGCAAATGGTCTCTTTCGCTGGGTATTAAAGAGAGCAGCCCAAAGCGATTTCCTGACTGTCTGCTTCTCCCTCTCCAGGTGCAGACCCTGCCACAGCCAAAGCCCCTACCTCTTGCTCCATATTCTCCCCACCCCCCAGCTGCTGTTTGGGCTCTCAGAGTGGGGCCCTGTGGGGGTCCTTAGACATGCCTCCCGGGAGGTCTCTGACCACAATTCCTTGGCATGTGCAAAGCTCTTAAGCCTCGACTCCAGCAGGAAGTGCTCTTGGGCAGACTCCTTTTCAAATCAGTTCACAGCTGGCTCTCTTCCTGGAGACCCACACTTAGCTCTGAGAAATCATGCCTCTCTGCCTTGCCTTCGGTGTAAATGCTTCCCCAATCCCTGCTCAGCCTTGGCCCTCCTCCCCTTGCAGGCTGCTTCAGCCAGTTCAGCGCTAGATGTTTCCGGGTGTGAACAAGGTGCCTGTTCCCCAGATTCCAGAGATTTCCAAGTAGATCCATTGAAGCCCTCCTCATTTAACTTAAGGGAAAAGGCTCCCATGGGGAAGGGTAGGAAACTCACAGCACCCTGACAACTCCCCCAAACAAAACCCAGTAGCCAGCCCCGTCACTCCCCCTTTCATCTAGTGTTAAAATGCAGAAATATTTGTGTTAAAACATTTTTATGTACCAATTGGCAGAGAGCCACTGTCCTGAGACTCCTTCTCTCTTTACTACCAGGGCCCTTCCTTGGCCCCTTGGACTCTTGCTCTGGCTTTGGGTCCGGGTTGTCAGTTACTTTTACTCTCACTTCTGTTGATACCCTCCAGTGAGGGTGGGGGGGGAGGCGGGTGAGGAGCTAAGGTGGCTTCACTGTTTCTGTTGTGTCCCAGGTAGATGGTCAGATATTTACAGTGTTGTTCTTGGCTCTTGGGGCTTAAGCCACATCAGAGACAGCAGGAAACAATTGTCCATGGCTATAGTTTGTATTTTTGTCCCCACCCAAATCTCATGTTAAATGTAATCCCCAATGCCTGAGGTGGGGCCTGGTGGGAGGTGTTTGGATCATAGGGGCGGATCCCTCATGTCTCTGTGCTGTCTTCGTGATAGTGAGTTCTCACGAGATCTGGATGTTTAAAAGTGTGTGGCACCTCTCACCCCACTCCCTTGCTCCTGCTCCTGCCATGTGAGACACCTGCTCTCCTTTTGCCTTCTACCAGGATCGGAAGCTTCCTGAGGCCTCCACAGAAGCAGATGCTGCCATATTTCCTGTATAGCCTGCAGAGCTGTGAGCCAATCAAACTTCTTTTCTTCATTATTATTATTATTTTTTGAGACAGAGTCTCACTCTGTCGCCCAGGCTGGTGTGCAGTGGCATGATCTCAGCTCACTGCAACCTCCGCCTCCTGGATTCAAGCAATTCTCGTGCCTCAGCCTCCCAAGTAGCTGGGATTACAGGCATGTACTACCATCCCGGACTTATTTTTGTATTTTTAGAAGAGACAGGGTTTTGTCATATTGGCCAGGCTAGTCTTGAACTCCTGACCTCATGTGATCCTCCTACCTCTTCCTCCCAAAGTGCAAACCTCTTTTCTTGTAAGTTACCCAGCCTCGGGTATTTTTTTATAGCAATGCAAGAACAGCCTAATCCACCCATAATATCTAATTACATGCAAATAAAATAGGGGTGTGTGTGTGTGTGTGTGTGTGTGTGTGATCAAGGATCAATGAGCAAAGCAACCTCAGGAAGGAAGTGTTGCCTCCCCACCTTGTCCTAGGATTCTGCTCTGTTGCCTGGTTCACAATTCCCCAGTGCAGATACAGGGGATACAGTTTCCCTGTAGCCATCCAGGGATTTGTAGAGATTGTGAAGCTTCTAGGAATTTAGCTTAAAGAAATAATGAGGGCTGGGCATTAGGTTTTGCCACAGTGATATTTATCATAGTGTGGCTTACAAAACAGCAAAAATTTGAAACTGTCTTGGGTCAGAGATTGCTGTTGCCTTCCCTGTATCCACTGTCCCCTTCTTCCTCACTGATGGAACCCATTTGCTGAGGGCAGAAACAGACCTGGCTTTTTTTTTTTTGAGACAAAGTTTCGCTCTTGTTGCCCAGGCTGGAGTGCAATGGTGTGATCTCTGCTTACCGCAATCTCTGCCTTCCGGGTTCAAGTGATTCTCCTGCCTCAGCCTCCTGAGTAGCTGGGATTACAGGCATGTGCCACCATGCCTGGCTAATTTTGTATTTTTAGTAGAGATGGGGTTTCTCTATGTTGGTCAGGCTGGTCTTGAACTCCTAACCTCAGGTGATCTGCCCACCTCGGCTTCCCAAAGTGCCGGGATTACAGGAGTGAGCCACTGCACCTGGCCCAGACCTGGCTTTTATTTTATTTTATTTTATTTTTTGAGACGGAGTCTCGCTCTGTTGCGCAGGCTGGAGGGCAATGGCATGATCTTGGCTTACTGCAATCTCTGCCTTCTGGATTCAAGGGATTCTCCTGCCTCAGCCTCCCAAGTCACTGGACTACAGGCATGCACCATCACATGTGGCTAATTTTTGTATATTTTAGTAGAGATGGGGTTTCACCATGTTGGATAGGCTGGTCTCGAACTCCTGACCTCAAGTGATCCACCCGCCTCAGTCTTCCAAAGTGCTGGATTATAGGCATGAGCCACTGCGCCTGGCCCAGACCTGCTTTTAAATGACACACCCACTTCCCAGCCTCCCTTGCTGGTGGAGGTGGCCATGTGACCCAGTTTTGGCTAATAAGATATCAGCAGCAATGGTTGGGTGGGCTTCAGGGAATCTCCTTAAGATCAGGGCAGACCTGGCTGGTGCCACGCCCTTCCCTGGCTGGCTTTTCTCTTTCCCTCCACCTGAACTGTGGCTGTGATGGCTGGAGCTTTGGCAGTCACCTTGACAGATGACAGAGTAGAAAGCTAGAAGGAGCCTGGGTCCATGCAGGCGTGAAGGAGCCGCGGTCACGACCCTCTAGACTTCTTTCACACAACGGCCAAATAGATCTCTGCCGTGTTAAGCTGTGCTATGTTTTAAAATAAGCAGCTGAATTCGGTACTGACTGATACAATACCCAAAACCCAACAATAGGAGCATAATTAATAAATCACAATCCAGTCATACTGGAGAATATTTTATAGTAAGATGTCATTTTATGAAAAGGAAGGATGCATAAACATATAGAAAAAAAAGACTTGAAGCACATTTGCAACATAATAAAACCTCTCTGGGTGGTGGTAGTACAGTGATTTTTTTTTTTAATGGGGTCTTGCTATGTTATCCAGGCTGGCCTCAAAATCCTGGGCTCAAACAATCTTCTGGCCTCAGCCTCCCAAAGAGCTGGGATTACAGGCACAAGCTGCTCTGCCTGGCCAAGATACAGTGAACTATCTCTCCCTCCCTCCCTCCCTCCCCTTCCTTCCTTCCTTCCTTCCTTCTTCCTTCCTTCCTTCCTCCCTCCCTCCCTCCCTCCCCTGCTTCCTTCATTTTTTTGAGACAGTCTCACTCCATCACCAGGATTGGAGTGCAGTGGCTCTATCTCACCTCACTGCAACCTCCACATCCCGGGTTCAATCGATTCTCTTCCCTCAGCCTCCCGAGTAGCTGGGATTACAGGCGAGTGCCACCACACCTGGCTAATTTGTTTTTTGTATTTTTAGTAGAGACAGGGTTTTGCCATGTTGGCCAGGCTTGTCTCAAACTCCTGCCCTCAAGTGATCTGCCTGCCTCGGCCTCCCAAAGTGCTGAGATTACAGGTGTGAGCCACCACGCCGGCTGTGATTTTTCTATTCTATTTCTTAATATATGTAGTATTCAAAATTTCCTAGTTTTGTCAGAGGAGTAACAATAGTTTTTTTGTTACTTGTGCCTGTAATCCCAGCTCTTTGGGAGGCTGAGGCTGGAGAATCGTTAGAGCCCAGGAGTTTGAGGCCAGCCTGGGTAACATAGCAAGACCACATCACTGCCCACAAATATTTTTTTAAAAAATTACTGTACAAAACAAAAGTTTTTTTTAAATTATGGAGTTTTTATTTATTTATTTTTTTAGCACGGGCAACCAAAAGTTATTATTATTTTTTTTAACATGACACCCTCGTAACCCTGTCAAGTCTTTGCAGCAATGACCTCTGATGCATCTTTCCCAGACCAGCATTCCTCATGATCTGCCATCTCTTACCTCATTTCCTGGGCTCCTGGGTCTGTCTGCATTGCTGTTCTGCAAGGAGGCATTCTGCTCCAGGGGATATTCAAGGTCAGGGGCTCATTTACAGATTTTCCATTGTCCTGTGAATCTGTGACAATTCAGAAATGGAGCAAGTTAGAAGATACAGATCAACCCTTTTCAGGCAATTCTCTGTAAGCCTAGGACAGTAGCAGCAGTCATGCTGGAAGGTGGAGGAAGCAGAGTGGGAAGGGGTGTCCCTCCCCTCACTCCCTGAAGGGGAGTTTGTCACACCTCATGCTGTGTCAGATGGCCTGGGATGCCATCCCTATGAAAATTATAATTATGGGCCGAGTGCGGTGGCTCACACCTGTAATCCCATCGCTTTGGGAGGCCAAGGTGGGCAGATCACCTGAGGTCAGGATAGCCAACATGGTGAAACCCCGTCTCTACTAAAAATACAAAAATTAGCCGGGTGTGGTAGCGGATGCCTGTGATCCAAGCTACCTGGGAGGCTGAGGCAGATGAATTGCTTGAACCTGGCAGGCGGAGGTTGCAGTGAGCTGAGATCGTGCCACTGCACTCCAGCCTGGGTGAAAAAAAAAAAAGAAAATTATAATGATGATTTAAGCAACTTCATATACATTTACATATACATAAACATACATACGTAGTCAGTGGAAAAAAAGATATTGGAAATAAGAATACAAACCTGGCTAATATTTACAGGGCAATAAAACCATAACGATTGGTGTTATTTCTACTGGTCAAAAATCACTGGCAACTTGCCAATTTTTTTAGCATCTAACAATTCCCAAGTCCTAATCAATATGAAATAATAAGTCCAGTTAGCCTCCCCCAGAAAGTCTGCTCACCCGGGGGTGGGATTTTTAGGCAATGATCTGCTGTGATTTTGAAGGGGTACTCATTTTGCAGATGAAACAGAGAATGTCCCACACCTTCCAGACCCAAATCACACATCGTGACTCCAGATCATGAGCTTCTTTGGTGGCTGTGGAGTGACCCAGTAGCCCATTTTGTCTGCTCCTTCTCTTCCCCAGCCCCCACCCCGTGCTCTTTCTCACCATGTAGGTCAAGCACGACATTTTCTCCTTGGATTCTTGGATCAGGAAGTACTGAGCAGTCAAAAGAATTCGCTCCAAGGAGGTGACATGAAGGAGTCACTGTAAAAATAAAACTGTAAGGCTAGGCGCGGTGGCTCACGCCTGTAATCCCAGCACTTTGGGAGGCTGAGGTGGGCGGATCACTTGAGGTCAGGAGTTCGAAACCAGCCTGGCCAACATGGTGAAACCCTGTCTCTACTAAAAATACAAAAATTAGCCGGGCATGGTGGCAGACACCTGTGGTCCCGGTTACTTGGGAGGCTGAGGCAGGAGAATCGCTTGAACCCAGGAAGTGGAGGCTGCAGTGAGCTGAGTGAGCTTGCACCACTGCACTCCAGCCTGGGTGACAGAGCGAGACTCCATCTCAAACAAACAAACAACCCCTGCAAATCTGATGAAAACATTTATGGCTGGACATAAAGGCCACCTTTGGGGATGGCACTGTTCTGTCTATCTGGTGTCAGCATCCTTGGCTCAGCTTGGGGAGGTCACAAACTCGAGGCTCTTTCCCCAGCGGCCCTCTTGCCCTCCCCAGCTTCATCCCAGACACAGCCCTACACCTTCCTTTTCTTGCAACCCTGAAAGACTTCCCCGACCCCCAACCTTGGCAGCTGCAGCTGCTTTTCTGTCTGCTTACAGTGCCCTACCCCTGCCCTGTCCAACAGGGTGGCCGCTAGCCACGTGTGACTATTATGCACTTGAAATGTGGCTGAGGAGGGGAATTTCTCATTTTATTTAATGTAATTTACATTTAAAAGTACAAACTCATATTGATTCAGTTGTTGGGAAACTTTTAAGGGTATTTGGATCAATTTGGGTATGTAAATCCACTTTTCTGACTGTACATTTTATGCAATCTAATTCCAGATCAAGTATTTCCAATGAAAATTTGGCATGCGAATTGAGAGGGGCTGCAAATATAAAATACTCAACAGATTTCAAAGACTTCATGCAAAAAAAAGGAATGTAAACTATTTCATCGATATTTTTTATGTTGATTATTAACTACAGGATAAAATGGTAGCTTTTGCATCTGCTGGGTTAATAAAATGCATTGTTAAAATTAATTTCACCCATTTATTTGTACTTTTTAAATGTGGCCACTGGAAAATTTAAAATGATGTATGTGGCTTGCAGCATATTTCTGTTGGATGGCGCTACTGTAACCCCCTTCTCCATCTACACAGGCTTTGGAGCCAGAAGGATCTGAACTCTAGCTCAGTCTGTACCACACAATAGCTGTGTGATTCTGGGTAAGTGGCTCAATCTCTGTGGGCCTCAGTTGTTTATTTTTTGATCTGTAAAATGGGTATGGTAAGAATACCCTTGAAATGCCTGCCTAGCAAACTAGCACAGCCACCGGGTACCTGCATGAAATCAACCAAGCCTGCTCCCACTTTCTCCCCAGCCATGTCCTTATCCTTTTTTTTTTTTTTTTTTTTTTTTTTTTTTGAGATGGAGTCTTACTCTTTTGCCCAGGCTGGAGTGCAGTGGCATGGTTTTGGTTCACTGCAACCTCTGCCTCCTGGGTTCAAGTGATTTTCCTGCCTCAGCTTCCTGGGTAGCTGGCATTACAAGCATGCACCACCATGCCCGGCTAATTTTTGTATTTTTAGTAGAGATGGAGTTTCACCATGTTGGCCAGGCTGGTCTCGAACCCCTGACCTCAGATGATCTACCCACCTCGGCCTCCCAAAGTGCTGGGATTATAGGTGTGAGCCACTGCACCCGGCCGTCCTTACCCATTTGTCAAGACTCATCTGAAATATCATCTTCTTTGGGAAGCCCTTTCCTAACCCCAGCAGAAGGGTCTAATGCTTTGCCTTTATCTCTCCTGTAAACTTTCACACATGGCTTGCATTAAAATGACATCATTACAATATTGTGGGTTCCTCAAAGGCAGAGACCCCAGCTTCCTCGTGTGTGAGAATGTGCTTTTAACTTTTAGTATACGGGAAATTTCAAACATATGGAAAAGTTGAGCTTCCACGACGATAGTATTTCAATCATTGTATTTTTCTTGCTTAACTCAGTGCTTGATACATGATTTTGTTAGTGTTTGTGGTGGATGGCAACAGCCACAGATTCTACCACCGTGGAGTGGTGAAGTCAATTTCCCCAACCCCTTTGGTCTGGGCTGGCCCTGTGGGCTGGTTTGACTGACAGAACATGGTGCAAGGGACTATGCAAGGTCTGAGTCTCCGTCTAGGCCTCAAGATGCCAGGCAGCTTCTGCTCTTGCTCTCTCAGAACCCGACTGCCATATGCATAAGCCTGGGCCAGCCTGCTGGGGGATGAGAGACCACGTGGAGCAGAGGCAGGCAGTCCCAGTTCACAGACCACCAGAGAGATGAGTGAGGCTGTCCTCCACCTTCCAAACCCAGAAGAGCCACCAGCTGACTGCAGAGGTTAGGTAAACTGGCCCAGACACAGCAACCACTAAACCAACCCCCAGAATCATGAGAAATAATAAATATTGTTGTTTTAAGTCTCTATATTTTGAGGGGAGTTTAACGTGTGGCAAACAGCTACCCAATACAGGGTTTAATGAATGTTTTTGAATGCACTGATGAAGTCTCTGGATTTAGCAGGGGTTGCCACTCTGGCACACTCAGGGTAGCATATATAGTCTGGTGGCAGCTGCTGTGCCTCCCGGGCTGGGAAACTGTCACACATTCTTCACCCCCAGCAGGCTGCCTGTCAACCACAGGAGCACGTCACAAGGAAAAGAGTCTGTAGCACCAACACCCCATTTGTAAAGTTTTCTGAACTTTATTCTGCTCAATGCATATATTTTGAGCAGATAAAATGTGCTAGGCACTGGTCTAAAAGATTAAGAAGTCTTGCTGCAAATCTATTCCCAAGGTTTTAATCTCATTTATTTTCAGAGCAGCAGAAGCTTTGGCTATGGCAGTCACAGTGAGAGAACAGGACAGAACCTCATCACCGAGACAATTCATGTTCTCAGATGACCCGTAATGTGGATGGCTCTAAGTCTCCCTCCTAGAATGCATGTACAGCGAGGGGTGTTTTGCTGAGTTCTAGAACAAGAAATCTCTTTTCAGTAGAAGCCAGTCTAATTGTCTAATTTGGGTCAACCCTTTCTCCTAAGTACACACGTCATCATAGTGGAGGAATTTGGGTTCTTTAGATAATGGTTTTAAAATGCACTACCCTGTTGAAACTGTCCTTGGTACTTTTCAATGCCACTTATCCTTTCTCATTTAATGAGGACCTTTCAGCACTGATGACTCCAGTTGGATGTAAGGGAACAGCCGTGACAGCTGTCCCTGATACTGACCTGCCAGGCAGCTGGCGTTCCGTTCGGGGTTGTCTCTGGCCTTGGCTTTGCTTTTGCGTCTTATGGAGCGATTGAAGATGGAATTTCTCTTAATTGGGATGTGGCAATGAGGCTCTTTGTCTTGGATATCCTGGTCAGCTTGAGAAGTCTCCTCTTTTTCTGGGAGTAACTCAGGTTTCACCTTGGCTGGTTCATTATCAGTGTTCCATTGATCACTTGCTGATTTCCTCCGGGTCTTTTCCAAATCTTCAGATTCCCTGGTCTCCATGGAAATAGAGCCAGATGTTTCTCAGCAGAACGACTGGAGGTCAATGACTTTCCCAAGCTTCACTGGTTTGAGTGCTTTAGAATAGATAGAAAACAATTTTCAGTTAGTCATCAGGCTAAGTATTCTATTCAGACTGTGGAACTCCACTCCCATTCGAATTTGATGAAACGTGGGATAATCTGCACATCCTGGTATCCACGTCTTCGCCACTGAAAATTACAGCTTAATCTCTGCAATTTGGAGGCATTCACGTATCATTTTATAATTGCCGTTTGTTTACATTATTCCTAAGAGGCACTTTTAGGGGGAAATGTTTAAAGTGGCTTGCAAAACTACATTCAAATAAATACTTCTTAAATAATTCCAGAGAAAAAGGGTGGCAGAAATAGTGAGGGAATTCCAGGAAAGCATTGAGAGGGACCGTAAATGTCTAGACAGGAAAAGAAAGTCTCAGAAGATGAGAAAGGGTTGTGGGCTGGTGCAAGGTCTCACAATGGTAAGTTTAGACATGGGCAAGGTTGATCCCCAAGGCGACAAACCTTGCCATCAGCTGGCAACCAAGTCTAGTGGGTGCATTAGTGGCCTTTCTGATGGAATGATGTATGGCCGTGGTGGAAGAATAAGGTCCCCCCATCCCATGGCCACCCCACCATGGGCTGGAGAAACAGAATGGTTACCTCCCTCTGGGGTGACCATATAGCATATCATCTGAACGAGGACACTTTTCATAGGAAAAGGGGGATACAACAGGAACAAACCCCACCTCCCTCCCCACAAAGACCTCCTAGGGTAGGGGTGCTCAGGGCGAGAGACTATGTGGACCCTCTTAGTGGGTCTAAGCTGGTGGGACAGCGTGTTAGACAGAGAGGCCGAGCTAGGAATTCTTCTCAGCTCTCCACTCATCTGAGGGCTTGAAACCTGGGGTCACATGGATTCTATGGAGGTTTTCAGGGTACAAGGCTGTGTATGAGCATATACATTTTTCTGGCCTATCGGTCCAGAGATTCCATCATACCTTCAAAATGGTCAGAGACTTGGCCAGGCACCGGCCTATAATCCTAGCACTTTGGGAGGCCGAGGCGAGCAGATCACCTGAGGCCAGGAGTTCAAGATCAGCCTGGCCAACATGGAGAAACCCTGTCTCTACTAAAAATATAAAAATTAGCTGGGTTTGGTGGCACATGCCTGTAGTCCCAGCTTCTCGGGAGGCTGAGGCAGGAGAATCGCTTGAATCTGGGAGGTGGAGGTTGCCATAAGCAGAGATCTTGCCACTGCACTCCAGCCTGGGCAACAGAGCCAGACTCCATCTCAAAAAAACCCTTCCAGTCCTCTTCTGTTGCTCCCTTCCACAAACATCCAGCTCAACCAGTGTTCTACGATTCATCAGGAGTGTTTGTCTGTGTCTTCCTTTGTGAAATGGGGAGCATGGAGGGCTGGGTTTCAGATGCCTCCTTTCCCACCGCACCACTCCTCTTCCTCCACAGTCCCTCTGAGTTCCCAAACACCTTCTTCTACACCCACCAGCCAGCCCCACACTACTGATCTCAGGGCAGGTGGTCTGGCAGAATAGTCAGGAGGTTGGGTTTCCCCTACCCCAGGCCGAGAATGCCTTCGTTTACCTAAGATAGGAATTAGGACTTTCTGGGTAGGGGGATTTGAAGACTGAAGGCCACTCTGGTTCCTAGAACCAGCTACTTCCGACACAGGTTTGTATCAGAAGGTTTGCCCTAGGATGGCACCTCCTTCCCACCTGCTTGCAGGGCTGATCCTGTTCTATTAACCACCTTCCCTGTAAATTGTCAGCCAGGCAGAAATGAGCATTAACGTACTCAGAGGTTGCCTCAGAGCAGCTGGGCCACGTGCAGGGGCACAACCTGAGCTCATGGGGACCTGGGGAGTGCCTTCCCCACCACGGTCGTCTGGGGGACCCAGCAATACCTGACCCTTCTGGTCCCGGCCTCAGTTTCCTGATCCATGAAGTTGGAGTGTGCACTATGGGGTCGGTGAAGCCCCTTCCAACTAGAAAGCAACGCTGCTATTTCAGGTGGCCAGAGAGGATTGTGCGGTGGCTGGGAGGACACACTTAGGATGGACCATTAATACGCACCCTTCCCGGGAGTGCCTGGGAGGAAGATGCTTGTCTTATGTGTGGCAAAGAACCCACAGCTCCAGCGAGATGGGGTGATTTTCATTCACAGCAAGTTTAACCTGGGTCACTGAGGGGATGAGGTTGCAATAAGAGCGAAACCGTTCTTGAGCCAGCAAGAGGACAGAGAGAGAGAGAGGCTTCCAACCTGGCCAGATGAACGGGGACCCCTGCACTTGCTCCACTTGGGAACCTGATCCACCAGAAAAGTGGCTGCAAGGACGGGCAGAGACTCGGGAGGGACGAGGTCACCATTGTCACCCATCTGACCTCTGGGAGCCTGGGGGCAGAATGAGACCCAGAGACAATGATGGCCTTGAGCTCAGTGTAAGGCGGAGACCATGAGTGTCCGAGCTCCCCAGAGATGGGGGTGCTGCTTTGGGGGCTGACGTCCCTGTCACTGGAGCTGTCCAGATGGAGGCTGGAGGCGCTGTTGAGGTTTTAGAGTTCAGTGAGGCCTGCCTGCCGCTGGCATTGCCTTCTCTCTTCTTTCCCCGGCCCCTGTGCCTACCACCTCACCCAAACCCTTGCATTGAGGCTGCTTTCAGTGAAGAGCTGGACCTGTGGACAGTGATAGGCAGGGGTCCCGTGGGGTGGGAGTGGGGGTGGATGATGTAGGCATTCATTGTGTTTTGGTGCCAGTCTGTGGAGGCCTCTGACTGCTGGACCGAGGAGCTCACCCAGCAAACCCTGCTGGTGGCCAGAGGGCCTGGCAGGCCCCGAGCAGGAGGCACAGGCGGGGTGGTGGGGGACATAGAGCACGTCCTGAGGGGGATGGCACACAGGTGAGTACCTGGACAGGTCAGAGCTGCAGGGAGGAATGGGAGGAATTGCAGGTCAGTGACTTGTGGTGGTTTTGAGAGCAGCGGACAAGGGAGCTGGCCCCCTGTTTGTTGTGGGCCTGGGTGCCTGGCGGAATGCCACTCCTGGTCTGGGAAGCAGGAGTGAAGCCAGGTTGGGGTCAGAGCACACTGGTTTTGCGGTGTTGGGTTGAGGAATCTCCCAGGAGAAAAGTTTGTGGACAGAAATCCCTAACCGACACTGGACTGAGTTGCTAACAGGCATCTTCCGGCTCTGACAAGGGGACCCCCGGGGCCTCTGTGTTGTGATCCTAACATGAACTTTTTTTTTTTTTGGCTTTCAAGGTTATTATTACTATCAGTATCGTCATTATTTTAGGCTGTATCTTAAAAACTTGAGGGGCTGGGCATGGTGGCTCACGTCTGTAATCCCAGCACAGGCTGAGGGGGGGGATCATTTGAGGTCAGGAGTTCAAGACCAGCCTGGCCAACATGGTGAAAACCAGTCTCTACTAAAAGAAAAAAAATATTAGCTGGGCGTGGTGGTGGGCGCCTGTAATCCCAGCTACTCCGGATGCTGAGGCAGGAGAATCGCTTGAAACGGGAAGGCATAGGTTGCAGTGAGCCGAGATTGCGCCACTGCATTCCAGCCTGGGCGACAGAGCGAGACTCCATCTCAAAAACAAGACAAAACGAAACAAAAATAACTTGCGGTATAATTTACTCTTTTTATTAGTTTTGACAAACACATTCAGTGCATGTAACCACCACCACCACCAAGATACAGAACAGCTCCCTCAACAGGGAAAAGTCCCCTTGTGCCTGCGGAGGTCAGTAACTGCCCCGCCCCCAGCCCCGGCAACCACCAATTAGAGTCTTGGTTTGCCCTTTTCTGTTGTGTAGGTGGAGCTGGCAGTCTGTCGCCCTTGCTGGAGAGCAGTGGTGCAGTAGAGGCTCATCCGTGGCTCACTGCAGCCTCGACCTCATGGGCTCAAGCCATCTTCCCACCTCAGCCCCTTGAATAGCTGGGAGCACAGGCGCCCGCCTAATACTTGTATTTTTTGTAGGGATGGGTTTTGCCATGCTGCCCAGGCTGGGTGTCTGGCTTCTGTAGCCTATTGTGCTGTGTTCGCTGCTCTGTCGACGTTGCCTGTGTCAGTGCTGATCACCAGCATTTACTGTGCGGTGCCAGGGATGCAACGACGCCCACACCATATACCACCAAGGGCACTGGGCCAGGAGTCAGGGGACCTGGGTTCGAATCTCCATTTCCAGCTGCTTGTAATCACAGGCTTAACATCAGGCAAGTCAGGGCCTCAGTTTCCTGTCCAGAAAACATGGGGTGGGTGGGTATTCTTGACTTCTAGCTCTCAAATTTGGTGATCCAGGGAGGCTCAGAGGGTCCTTAGAGGGATGTTCATGGTACATTAAGAGTCAGGGGGATTGTCCTCCCTGAAATGAGGAGGCTCTGAAACCCTGAGAAGAAGTATTCCCAGATCTTACCACCTTTGAGATGATTTTACACACACACACACACACACACACACACACACACACACAGGAAGAGATTGTAAAACTATCTGTAAAACTATTCTAATTCTGCTGCAATTATAGACTATTTTAAGCAAATGTGCTCTGCGTCTGGAATCTTTTTATAATTGCTTTGATTCGTCTATAACGATTAACTGCCAGAAAACCCAGAAGCTTCCCCCACCCCAATCTTCTGATGTTCCCTTAAGTTCCTCTGTGGCTTTAGACCCATGTCTTTCTATTCCATGGTAACTTCAGGGTGGGGGAGCCTGGGGATAGCTTTGTGATTGAGGGAGGGTGCAGCTCATGGTGCACTTGCATTCATTCATTCATTCACACCCCCTGAGCACCTGCTGGCATGGGACTCACGTCTTCATTCTATGTCTGTCCACATTCCCTCCTTAATAAGCTTCCTCAGGACAGGACTTGGTCTGTTTGGGTCTCTGTTGTTCCTGATGCCGGCCACACAACAACACTCTGTAAACATCTTTTTTTTTTTTTTACAGCAATAGATGAACGGATGAGTTACCTTAGCCAAGCCTCGCAACTTCCGCATGAGTCAATGTGATAATTACTCCACTTTATAGATGAGGCAGCTGCCACTCTCAGAGCTGTGATAATCTGGCCAAGGTCGCATGGCTGGCAAATGGTGCGGCAGGGGTCACACTACAGCTATCTGACTCATTTGTTGGGGGGACCTGTGATGTGGTCAAAAGATGCTGTTGTAACTGTGGGCTGAAGTCAGGCCTGGAAGGATCAGAGCCAGGAGGGGGCTCTATTTGGCTGTCTCTGTGTTAGTTGTGCAGCTTCAGGCCCAGGAGCTGAGGTGGCTGTTACACCTCCCAGCACTGGGCTGCATGAATCAGTGTGTGAATCAGTGTCCTGGGAGGTCAGGACACAAGGGGACAAGGAGGTGGGGAGTTGTGGGGAGCTGGCTGCAGGCTCAGCTGTAGCAATCACCAGCTACTGCAGGGGAGGAAGGCACAGGGCATGTGGGGAGGAGCAAGGTGGGTGTGGAGAGGTGAAGTTTCTAGACTGGATCTCATCCAAGTGCAGACATCATCCGGGGCTCTCGTTAAATCACAGATTCTGACTCAGGAGGTCCTGGGTGGGGGCTGAGACTGCATTTCTTTTTTCTTTTCTTTTTTTTTTGACAGAGTCTTGCTCTGTCGCCTAGGCTGGCGTGCAGTGGCGCGATCTCAGCTCACTGCAACCTCTGCCTCCTGGGTTCAAATGATTCTTCTGCCTCAGTTTCCCAAGTAGCTGGGATTATAGGTGCCTATCACCGTGCCTGGCTACGTTTTTCTTTTTAAATAGAGGCAGGGTTTCACCATGTTGGCCAAGCTGGTCTCAAACTCCTGACCTCAAGTGATCCACCCACCTCAGCCTCCCAGAGTGTTGGGATTACAGGCATGAGTCAGACAGCTCGCAGAGCATTCTCATTTGCTAGTCCCTAGAGCCCCCTCAGGCAAAGTCCTAGGGGAACACCGCCACCAGGGCATCCTCAGCAGGTGCATGAGGGAGAAGCTGCCTGGGCGAGAGCAGCGGCCCTTGCTTTGGCCAGGTCTAGGGCACATGGAGTGCCTGCGCAGGTCAGAGGCAAGCAGGAGTCCTGATCTGGAGAAGGACTGGCACCAGTAGGGAAGGGGCAGCTGGAGCCCTGCCATCTCTCGCTATCGTCTTCTGCCTCTCAACTAGGGGAATGGAGGGGTAAGGGTAGGAGAAGGTGGAAAACAAGAGAAAGGAGGATGTCTCCTCCCCAGGGCCGAGGGCCTCCCAAGCACCTGGAATTGCCTTTGCAAAAAGTATAACTGAGGAAATTGTGACAGTGAAAGAAATCAGACCTAACCAACTCCACCTTGCTTCTAACCTTTAAGCTGTCCTTGTTCATTCCTGGGCATAGGCCAAACTATAGGAAGGAATTCAGTTCACGGTTTGACTCTGAAACAAAATTGCTAATAGCCCTTTCCCGAAAAGACCCCTTTCTTGCCTGGGGACCAGTCTGCCTTTGCAGGACTAACAAATTAGCTACACGAGTAGAAATTACGGTTTAGGGGTCCTGCAGCCTCTGACTCCAAGAGTCTGACCCTCCCCACGTTGCTCCTGGGGATAACATCACTATTGTAAAACCTAAGATCAGCGCTTGAGATGTTTTGCAGGCCCTGCACTGGATGGATCAGCTGACACCACCCAGACCGTGGTAATCTGGCTCAACCAGTTCTGCCACCCCACCCAGGAACAGAAGACAGCAAGCAAACCTCACTTCAATCCCTATGATTCCATCTCCAACCTGATCAATCAGTACTCCCCACTTCCCGAGACCCTACCTGCCAAATTATCCTTAAAAACTCCAATCCCCGAATGCTTGGGGAGACTGATTTGAGTAATAATAAAACTCCCATCTCCCGCACAGCTGGCTCTGCGTGAATTACTATTTCTCCATTGCAATTCCCCTGTCTTAATAAATTGGCTCTGTCTAGGCAGTAGGCAAGGTGAACCCACTGGGTGTTTATACACCTGCTCGGGAACAGGCCCCTCTAGGTGCTGGGGACAGCTCAGTGAGACAGGCCTGGCCTCCTTGGAGCTCGCAGGGGCCACCAGAGGGAAAAAAGGACTACAAGGGAGAGGGAAGTGGCAGAGCCCATTGCAGGGGAGGTACTGGTGAGGAGCAGGTCACAGGGGAGGCCACAGCCCTGGGTGACTGGGACTGGGGGAGCTTCACTGGTCCTTGGAGCTGGGACCTTGGATTTCAGCTTCAGCCCAGCAGGAGGCATGGGCAGCCCCATGCCTGGAGCACAAGGGCAGCTGCTGCCCAGCAGGTGACACTGAAACATCATCAATCTCTCCAAGGAGGGGACACAGGGCATCCGTGGAGATTGTGGGGTGTGTTAGGGTCCAGGTGGGGCAGGTGGCCAGGAAGTGTGGCCTGAGACAGGGGGACAGCATGGTGGCACCTTTCCTGTGACAAGAAGGGCTTGAACCTACCATCAAGGGGGCAGGAAGATGGGGCTTATTGAGGCAAAAGGTGCCCCCAGCACCCCTAAGAGAGGGACTGGCTGATCCCAGATCACCTACATCATTTCCACATTCCTTCCTGGTCCTTGAATTGGTACGTTAGCCTCTTCCCAGGTAGGAAGCACAGGTTTGTCTTGGGCCTTTTTTTTGAGACAGAATTTTGCTCTTGTCACCCAAGCTGGAGTGCAGTGGCACGATCTCAGCTAACTGCAACCTCCACCTCCCGGGTTCAAGCGATTCTCCTGCCTCTGCCACCTGCATAGCTGGGATTATAGGTGCCCGCTACCACATCTGGCTAATTTTTGTATTTTTAGTAGAGACAGTGTTTCACCATGTTAGTCAGGCTGGTCTCGAACTCCTGACCTCAGGTGATCCGCCCGCCTCAGCCTCCCAAAGTGCTGGGATTACAGGCTTGAGCCACTGCGCCCGGCAGCCTTGGGCCTTTTTTCTCCCTGGATCAAAGTGGGGAGAGTGAGACAGGAGGATTTAGACAGAGGAAGGAGACACAGATGAAGTTTCTGGCTTGGCAGAAAAGTCCCTGCAAGGGAAGGAGCTGGGACAGTGGCCCCAGAAGACGCTCTGTGTCCGAGGAAGACCTGCATGGCATGGATCTCTAATGGAACCCTTGACAGTTGTGGAAAAGGTGGAGAAGCCAATCAATCACACAGGGAGACAGCTGTCACCCTGCCCTGGGGATGGCTGCCCACTGGGGCATTTTGGTGTTCTGAGCGTGAACAAAGGTGAGGGCGAGAGAAAGATCCTGGAAAAATCTTAAGTGGAAATTCAGAAATTGGGGAGCCAGCAGTGGGGAGGGGCAGTAACAGGAAAGGGGCTGGAGAAGGGAAACTTGGAGCAAGGCCGGGAAGCCTAGAAAGTTCTGTACCTGGGGGTGGGGGGAGCCCCTACTACGCCGTGGCCACTTGGGGGCGTCGGCTTCGGGAGGTAGAGAGGAGGGTCCCCGAGCGGTGAGGGAAGGAGGAGGGGACCTTTTAGGACCAAGACCAGGGCAGAAGGCAGAAAGCAGCAGTTTGGTGCCTGAGGGGTGAATGGAGACCCTCCTGAGGATGGAAATACCTGAAGCAGGTCGGGGTGGGGGTGCAGGGTTAGCTGAGAGGTCAGGGGTGCCTATCTGAGCAGAGGCCTGCAGGAGGGAAGCCAGGGAGCCTTGGCTCAAGAAGGAGAAAAGTAAGGATGGCCCCTGGCTTTCCTTAAGGCTGCAGAACTCATTAACACGCTAGGAGAGGAAGCAAGAATGTGCGGGGGAAGCCAGTCTGAGCTCAGAGGGAGAGAAGTTGGACTTGGAAATGGCCCACTGTGCCCCGGTCTCGGTCTCGTGTAGGGTTGGGACTAACCTGGAAGGTTAAGTATGAATTACAGGAACAACTCATTGAATACCAGTTTAACAATCGTAATTTCTAATACAAACAACATCTCTTTTAGAGACGAGAATGCTGAAACCCGGTGAGATTAAGGAACGTTCTTAAGCCCACGTGGCTGCCACAGTCCAGCTGGGCCCCGAGTCCGGGCCTCTCCACCCCAGGGCTACCTCTTCTCACTCCTTGCTGCTCAGTTTTACATCCTCCAGGCTGGAATGTTCATGCAAAAGTGGGAAGTGGATTAGAAACTCTGACAAACATCATGTGCAAGAGAAGTGGTATGTCAAATGTGAAGAGCATGCGCTTTCCTGATGCTGGGACAGAAATCACTGAAATTAATTTTTTCAGACAAGGTCTCACTCTGTCACCCAGGCTGGAGTGCAGTAGCTCCATCATTGCTCACTGCAGCCTTGAATTCCTAGACTCGAGCAATCCTCCTTCCTCAGCCTCCCCAGTAGCGAGGACTACAGGCACATACCACCATGCCTGGTTAATTTTCAATTTTTTTTTTTTTTGTAGGGGTGGATGTCTTGTTATGTTACCAGGCTGGTCTGGAACTCCTGGCCTTAAGCAATCATCCTTCCTCAGCCTCCCAAAGTGCTGGAATTACTGGTGTAAACCATTATGCCCAGCCTGAAATTAACTTTAAACCTAGGAAGAAGAGAGTGGCATAGAGTTTGAGACAATTTGTTTTTTACAGGATGGAAGTCCGATGCCAGAGAGTTGTAGGTTATGGATTTGTATCTATAACCTGTGATGTGAAGACAGCCTTCCAGGGAAGGGGCAGAGCCAGAGGGGAAAGAACAAGCTAGACATTCCGGCCAGCAAAAAAGGCCAATGACAGCGTGATGGAGAAGAGGAACCGTGAGCTGCATGAACTGCAGCAAGCGAAGCACAAATGAGCCATCGGTGTGGGTGATGGAGGAAGGAGAAGCCGGGAGGACTCTGGGGAAGAAGCCTGCAGGCTTGGCAGGCATTAGGCAGGGCAGGGAAATTTCAGACAATGGAACTTCTAAAAAGTTAAACGTTTTATTTTATATTTACAAAAAAGCTGCGGATGATGGAATTCTAAAGCCAGCTCTTCAAGGAACCAAAGGGCTCGGAGCGTAAGATTGAGAAGTTAATGATTTGGAGATCTGCCTATCTGCACATAGTGGGTTCTCAGTGTAAGAGGTTGAATGAACGAAAAGCAGGCAAATTAGGAAATGAAATAAGGAATTGAGAGTGGACGGGGAGATTGGGGACAGCTCTCAGGATCCCCCAGCCATCTCTCCAGCCACAGTGCCATTTGCTGAAGGGGAGGGGCTTTCTGGGGTCACAGAGCTTCAACAGCCAGGACTAGAATCTTCCCCCATCACCTGATACCTGGCCGTGTTCTCCTTCCCTTTCTCCTTCTGCCATGTATAGGGAGTTCTGGAATTTGTTTTATATTGTCGGAAGACCTGAGCAAACTGTTAGATGAGATAACAGCTTGAGTTAATCCCAGTTCCCAACTTCCCATTAAAATCCCAATGCAATCATACCACAGGAAGATGCTACCTCTGCACTAGAAGGCAACATTAAGAATTCAGTTTATGGGCTGGGTGCCATGGTTCACACCTGTAATCTCAGCCCTTTGGGAGGCCGAGGCGGGCAGATCACCTGAGGTCAGGAGTTCAAGACCAGCCTGGCCAAAAAGGCAAAACCCCATCTCTACTAAAAATACAAAAATTAGGCCAGGCGCAGTGGCTCACACCTGTAATTCCAGCACTTTGGGAGGCTGAGGCGGGCGGATCACGAGGTCAGCAGATCGAGACCATCCTGGCTAACATGGTGAAACCCTGTCTCTAATAAAAATACAAAAAAATTAGCTGGGCTTGGCGGCGGGTACCTGTAGTCCCAGCTACTCGAGAGGCTAAGGCCGGAGAATGGCGTGAACCCAGGAGGTGGAGCTTGCAGTGAGCAGAGATTGTGTCACTGCACTCCAGCCTAGGCGACAGAGACACTCTGTCCGTCTCAAAACAAAAACAAAAACAAAACAAAAACCCAAAAATTAGCCAGGTGTGGTGGCGGGCACCTGTAATTCCAGCTACTTGGGAGGCTGAGGCAGGAGAATCACTTGAATCTGGGAAGCAGAGGTTGCAGTGAGCCCAGATCACGCCATTGCCCCCCAGCCTGGGCAACAAGAGTGAGACTCCGTCCAAAAAAAAAAAAGAAAAAAGAAAAAAAAAGAATTCAGTTTATGGCAGGACCAGCAGGCTCTTCCACTAAATATGCTAATAAAAAGTAAAATGTTGAAGCATTGCTGAAGATTGACTTTTGCTTTAAAATTCTTAAAAAAAGAAGACATACAAATGGAAAACAGATACATGAAAAAATGCTCAAGATCACTGATCAATAGAAAAAGACAAAACAATGAGATACCATCTCACACCTGTCAGCATGGCAGTTATAAGAAAGATAAGACAGAGCAAGTGTTGGTGAACGAAGATGTGGGAAAAGGGCACCCTTGTGTGCTGGTGGTAGGAACGTAAATTGGAACAGCTATTATGGAAAACAGTATGGAGGTTCCTCAAGAGGTTAAAAATAGAACTACCATGTGACCCAGCAACCCCACTTCTGGAAATAAATCCAAAGGAAATAAAATGAGCATCTTGAAGAGATATCTACACAACCATGTTCATTATTCATGATAGCCAAGATGTGGAATCAACCCATATGTCCATCTACAGATAAATGGATAAAGAAATTGTGGTACATATATGTGGTGGAATATCATTCAGCCATAAAAAAGGAGAAAATCCTGCCATTTGCAACAGCATGGATGAGCTTGGTTGAGCTTTCTGTATATGGTTAAGTGAAATAAACCACACACAGAAGGAAAAATACTGCATGATCTTATATGTGGAATCTAAAAAGTCAAACTCTTAGAAGCAGAGAGTAAAGCAATGTTTGCCAAGGGCTGGGGGTCCTTGGCAAAGGGGAGATGTGGGTCAAAGGGTAAAACCTTTCAATTATAAGATGAACAAGTTCTGGGGATCTAACATATAGCACAGGTGGTGATGGATGTGTTAATTTGACTGTGATAATCACTACACGATGTATATATCTATCACATCATCACATTGTATACCTTGAACATATTCCACATTTGTCAATTAAATATCTTTAAAAATTATATACACAGTTTATAAGTCAAAAGACAAAATTAGAGGGGAAACATATACAGCAGGAAGCATAAATCAAGTGTTGGAGGCATTGTAAGACACAGAGCAGGACTCTTTCTTTCTTTTTTTTTGAGACAGAGTCTCACTCTGTTGCCCAGGCTGGAGTGCAGTGGCATGACCTCGGCTCACTGCAATGTCTGCCTACCAGGTTCAAGTGATTTTCCTGCCTCAGCCTCCCAAGTAGCTGGGATTACAGGCACGTGCCGCCACGCCTGGCTAATTTTTTATATTTTTGGTAGAGATGAGGTTTCACCATGTTGTCCAGGTTGGTCTTGAACTCCTGACCTCAAGTGATCCACCTGCCTCAGCCTCCCAAAGTGCTGAGATTACAGGCATTAGACACCGTGCCTGGCCAGAGCAGGACTTTTTTGATGTTCTGGAATTGCTGCTAAGGCCAAACAAATTTCTGCTGTAGCTTGGGTCTGCTGGCAACCTGAGGGATCGGTGAGGGAGGTGTGCCTCCTATGGTAGTCCCCACTCTCAGATAAAAGAAGAGGAAGAAGAAGGGAGGAGCTTGGCCCTCTGGGGGTGCTGTAGCCCATGCAAAGAGGAAGCTGGCTCCAAAGAAGCCCTGGAAAGGCCCAGGGCTCCCTGCAGGAAGGAGAGGCTCCCAGATGGAAGCTCATAGGGCTGTGGAACCCATGGGCCCATTCCAGAGTCTCCTGGGAAAGGGTTCTGAGAGCCTAGGGTTATGGTGCTGAGATATGGGAATACGCTGCCCATGGGAATGGAGCTGGCTTTGAGCTGGGGGATTTCTGAAGGTAGGGACCTGCTGGAAGACTTTGTTCCATGGGGCTCAAAGGGATTGTGGCCTGTGTGTCCTTGAAGAAAATGAACCCCCTCAGCCTTATCTTTGTTCTCCATGGCCTTTGGAGCAGCCCTTTACAAGAAGACCCTAGAGTTCCCTGAGGGTCCTTGGAACCCAAATGTCAGCAAGTGGTAGGGGTTGGGGACTGCCCACATGGCCACTGGGCCAAGCAATAGGAGACCCAAGCTGGAGAAGGGATTGCAAGCAGGCATGTGCCCCCAGGGCCAGAGGGAGATGTGGTCACCCTTCTGGAAGGGATGGTCTCGTGTGTGTGTGTGTGTGTGTGTGTGTGTGTGTGTGTGTGTGTGTGTGAGTGACAATCTCAAAGACCCCAGAGGGATGCCTCCTACCGCTGTGCGCAGCTGGTGGAGTAGAGGTGCCTTAGCTGGCTGATCCCTGCTCCCTCCCCCACCACTGGGGGAGGAGGGGAGGTGGGGAGAGTGGCTCCAGGCCAGCTCCTTGCCACTCCCCAAACTGTCTGCAAGAAGAGCTTTGAACACTATGAGATTGAACTTTGGAAAATTGTAACGTGGCTGAAATGTGCAAAGGCTATAAACAGCACACAGAAAGTTGATACAAATCACCCTTAAAATCTTGTGAAAGGATTTTCAACCCTGTGCCTCTTAAGAGGAAAGAAAATTCAAACCACACTGAGATGTCTTTTTTCACTTGCTATATTGGCAAAAACTCAAAAGTTTGAAGAGTGATTGGTGCAGCCAAGGGCAGCAGGCAGCCGCCATCCCTGCTGGTGGGAGTTTACATGGATTCCAGCCCTACGGGACAGTTTGGCAATGCCTATCAAAATAAAATAGCAAATACGCTTTGACCCAGCCATCTCCGCTGCAGGAATTTGGCCACTGGATCTGCCTGCACTGTAGGGAGTGTCCTGGGTGCAGGTGACTCACTCCAGCATCATCCTGGAGCCAGTGACTCATGGCAGCATTGTTCAAGGGCAAGCAATTGGAAGCAACCGGGGTGTCTTTTGATCAGAAACTGGCCCCACAGATGAGAAAATTCTAAACATTTTCACAAATGGGAGATGATGCAGTTGTAAAAGCAAAAAAGAGGAAGTTCCATGTACAGTACTGATCAGGAAAGGATGCTGGGAAAAATCCAGAAAAAAAGCAAGAATAGAAGAGTATATTTTGTATGTTTCTATCAGCATAAAGAGAGAAATGTATTCAAATTTATTCAAATCTGCCTAAAAACTTCTGGAAGGAGTTACAAGAAATTAGTATCAAAATTATTATCAATGGTTACACACACACAAACACACATATATCTGAAATAAGGTTAAATTAGATGAGGGAGCCTGGATAGTTGGGGAGTAGGGCTGGGAGGAAGAATTTAAGGTATGTACCTTTTAATACATTTTTGGTTCTTAAAGCTATGTCGGCCAGGTGCGGTGGCTCATGTCTGTAATCCCAGCACTTTGGGAGCCCGAGGTGGGTGGATCACTTGAGGTCAGGAGTTCAAGACCAACCTGGCCAACATGGTGAAACCCTGTCTCTACTAAAAATACAAAAATTAGCCAGGCATGGTGGTGCACACCTGTAATCCCAGCTACTCAGGAGGCTGAGGCAGGAGAATTGCTTGAACCCGGGAGGCAGAGTTGCAGTGAGCTGAGATCGTGCCACTGCACTCTAGCCTGAGCAACAGAGTGAGACTCTGCCTCAAAACAAAACAAACAAACAAACAAACAAAACTATGCCAGAGTATTATGTATTCAAAAATTAAATATGTCTTTTGAGAAAAAATGACTAGCACAGAACCTTAAATACAGAAATGAGTCTATTCTAAAAACTAAAGGAGACAGGGAAGTTATGGGATCTGGACAACAAACCTCCAAGACCCCTGCTATGCAGCAGAGAAATGAGTCTAGACAGAGAGAAGTTAGAGGCCATGATGGGGAAAAGTAAAGCTGTTTTATATGTATACTTTCAAAAACTGTGGTTTCCCAAAGAATTAGGTATGGAATAAGGATGAACAGTTAAATGAGATGTTTTAATTTCTTTATCAAAGTGTTTTCAGAGTGATTTAACTTAAAAAAATTGAGGCAATTTCATAATCATTAGAAAGTCTTAATACAATATAGCACATTTGTAGGTCAGTTGACAAAGTTAAATACCAATCCCCAGCAAAAAGCTTTAAAGATGAGACTAGAAGGAAAATTCACCATGGTAAAGAAGAGACTGTGTACATTTAAACATGGTAATGGTGAAAAATCAGAGATGCTCCCAATAAGAGTATGGTTCTTGCTGTCATCATTATTAACATGTTTCCAGAAGTTTTGATCAGCATAATGAGACATAAAACAAATAAGTTATCAGGAAGAAAGCTAAAGTAATCATAATTTGTAGGTGACATGACTTGTATACCTAGAAAACTCCAAAGAACCAACTGAAACTCCCAGAATTACAAGTAATTCAGCCTAGGTCCTGAATAAGATAGACTCACTGTATGTCAACAAAAACAAGTTAGAAAGTGGAGAGATTCTAACTATAGTATTATAGTAACAAAGCCAGAAAACTCAGGATAATTGTATTAATAAATACAAACAACCTATATAAAGGAACAACTTGAGAGATGAAAGGAAGCTTGCATATTTAGAGAAGCATGAGTTTTTCTTGGATGGGAAAATGGAATATTAAAAATATATCAGTTAATATTTAATACAAGTTAATATTTATAGTTTTAGTGCCATTCCAATGAAAAAACTGATCAGACTGTTTTGACAAAATGATTATGAAATTCATCTGCAGGATAAACAGCCAAAATTAGCTCAAACTTTTTGAGCAATATAGATAATAAAGAGAGCCTTCTTCTCCCAAATATCATTAAATGTTACAATAATAAAAGGAATGTGGTATTGGTACAAAGTAGTTGATCAGTGAAACAGAATGGCCAGCCCAAAAATAAATTCTTATCTCTAAAAATGTTATTTTATAGAAGAGGCCTCACAAACATAAAAAATGGAAGGGCTACTAAACCAGATAAAAGTCACAAGAAACGAAAATTATAGTCCAACATCTCTTATTAATAGAGAAGAAAATGTCCTCAACAAAATACTACCAAACTGAACCCAGCAATATATGAAAAGAATTATATACTATGACCAAGTAGAATTTATCCCAGGAATGCAAGATTGGTTTAACATGCAAAAATCAATTAGTGTAATATACCATACGAATGAAACAAGGGACAAAAACATGATCATCTTATTAGGCATATGACATCAAATAGTATTTGACAAAATTCAACAACCCTTCATAATAAAAACATTCAACAAACCAGGTATAGAAGAAAATTTTCTCAAACCTGATGAAGGGCATCTATGAAAACTACACAGCAAATGCCATATTTAATTGTGAAAGACTGCATACTTTCTCTTAAGATCAGGAAGAAGATAAGAATGCCCACTCTCACCACTACTGTTCAAAATTATAATGGAGGTTATAAGACCCTTAGCCAAGAGAAAAAAATGTCATTCAGATTGGAAAGGAAGACATAAAATGATCTCTATTTGCAGATAACATAATCTTGTATATAGAAAATTCTAAGGAATCCAGTAAAAAAAAACAAAAAACCCCAGAAAACTATTGGAACTAATAAACAAGTTCAGCAAAGTTTCAGAATACAAGATCAATATACACAAATTAATTGTATTTTTGTATAGCAGGAAGGAATAAACCATAAATTAAAATTTAAAAAAACCAATACACAATATCATCAAAAAGAATAAAGTACTTAGGAATACATTTAACAAAAGAAGGGCAACATTTAGATGCTGAAACTACAAAATATTATTGAAAAAAATTAAAGAAGACCTAAATAAGTAGAAAGATATCCTATTTTCATGGATCAGAAAAATTAATATTGTTAAGATGGCAATACTCTCCAAATTGATCTCCATATTCAACACGACTTGATTAAAATCCCAGGTGGCTTGTTTGCAGAACTTGATAAGCTGATCATAAAATTAATCTGGGAATTCAAGAGACTCATGCCAAAACAATCAAAGAACAGAGTTGGACTCACACTTCCTGATTTAAAAACCTACTACAAAGCAACAGTAATCAAGACAGTGTGGTACTGGCACAGGATAGGCATTTAGGTCAAGAGAATAGAATTGGGTATCCATAAATAAACTCATACATCTATGGTCAAATGAGTTTTGACAGGTGGTAAGACCATTCAATGAGAAAAGGATAGTTGCCTTCAACAAATAGTGCTGGGACAACTGGGTAGACACAGGCCAAAGAATGAATTTGGATTCCTACCTCACATCATATACAAAGATTAACTCAAAATAAATAAAAAACCTAGTTGTAAGGGGTAAAACCATAAAACTCTTAGAAGAAAACTAAATCTTCTTGACATTGGCATAGGTAATGGTTTCCTACATATGACACCAGCTGCACAAGCAACAAAAGAAAATAAATTGGACGTCATCAAAATTTAAAACTTTTATGCTTCCAAGTGCACCACCAAGAAAATTCTTGGCTGGGCATGGTGGTAGCTCATGCCTGTAATCTCAGCACTTTGGGGGGCCGAGGCTGATGTATCACTTGAAGTCAGGAGTTCAAGACTAGCCTGGTCGACATGGTGAAACGCCGTCTCCACTGCAAATACAAAAATTAGCTAAGCGTGGTGGTGCACACCTGTAATACCAGCTACTTGGGAGACTGAAGTGGGAGGATCACTCAAGCCTGGGAGACAGAGGTTACAGTGACCTGAGATTGTGCCACTGCACTCCAGCCTGGATGAGACTGTCCGAAACAAAACAAAATTTAAAAAAAAGAAGAAGAAAAGAAAATTCTCACAGAATAGGAGAAAATATTTGCAAATCATACACCTGATAAGAATCTTGTACCTAGAGTATATAAAGAACTCATACAACTCAATAATAAAAAATAACCCAATTAAAATACGGGGCTGGGAACAGTGGCTCACATCTGTAATCCCAGCACTTTGGGAGGCTGAGGCAGGAGGATCACTTGAGCCCAGGACTTTGAGACTAGCCTGGGCAACATGGCAAAACCCCCTCTCTACAAAAAATACAAAAATTAGCTGGATGTGGTGGCACACACCTGTAGTTGCAGCTATTCAGGAGGCTGAGGTGGGAGGATGGCTTCAACCCAGGAGGCAGAGGTTGCGGTGAGCCCAGATTATGCTATTGCACTCCAGCCTGGGTGATAGAGCGAGACCCTGCCTGAAGTATATATATATATATACACACACACACACACGCACATAAATATATAAATATATATATTCAAAAATATACATATATATGTGTGTATCTATACGGGCAAATATATATATAAATAAATAAATATATATATATAAATAAATATATATTTATTTATATATATATGGGCAAATATATATATATTATATATATAAATAAATATATATATTTATTTATATATATATTTGCCCGTATAGATACACACATATATATGTATATTTTCAGATCCTTTGCCCATATATATGAATTGGCATGTCTCCAAAAGACATACAAATGGCCAATAAATACATGAAAAGATGCTCAACATCATTAGCCATCAGAAATGCAAATAAAAGCCACAATGAGATATCACTTTGCACTCACTAGGGTGGCTGTTAAAAGAAAGATGGATGATAATAAGTGCTGATGAGGATGTGGGGAAATTGGAATCCTCATGCACTGCAGATGGGAATGTAAAATGGTTGGGGCACTTTGGAAAATTGTCTGATAGTTTCTCAAAAGATCAAACATAGAGTTACCATATGACTCAACAATTCTCTTCCTAAGCCTGTTCCCAAGAGACATGAAAACATACATCCACACACAAAGATGTACACACGTGTTTATAGCAGCATGAGTCATAACTGGCAAAAAGTGAAAACACCAAGAACGTCTGTCAGCCGATGAATGGGTAATTAAAAGGTGATCTATCCTTACAGTGAAAGATTATTAAGCTATAGAAGAAATTGTTCATACACGCTACAACATGAAGGAGGCTTGAAGACATTTTGCTAAGTGAAAGAAGCCAGTCAGGGAGGACCACATATTGTATGATTGCATTTATATGAAACGTCCAGAACCGGAGACTCCACAGAGACTGAAAGCAGATGAATGGTTGCCCAGGACTGGGTGGGTTGTGGGAGACGCAGAGTGAGTGACTGCAAATGGGGATGGGATTTCTTTTGGGAAGGTGAGAAAATGTTCTAAAATGGCACAGTTTTGTGAATATACTAAAAACATTGAGTTGTACACCATAAATGGGTAAACTGTGTGAAATGTAAATTTATCCCAATAAAATTGATATTAGGCTGGGTCCGGTGGCTCATGCCTGTAATCCCAGCACTTTGGGAGGCCGAATTGGGTGGATCACTTGAGGTACGGAGTTCAAGACCAGACTGGCCAACATGGTGAAACCCCATCTCTACTAAAAATACAAAAAGTAGCTGGGCGTGGTAGTGGCTGCCTGTAATCTCAGCTACTCAGGGGGCTGAGACAGGAGAATCACTTGAACCCGGGAGGCGGAGGTTGCAGTGAGCCGAGTTTGCACCACCCCACTTCAGCCTGGGTAACGGAGCGAGACTTTGTCTCAAAAAAAAAAAAAAAAAAAGATATTAAAAAAATAGAGGGATATCAATAGAAGTTTTGAACACTGGTTAACAGTTGGGGAAAAATGTCAACTTAAGCCTTCATAATAAATTTCCTAAGTAAACTCCAAAGGAATTAAAGCATTAAATATTTTCTTCAAATCACAGAATATTTTGAGAAAGAATTTGGTGGTTCCCACAGCTTGCCATATGACACCGGGGAAGCTGTGGGTGTTGGGAGCGGGGAGTGGAGCCAGCCAGGCATGGCTTGTCATCCCCGTTCGGCCCTTCGCTGGCTGAATGCATTGGGCATGTGGGTTCCCCTTGGGGCCTCCTGTTGCTCCAATGTCTTGCAGGGAGGACAAATGTTATCCAACTCCTGGGACTGATGTGAGGTTGCACACTGCTGGCACTCAGTATGTGGGAGCTGCTTTATTTATGCATTATTATACAAATTAACATAGAAGATACTATTCCATCCACAAATATAATACATACACATATACATATATGGATATATACATGCATATAATACATACATACACATGTATTATATACATACATGGATATATACACACATATAATACATACATATGTATTATATGTACATATACATATATGTATAACTACACATATATGTATAATACATATATGTATACTGTATATATGTACAGTATGTATACTGTATATATGTACAGTATGTATACTGTATATGTGTACAGTATGTATATGTGTACAGTATGTATATGTGTACAGTATGTATATATGTACAGTATGTATATATGTACAGTATGTATACTGTATATGTGTACAGTATGTATGCTGTGTACAGTATGTATACTGTATATGTGTACAGTATGTATGCTGTGTACAGTATGTATACTGTATATGTGTACAGTATGTATGCTGTGTACAGTATGTATACTGTATATGTGTACAGTATGTATACTGTATATGTGTACAGTATGTATACTATATACAGTATGTATACTGTATACTGTATATATATACACAGTATGTATACTGTATACTGTATATATATACACAGTATGTATACTGTATACTGTATATATATACACAGTATGTATACTGACAGTATACATACTGTATATATACACAGTATGTATACTGACAGTATACATACTGTATATATATACAGTATGTATACATATACAGTATGTATACTATATACAGTATGTATACTGTATATATATATACAGTATGTATACTGTATATATATACAGTATGTATACGTATGTATACTGTATATATGTATTATAGTGTATATATGTATTATAGTGTATATATGTATTATATATATTATAGTGTATGTATTATATGTGTATATACATATAATATATTATACATATACATATGCACAATATGTATATGTATTATATGTATTCATATACATATATGTATATGTATAATATATGTATACATATAATACACATGCATATTGTGTATATGTATATGTATAATATATTGTATGTATATACACATATAATACATACACTATAATACATATATGGATATGTGTATATATCACTTATCCAACACAGCATAAATCCAAAAGAGGACAAAAGAAAGAATAAAAGGGTGTGAGCGTAAAACTGAATGGGGGATAAGGTTAAGAAATTTGTATTACAAAGACTCTAGTGTGGATGGGCTCAAACTTCCCTAAGCTTCCTGGCAGTCAACATGAAAAGGAGAAATGTGTCAGTGACTCATTCTACTCCATTCAGGTATAAAAACTGACCAATTCCAGCCTGGCCAACGTGGCAAAACCCCATCTTTACTAAAAATACAAAAATTAGCCGGGTGTGGTAGCACACATCTGTAATTCCAGCTACTCGGGAGGCTGAGGCACGAGAATCGCTTGAACCCAGGAGGCAGAGGTTGCAATGAGCTGAGATTGTGCCGCTGCACTCCAGCCTGGGTGACAGAGTGAGGCTTTGTCTCAAGACAACAACAACAACAACACAAACAACAACAACAACAGCAACCGACCAATTGCTGGGAAATGTGTTAGTGCTAAGGCTGCAGGGATTTCTACCGAGGGCTGTTATGAGAGAGGCCGCTGAGCGCAGTGATTCTCACATGTTTAAGAGCTTGTTAAATATAGTCTTCCCTTGGTATCCGTGGGGGGATTGGTTCCAGGACCCCCATAGATACTGAAATCCATGAATGTCCAAGTCCCTTTGTAAAATAGTGTAGCATTTGCATATAACCTACAAAGTATAACTTGATGGTTTCACACAAAAAGACAGCCAAGCGCACCACCACGCCTGGCTCATTTTTGTGTTTTTAGTAGAGGCGGGGTTTCACCATATTGGCCAGGCTGGGCTCGAACTCCTAACCTCAGGTGATCTGTCTGCCTCAGCCTCCCAAAGTGCTGGGATTACAGGTGTGAGCCACAGCGCCTGGCATCGTTTACCCTTTCTTATGGTTAAAAGATTTTTTTAAAATTTTAGCAGGATACATAAAGAGCCCATGTTAAGTGTACAGATTGCTGGATGTTTACAGACTCAACCCAGATGCAGAAGGAGAACTTTATTGCCACTTCAGAAAGTGTCCTAACGCCCACTCGAAGTCACTGCTCCCTGCCCCCAAGGGTGACCTCTGACTTCTAACAGTTTATGGAACTAGAATCATTCTGAACGTTCTCTCTTGTGCCTGGCGTCCTTCCTCAGTGCACCCTCATAGTTGAGCACTGGGTCCTTGTAGGTGGTTTGCTCTCAGTGCCGTGTGGCAGTGGTTCTCACTCCGGCACTGGCCTGGGGATCACCAGGAGGGTTCATGCACAGATTGCTGGGCCCAGAGCTTCTGATTCAGGAAGTCTCACCCGGGCCCTGGGAACCTGCTTTTCTAACACATTCTCAGATGCTGCTGCTGGGGCTGAGACTGGGGTACACACCGTGAGAATTCTCTTTTCTCTGGAAAAGGAGCCTGCCCTTGTCGTTGTTGTTGCTTTTAGGAATCGCTAAGGGGCAGCACGCCTCACAGGGGTTGGAGGGACAGGGTGGTGTGGAGACCAGGGCGGGGTCCTGAGGTGACACAGGCCTCTGCAGTGAAACTGTCAAAGTGAAGTGAAGCTGGCATCCAAGCCAGAACCCCCGGGCACCTTTGGGAATATGCACCCTCCTTGGGCCTACAGTGGAGATTTCTAGAACACAGAAATATCCACCGTAGATTTCTGCTCACGGCACCAGTCGACTCCCTATTCTCCCTCAGAAAGGGCTCTGGCGAAGCATCCCACATTCTCCCTCTTCTCTCTGATGCCTGCCATCCCCTAGGGCTTCAGGCAAGGCTCTGGCGACCTGGCCTCCCCACTGCTTCCAGCCACCCTGCTGCTGTTCGTGCCCTCTGCTCTCCAGGGCCCACCCTCTGTCCTTTTCCTCTGTTGGAATCTCTCCTGCTCGGGGGTGTTAGCTGATGGCTCTGTTTAGATGGCTGCACCTTCCCTGTGCTCTGTATGTTGAATAGCCCACGCCTCTGCCTGGCGTCACCGAGCGTTACCAGCAGGTCCACCCACAGGTGGCCGTGGGTGATCCTGGCAAGCTTCGCTACAAGTCCTCAGCCATATTTGGGAAACGTGCCCCGATAGGACAGGGGGTGGCTTCTGCCACCTGCAGCCCCTCTCTGCCCCATGGTTTCTGAGCAGGAGGTCACAGGGCCGAGAAGAGCAGCAGGGACCCAGGCCAGAAGGTGGTGGTGGAGACAAACCCTCCTGGAGAGGAACTGCCCTGGGCAGCGATGCTCTTCCCCCTCTTCCCAGAGGAAACCGCAGTGGGAGTTTCAGCGCTGAGATAGGCCCTTTCCATTGAGCTCATTTGATCTTCACAACAACCCCAGGGGATGGGGTGGGAGTAGGGTGGCTACTATTGAATCTGAGGCTCAGAGACACTCAGTAAATTGTCCAGGATCACACAGCTGGTAAGTGGCTGAGGTGGGATTCAAACCAGGCTCTTCCAGGTCCCAGAAGAAAGGTATGGCTGGTATCAGCACAGGGGAGGTGGAGAGACTGCCTGCGAGGTGGAGCATGGCGCATGTGCTTAGGAAGCATGGCTGCCCCAGTCAAAGAGCAAAGACCAGGGACAGCGCAGCCAGAGACAGAGCCAGAGGCCAGGACAAGGCAAGCCTGGCTCTCTCTGGGGAACTAAGCCCTGGCACTCACCAGCCGGCTCATGCCATAGGGGGGCTACAGTCCGCTCAGTAAAGCTCTCCCTCCATGCTGGGTGAAGCCTTCTACACAGGGGGCCCTGGGCAGTTTGGGGGCAGGGGCTCAAAGCAGTGGCAGGTGTCTTTCCCACAGTGGCTGTGGTGGTGGATGGGTGGGTGTCTCCTGTTTCTTGTGCAGCCCTGTAGGTGCCAGGCCAGTCGTCTCTCTTCTTCTGATGTCTAACACCCCTAGGAAGGTGTTCCCTCCCAGCATGTCCTAGCAGGACTCCGGGCCAGGTCTCCCTGGGCACTCGACACACCCCAGGAGCCTCTGGTCCTATCTGTAGGGTGATGTTGCATATCTAGTTCATGGTATGAGGTTCAATATGGGGTCCTCAGTGGGTGGGTTCTGCCCGCTCATACAATGAGCATAACTGCGTGCCACACTGTGCTAGGCCTCTGGTCATGAGACAGACAGGGTCTCCTGGTTTGGGACCCCGGAACAGCAGGCAGAAGGGAATTTTCTAACATCCCCCATCTTTCCAAACCTGAACTTGCCTCTCCTCTGGCCTCTTTCCCTTCTGGAAGCTTCCCACATCTGAGCAGTGATACTGCAGGGATTAAATGAGATTATGATGATGGGCATGGCAGACACTCACCATGGCAATCCTCCCAGGCTGCCCTTTTTATTATTTGCAACTAAGTGAATGATCTGCTTTTTAAAATAGTTTTTACTTTTTGGTGTATAAAGAATCAACGGTTGTAAAATGTATATAATGTTCAATATAAAAATTGGATATAGAGTTAAAAAAAAAATCGAGTGTCTGTCAGAGCCCTCCCCTTGTCTCTGACCCAGTAAATGACATCTATGCTGCATTGTGTCGGGGACTGGTGGGTGGAACTGTTGAGTCCTGCCCCCTCTGGACATGCTGGTGACAGCAGCCACTCTAAGCCAGGTGGGAGAGGAGAGGGGTGCCTATTTTATTCAAGTGAAGTCCAGCAGCTGCTGCCATGTGTGACTGTGTCTCTCACATTTCCCTGCCATCAGACAGGGCATGAGCCAGAGGGAGAGAGCTGGGGACAAGGATTGCACCTTCTAGGATGAGTGGCTCAGCGAGCCTCCGCCCTTGGCAAGCTCCCGCCTGTGGGCAAGTTCTGCCACCCCAGCCAGAGGGAGGAGGGCCAGGGCTGCTGAGCTCCCAGGCCCAGCGCAAGGCAGACGCTACGTAAAAGTGGTGAACATCATTTCCAAAGCCCAGTGGGGATGTTTATGTGCAGGGGCTGGCATGACACACTGGGTCTTTGTTGAATTCTAGTCATTGGGTCATTTGCATGTCGGGGTTGCTGTGAACTCCTTTATTAACCCATAGTCAGGGAGATTTATAAAAAGGTCGGCTAAAAATGACAACACTAATATTGGTGTCTTAGTCTGCTAACACTGCCATAAAAAATACTGTAGACTAGGTGGTGTAAAGAACAGAAATGTATTTTACAACAGTTTTGGAACTGTAAGTCCAAGACCAGGGGTCCAGCATGGCCAGGCTCTGGTGAGGGCCCCATCCTGGCTTGCAGAGGCTGCCTTCTCTCTATGTCCTCACTGGGCCTTTCACCCACGCTGGAGGGCAGTGGTGCCATCATAGCTCACTGCAACCTCCACCACCCGGACTCAAGCGATCTTCCCGCCTCAGTCTCCTGAGTAGCTGGGACTATAGGCATACACTGCCATGCTTGGCTAATTTTTTTGTATTTTTTGTAGAGATGGGGTTTTGCCATGTTGCCAGGCTGATCTTGAACTCCTGGGCTCAAGCGATCCTCCTGCTTTGGCCTCCCAAAGTGCTGGGATTGCAGGTGTGAGCCACCGTGCCCAGCCTCTTCCTCTTTTTATGAGGGTACTGATTCCATCATGGGGCCCCACCCTCATGGCCTGGTTTAAACCTAAATGCCGCCAGGCGAGGTGGCTCACGCCTGTAATGCCAATCCCAGCACTTTGGGAGGCCGAGGCGGGTGGATCACGAGGTCAGGAGATTGAGACCATCCTGGCTAACACGGTGAAACCCCGTCTCTAGTAAAAAAAATACAAAAAATTAGCCGGGCGTGGTGGCGGGCGCCTGTAGTCCCAGCTACTCAGGAGGCTGAGGCAGGAGAATGGCGTGAACCTGGGAGGCGGAGCTTGCAGTGAGCCGAGATCGCGCCACTGCACTCCAGCTCGGGCGACAGAGCGAGACTCTGTCTCAAAAAAAAAAAAAAACGAAAAAACCTAAATGCCTCCCAGAGGTCCCATCTCCAATACCATCATCACACGGGGGGTTAGGGCATCAACGGCTGAATTCTAGGGGGAGACAAACATTTAGCCCATAACAACTGGAGAAGGAATGAAGGGAACACTTGGATTTCTGGTTGGGAAAGTCTCAGTTTAACCCGATTTCTCGAAACGGCGCCGTGAACCAGTGTTGTACCAGAGGCAGCCATCTCACCTTCCTGTTCCCGAGCCCCTTCCTTGGGAGCTGCCTTGTCCTCAGCCCTGGAGGGGGCTTCCCCCCATCCTGAGTGCCACTTCCCCCCATCCCACTGGCCACAGCTGACCAGAGCAGGGTGGAGCTTTGGCCCAGGAGGAATCAACCCAGAGGCTGGGCTGAACCAACCAGATTCCCCCTTCCGGAGATGAGGATTGGAGTGGCATTGAGTGCAACCGTGGCAGGTTCCTAGGCATGAGACAGACCTCTCGCTCAGGCCCAGCAGAGCAGGCAGGAGGCAACTCCTAACATCTCTCATCACCCCCAATATAAGCCTCTCCCTTCTGGAAGCTTCTCTCAAGTGTGCAGTGCTAGAAGCATCGAAAGCACCTTTGCACATCCTCATGTGAGCCTGTGAGTCTCCCCACGGGCCCATAGGTAGGGGGAGGTGACTCAGACCTGAGGAAGGTTTCCTGAGGATGTGAGCCCAGGAGTGGGCTGGAGGGATTCAGGCATGTAGAGGGTGCTGGGGCCTTGGTGGGGGGCAGAGAGGAGAGTGGGAATAGCCAGCGAGAACGGAAGGCGAGAGGGAGGCAGAGGGTGATGAGGTCGTGCGGGCCATGGGGCAGAAAGGCCAGGATTTCTATGCTGGCTTGGGTGAGTGAGTTTTTCAAGAGGCAGATGTGTTTTTAAAAACGAGCAGTAGCCTGGCCAACGTGCGAAACCCCAACTCTATTAAAAATACAAAAGTTAGCCAGGTGTGGTGGCGTGCGCCTGTAATCCCAGCTACTTTGGGAGGCCGAGGCGGGTGGATCACCTGAGGTCAGGAGTTTGAGACCAGCCTGGCCAACATGGTGAAACCCTGTCTCTACTAAAAATACAAAAATCAGCCAGTTGTGGTGGCGTGCACCTGTAATTGCAGCTACTTGGGAGGCTGAGGCAGGAGAATTGCTTGAACCCGGGAGACGGAGGTTGCCCTGAACCATTGCACTCCAGCCTGGGCAACAGAGAGAGACTCTGTCTTAAAAAATAATAATAATAAAATAAAAAAAAGAAAGTGAGCAGTAATGGCAGGGACATTGGGGGCTGTGGTTTTTTCCATTCGTCTCTCATCTAAAATAGTCACAGGATTTGGGTAAACCCTAGATCCTCCTGTCCTCCTTCCAGCTGCATGGGAGTTGAACCGGTAACTGTGAGGTAATTTTAGGAGGGACACGAGTCAAACGTTCAAAAAATCAGTAGTTTAATATTTTACTTATTCTAGAAAAAAACCCAGTTAGCACATCAAACCTGTGATTTCACAGATATTAAAGCTTAGGATGAAAATAAATGAAGTAAGAAATTTAATTTAAAGGCAATCTGTAGAAAATATTAATAAGACAGGCAGTACATGGACATGTTAAAAATTGTAAATGTGGCCAGACGTGGTGGCTCATGCCTGTAATCCCAGCACTTTGGGAGGCCGAGGCAGGAGGGTCACTTCAGGCCAGGAGTTCGAGACCAGCCTGGGCAACATAGCAAGACCCTGTCTCTACAAAAAATAAAAAATTAGCCAGGGGTGGTGGTGCACGCTTGTAGTCCCAGCTACTTGGAAGGCTGACGTGGGAGAATTCCTGGAGCCCAGGAGGTTGCAGTGAGTTATGATCACACCACTGCACTCCAGCTTGGGCAATAGAGAGAGACCCTGTCACACACACACAGAATATTGTAAATGTAGAAAGCAATTGATTGACGTTCAGGAAACACTAGATTGAAATGACCTCGGTAAGCCAGACACCAGAGCATGTTTCTGTTCGGAGCTAAGCCTTCCCTCCTCTCTTCATGTCAGCCTGGTCCACTGTGAGTGGCAGCAACAGCATTTGTGAACTTTAATGAAATACAGATTCTTGGGTTTACCTGGAGGCCTGGAGGGTGGGGCCCAGGCGTCACTGTGACAAGCCCCCTGGGGGACTCTGAGGAGCCTGGGCCCTTCTTACACTGACCTCAGCGAGTCTGCACATCTCCGGAAAGGGGGTGCAGAGTGTGTGTTTGTTCAGGTCTAGGGGGAGGGTGCACGCCTTTCACCAAATCCCAAGTGGGTCTCGGCCCCCTAAGCTTCCTGCAGTCCTTTTTAGCTGACACGTGATTGCCCATGCCCAGGAATCCATGTGAGTTAATCGTGAATAACCCAAACCCTCCCGGGAGGTGGCGGAGCATTCCTGGTGCATACAAGACAGCTCTGGCGAGTGTTTGGGGCCTCCCCACCCCAAGGAAGGCCTCTGGGACTACCTGGTGGCTGCCCCAGGTGGGGCTGCCCAGTCTCCAGGCCACTGGCCTCTGCTCCCAGACCCACAGCAGCGCGGGGTGCTCTTTCCCTCTGATGTCGATCCCAGCCTATTTCTGATCCTTCCTGAATTCTCCTTCTCCCTCTCTTGGCTTTTCTCTTCAAACGTCTCCTGACTAGGTTCTGGCAATGGTTCGCAGCTTAGATGGACCCTCGGGTATCCGCCTGGAGCAGCCCTGCCTGCACCTTCCCCTTCCTTGCTAATATCCTCTAAGGCTCTTTCCTGGAGGACTCAGTCCCATTTGTTCCTGGGCTGGCCTGAGAAGCCACTCCACACACATACCACCCTGCCCTACCACCCCCACTGAAGTCCATGGAGACGTCTGTTCATCCATCGGCTCCTTTCTCTTCTAGCAAATGTTCACTGAAAATCCACCTGCCCAGGGCCAGGCCCTGGAGAAACAAAGACGCAAAGGCCCAGCCCAGCAGGCCAGATGGTCACAATACAACATAAAAGTGCCAAGCTGAGGCCATCCAGGAGGCGCCCTGAGTCCCAGCCATGGGGATCTCGGATGTTCCAGAACTTGGCACACACTGCAGGTGTTCAAATCACATGTACCCGATATTGGTGGTTGTGCCCCTGGCCCGAGCTTGTTGCTCCAACTTGGCCCTTGTTGTGTGGCCCCTGAATTGCCTTTTTAACCAACAGACCCAGCATTTAATGCATGTTGGAGTTTTCTGACCTCCTTGCCTGGGTGAGGGCAGACAGATGTCACAGTGATTCAGTCACTCTGCAAGACAGGCCAGCAAGCCGACTTCATTTCTGCAGCAAGCACCCCCTTGATCTCTGTCACGATCATGTCATAACTTCTCTAGTTCCCCCAGCCTCCCACCTCACCTGCCCCTCTGTCCTTGTACCCAAGGTCCTTGAGAAAGCTGGAGGCTGGAGAGAGGAACTCTCCAGCAGCCCCTGACCCTGCAGCCCTGCAGGCACCTGTCCGGCTTCTCCCACCCCTTCCCTTCTTCTGGGGACTCCTCCCTCTGCTCTGCTTCCCAATGACCCCTCCCATGCTCCCTGCTTTCCACCTGCACCCACACACCTGAGCATGTCATTGGGACAGCTGCAGCCCTCTCATGGCCTCCTCCAGCCCTTCCCCATCCCCTGGTCGCAGCAGCAGCACTTCTTGGCCTTGACTCCAGGCTGATCTGGGCTAGGAGCTGCCCTTCAGCCCCCTGGAATCTGCTCTGCCCTCCAGGGTCCTCTTCCTGTCTAGATTCTAGTGTGGAGTGCTTGTCAAGGCCATCAGGGCAGAAAGATGAGGTAACTGCTGGGAACCCCAGAAAACACCCAAACCTGGTCCTTTGTGGAAAAACACATAGTGCATCACGTCACACCCATGCTCACAACACTCCTGAAGGCGTTTAGGAAGCAGCCCAAATGCCTTACCTGCCCTTACTGGCCCCTACCTTCCCTCCCCTTCCCCCTGCTCCCTCTCCCCTCACCCCCCATCGCTGAGAATCAGGCTCGGCTTTGCCTCAATTTCCCTTCCTCATCCTGCTGGGGGCCTTTCTTCGGGGCTGTGTGGACATTTGGTTGAGGCAAATTGCTTAATGGATAGAATGTACAAAATTTGGGTGATGGTTACACCAAAAGCCCAGACTTTGCCACTGTGCAATATATCCATGTAACAAAACTGCACTCGTGCCCCCTAAATTTAAACCAAAAACAAAAAAAAGACTTTCTTCCTAGTGTGAATGGCAGATCAGATACACACGGACCACCTTTCTCTACTCCTTCGTCAGGACAGACATTGCTAACCTATCACAGCACACTTTCCCTTCCAACCTAGATTGGGTCTCGTTGTCCTCGATGGATTCTGCGGGCAACCATTAGCATGGATCAGCACCAACACATGGATGCCCCCAATGTGCCATTTCTGGGATACTGACTGGTAAGTTCCCAGTCTGAGCAGCTATGGGGCTCTGAGTGCCCCATGGTTACAATCAGGAGGGCTGGAGCTGGCAGGTCGCTCCGCAGATGTGTTCCCACATGGAGAGTGCAGTGGGGGAGCAGTGCCCTTGGGGCTGTCTCTACACCCCCAAAACACAGGCCCTGAGCACCAGCAGGAAGCAGCCACCCTACCAAACACTTCTGCCCAGATTCTCAGCTGGGAAGGTGAGGCTTTCCTGACCCACAGGACCACTCCTTCCAGCGTGGATGCCCATGTGCTTACAAGGCCACCTTCTGTGGCAAAAAGTTCAGCATCTTGAGATGGGGAGATTATCCCAGATTACTCAGGTGGATGCAGTATATTCACAAGGCTCCTTATAAGAGGAAGGCAGAAGAGTCAGAGAGAGGTTTGAAGATGCTATGCTGCTGGATTTGAGGATGGAGGAAGAGACCACAAGCAAAGTAGTTCGGGCAGCCTCTGGAGGCTGGAAAAGGCAGGAAACATCCTCTCCCAGAGCCATCAGAAGGAAACAGTCCTGCCAGCAGCATGGATTTAGCCCAGTGAGAGCCATGTTGGGCTTCTTGTCTTCTAGAATTGTAAGATTTGCATTGTTTTTTGATTTGTTTTGTTTTGGTTTTTTGAGACAGAGTCTTGCTCTGCCACCCAGGCTGGAGTTCAGTGGCATGATCTCAGCCCACCGCAACCTCTGCCTCCTGGGTTCAAGCGATTCTCCTGCCTCAGCCTCCCAAGTAGCTGGAATTACAGGCACCTGCCACCACATCTGGCTAATTTTTGTATTTTTTGTAGAGACGGGGTTTTGTAGTGTTTGTCAAGCTGGTCTCGAACTCTTGACCTCAAGTGATCCGCCCACCTTGGCCTCCCAAAATCTGGGATTACAGGCGTGAGCCACTGCGCCTGGCCTGCATTGTTTTAAGCCACAGTTTGTGGTAATTTTTGACAGCAGCAATTGAAAGCTAACACACTCTTCTTAGTGATGGAGCTCTAGCTCTATTGGGTTCACCATTATTGAGTTCCCCAAAACTCTTTCCACACCAGCATTTACCAAGCCATTTTTTGAAAAAATTGGAGCATCAGGGTTTTGCTGGGAAAAATGCCTTCACTTCTCAAGCAATATTATTCACTGGAGGGAAGTCATCATTGGGTCTAATGTGCAGGTGCCTCAAGGGAGATTTGGGGGTTGTAGAGGCTTCTGGGCTGATGACAGGTAAGCTTGAATGGCATCATCAAAAGAAGGGGGCACCTCCAACTTAGCCAAGCACAGAGTATGAGGAGCTGGTTTGGTGAAATCTTCCCAGACAGCTGATTCTCTTGATATTTGAGGGTTCTTGTGTACACATTCCTGTTTAGTGCTCAATCCTCTAACTATGTGCACTCATAAATTCACTAATAAATGCTGCTGAAAGTTAACTGTTGTATTGGAAAAAGTGATCCTTTTTCTTTCTCATGGCATATCAGGAAAATAATAGCTAAAATTTTGCAAGGGCCAAGAGCTTTCTGTGCACCATCTCATTGAACACTCATGGCGATCCTGTATGATCTTTACTGTACTTGTCCTATTTCTTTCACTTTTAGAGAGGAGGACATGGAGCATGGTGGGTCAGAGAGGTTAACCGACTCATCCGAGGTCACACAGCTAGCAGGTGGTGGAGGCGGGATTCAAACCCAGGCAGCCCAGCTCCAGCAAAGTGCTTAAAAACATGATTTCTAAACTGTTTCTCACCACCTTTAATTTAAAACATGTTGGGCCAGGCATGGTAGGTCATGCTTGTATACAATCCCAGCCCTTTGGGGCCTGAGGCGGGCTGATCACTTGAGTCCAGGAGTTCGAGACCAGCCTGGTCAACATGGAGAAACCCCATTTCTACAAAAAATACAAAAATTAGCCAGATGTGATGGCACACATCTGTGGTCTCAGCTACTTGGGAGGCTGAGATGGGAGGATCGCTTGAGCCTGAGAGGTCAAGGGTGCAATGAGCCATGATCCCACCACTGCACTCCAGCCTGAGCAACAGAGCAAGACCCTGTCTCAAATAAATAAATAAATAAATACAATTCTAACTTTTAAAGCAAATAGCGTTTCTCAAGAAAACAGCTTTAACGATCACAGAGTATTTGGAGGGGGAACAAAGGTAGATAATGGCCCAGCCTAGGTTTCTAGGAAGAACCCTTTGGCCCGCCAGGTAGCCGCCAGGTAGCTCTGTGTCTGAGCCCTGCTCAGGCTGATCGTGGGTCTCCAGTGGGGACAACTCACAGAGAAGAGCAGCGCAAACTGGTGCCTAGTGAAGGCTGAGAAAGGGAGGAGGATGCACACCGGGGGCTTTTAACCTGGCAGGACCCTAGCACTGCTCACATGAGAAGATGCTGGCTGTCTATGCATGCTACTTAATTTTGGCATTTTCTGTGATATTTCTCCAATGAATACACAAATTAGCTATAATAATGTTTTCCCAAACACAGCCTAGATGAGCCTGTTGATTTTAGATTGAGCATCCAAACGACTTCATTATGACCCTGAGCTCCATTTCTTACCCTTGACTTGGAACCCAAGGTGGCCAATGGCGAATGACTTTGCTCTTGATTTAGGAATGCTTCCAAAGAGGCCAGAAATCTGTAGAAAGTTGCAAGTGACTGCTCTGATATCTCAGGCACCAGGAAAAGTTGTCCAGGCGCCAGATGCCCTTTTCAATCCAGAAACAACTTTAAAATCATTTTAAAGTCCAAAGCTAATTTCCTAAAAAGGAACTTGGCAGAAAGGAAGGCTTTCCTCCAACGCTCAAGAATCCACCAAGGAATGTTTTTCTCACTCAGATGAGAGCAAAACTGTCTTGATCTTTGTCCTCACTCTCATGAGTGGATTTATGACTTGGGAGCATCCTGAAAAATAAAACCCATATGTGAGGGTTCTAAAAACTTCAAATACTTGGAAATTTTTCACCCCATTGGTGGGATTTAATAGGAATCTATTTTCGCTCAGCAACACTGAGTGTATCAGCTGAGAGTAGGAAATTGAGTTTTCTTGATCTGCTTATGTGGATTGCGGTAAAGGGTATGGAGGCAGTTGTGGGGGTCTGAAATGATGGTGGAGAGCTTGGGAGAGGAGCAGGCAGTTTTGCCATCTTTTCACTTTGGGCCCAGAGAGCAATTGCATCCAGCAATTGCTTGTTGATGGGCTGCATGAGGTACTCTCCAGGGATTTGGCCTTCATGGAGTTCACTGTCATGTAGCCTGAAAGACTGATACAAGCAGGTTGCACTAACTTGTACATAAGATAGAGCAACACTCCAAAAGTCAGCACCTTGGGACTGACCCTGGCCACTTTGGGGCGGGACCTGGGGGTCAAGGGCCTTAGGCCCAGCTTGCCTTCCATATCCCCTGTCACTGCCTCTGTGGTTCCCAAGCTTCTCTCATCCCTTGAAGGGCACTGTCCAAGTTGCTTGCCCTTCTGCAGAGCCTATATTTTGAAGGATTTGTCTCTGGTAGGAAACATACTCATTAACTAATAGTGAATTGGCACCTCTGTTTCTTTTCAGTTTTTCAATAGATATTTCTTTTTCCTTTTTTTAAAAAACTTTACCATCTGCATCTTTTTTTTTTTTTCTTTTTTGAGACGGAGTCTTGCTCTGTGGCCCAGGCTTAGTGCAGTGGTTTGATCTTGGCTCACTGCAACCTCCACCTCCCTGGTTCAAGTGATTCTCCTGCCTCAGCCTCCCGAGTAGCTGGGATTACAGGTGCCACTACGCCCAGTTAATTTTTGTATATTTAGTAGAGACAGGGTTTTGCCATGTTGGCCAGGCTGGTCTTGAACTCCTGGCCTCAAGTGATCTGCCCACCTTGGCCTCCAAAAATGCTGAGATTACAGGTGTGAGCCACCACACCCGGCCCATCTTCATAATTTTTAAGTGTGCAGTTCAGTGACAATAAGTATCTTTATTCTTTTTCACTCCTTCATCCCTGCGTCCCTGCTCCACTTCCTGGCCTCCAGTAACCAGCAGTCTACTGTCTGTCATCATGAGACCCACTTCACAGTTTTAGCTCCCACATATGAGTGAGAACACGAGATATATGTCTTTCTATGCTTGGTTTATCTCATTTGACATAATGGCCTCCACTTCTATCCATGTTGCTGCCCAAAACTCCTTTTTATTGATCTATTTATTTTTAGAGATGGGGGTCTTGCTATTTTGCCCAGGCTGGATCTGAATTTGCGATCCTCCCACCTCAGCCTCCAGAGTAGCTGGGACTACAGGACACCCCACTGCACCCGGTTCATATACCCATTTTTAAACTCATCAGCAACTTGGGGCCAGGTGCAGTGGCTCACTCTTCTAATCCCAGCACTTTGGGAGGCCAAGGTGGGAGGATTGCTGGAGTGTAAGAGTTTGGGATGAGCCTGGGCAAGATGGTGAGAACCCATCTCTACAGAAAAAAAAAAAAAGTAAAACTCCTGGATGATTGGAGGTCAGAGCTTCTAGCTTTGGGAGACATGGTGCTGGTGCATGAAGCTCCAGCCCAAAGTGAAGGCAACTGAGGCACAGCCACCAGGTGCAGGGTGCAGAAGTGAGGGATGAATTTCCCATGGGACACGCTGGCCATCCAGACCCCCACTCTCATCTCTGTGGACCTCTGGGGTCCTGGCATCTTGGGTTGGGCCATCCCCTCCACCTTCCCTCCACTCCACCTGTCCTGTCTCTCTTTTTTTGAATTGGAGTCTTCCTCTTGTCACCTTGCCTGTAGTGCAATGGCGTGAACTTGGCTCACTGCAACCTCTGCCTCCTGGGTTCAAGCCATTCTCCTGCCTCAGCCTCCTGAGTAGCTGCGATTACAGGGGTCCACCACCATGCCAATTTTTGTATTTTTAGTAGAGATGGGGTTTCACTATGTTGACCAGACTGGTCTTGAACTTCTGACCTCTGGTAATCCATGCGCCTCAGCCTCCCAAAGTGCTGGGATTACAGGTGTGAGCCAGCACGCCCAGCTGGCATCTTTTAAACAGACCTCATGCCTCCCCTGTCTCTGCCTCCACTGGCCCAACCCTTACTGCAGGGCTCCCTCCCTTTTGCTAAAACCCTGCTGTCCCTTCACCTGGAATGTGCTATCTGTGAACGTATGCTATTTAGAGAACCTGGAGCATTCATTCTGAGTGAGTGTGAAAAGAATTACTACCTTATTTTCAAGGTAGTAATGCTTGCTTTATAATACATCAAACCACACCCCCAGTTCTTCTCCTCCTCCTGGAAAATCATTAATAAGTGATGGAAGATTGTTGAATGATGGCCAGCTCAGAGGCCACCTCCTCCATGCAGGCCTTGCTGATCATCCATCCCTTTGATGGTGCCCATCCTCCTCATTTGAACGTGTGATTTTTTTTTTTCCTTGTCCACAGGCAAAGTGAGTTGAGGCAGGAAGATTGTGAGATGGCCTCACCCAGGCTCCCAGGTCCTTAATCAACCACCTGAGCTAGTTTCCCAAAAGCAGCCCACAGAGGGTGCTCCAGCAAATGGCCCCTCCTCAGTGCTCAGACCCCATGTGGTCTCCCACGGCCCTGGCCTCCAGGATGGCTGCCAAACAAAGGGAGGAGGAGTAAGGCTGAAGTCCTCAGCCTTCTGGGGTGGGTCCTCCAGTCTGGAGGCAGAATTCCACCCCCTGGTCTGACCTCTCCCAAGGTGGGGAGAGGTGGTCCCAGGCCAAGGGAAGGAATTTTTCCTGAGGCCCAGCAGCCTCCTGAAGACACCATCATGGTAGCAGAGGGGGCTTAGGTGCGGGGAGAAGGGGGGTCTGAAAAGAGGCAGCCCATCCAGGCTCAGAGATGGAACCCCCTGCTCCGCTGGGCCACGGTGCCTCTCAGCCTCAGGATCCTATCACCGTTGTTGGGGTGAGAGGGCTGGTGTGCTCTTTTCACCAAGCGGGGTTTCTGGCCTGGCCTCGGGGGTGTGGGACACAGCATCGCTTCATCTCCACTAGCCTGAGGGCCACCATTGTCCCATCTGTGTCCCCAGCCCCACTTCAAAGCCTCACACATACACTGTGCACAGCAATTATCTATGAAGGAGTAAAGGAATTTTTGCCATTGGGGTTGTGCTGGGGGGTGACTTCAGAGCATCAGAGCTGACTCCTTACTCGGGAAGCAATGGGCCCATGTAGATGGGGAAGGGACGTCATCTTGGGAGACGGGATGTCCGACTTGGTGCTGGTGGCTCACCAGCTTCTTGGGACAAACAGCAGCTCCTGCGCCCCTGGTAGAGCCAGCAGGCTTGGGTGGTTAGGTTTGGTCTCCTCTGAGAGGCTCTGGGTGGCCCCACAACATCTGGGCTATTTTGTTACTGGTACAAGCTTCCGGTCTCCCACAGGCCAAGGGAAGTTCTTAAAGCAATGAAAAAAAAAAAAAAAAAGGAACAGAGACAGAGTCTTGCCAGGTTGCCCAGGTTGGAATGCAGTGATATGATCATAGCCCACCGCATGACTTCTGGGCTCAAGCAGCCCTCCTGCCTCTGCCTCCTGAGTGGCTGAGACTACAGGCATGCATCAGCTCTTCTTAAAGCAATTCATCTTCCCCCATGTCTAGCCTCATCTGTGTCCCCAGCCCCACTGGGGCAGAAAGCTGTGGAATGTTACTCACACTGTCATTGGATCAACCCCTGGCTTTCCTGTGGGGATCCCCTCCCTGGGAGGGGTTCCCATGACAATTTGGGCTCCAGAAAGGGATGTGGGAGGAGAGTGCGGTGGAGGGAGGTGGTCTGTGGTCTCCCTTCATGGACCAGAAAGCTTGACCCCCAAGGGGACCCTGGCTTCTACTTCCTCAGAGCTAAGCAGTGCCAAGGGGCAGCCTGAGACATGGGCAAAGGGGAAGCCTAAATGGAAAAAGAGAGAGAGAGAGAGAGAAAGAGAGAAGGGGCAGGGAGGACAAAGACACATGGCAAGTGTCCAAGCTGGAACATTCCCACCAGTGGCCTTATTGCATTAAGGATTTTCCCAAAAAGCAGAAATACACTGATAGTCAATGGAACATAGCAGAGCTGTCACGAGCCCAGGAAACACAAGTCCCACCTCTACACAGCCAGAGACTGTGTGACTGTCCCAAATTTTAAATCAAGATAGACAATAAGAACCTACCACTTTCACATCCAAGAAAACTGTGTCCCTACACATTTCAGTCACACCGTGCTGTGGCTTGAGGCCAGCCAGATGCAAAAATCAGGAAGGTTCTGAGGGGTAGGGCCTTCTGTCTTTCTGAAAGGGGCCCCTGAGCGGAGGGGGCAGTGCTGGGGGAGCTAAAGCGCAGTGGGCTGTCACTTCACGACTATGACTTCTGTTTCCCAAGTGCACTTCCTGACCCTGAGATTTGTGCCATGGCACACAGGAATCAGGGCACTTCCGTTTACATATACGCTCATTATCAGGACTGGCGTCGTGGGTGTGGGGCCTGGGCAGTCACAGGGCCCTGTTCTTAGAAGGTGCCCCGGCTTGCTTTAATGCTGTGTTGTTGTCCTTTTGAAAGCCTTACTATTTTAACAAGGGGCCCTGCATTTTTATATTGCACAGGGCCCTGCAATTATGCAGCCATTCCTGCTTTTGATCTCACTTACCCCACAGCCATAATGGAAGAGCGCCTGGAAGGAGTCCTTATCCTGATTCCCAGATGGTGAAACTGAGTGCCAGGAGGGGCAGTGCTGAAGCCGAGACCAGACAGGATCCCTCGGGTGGAATCCAGGGCTGCTGTTTCTCTTGGGGGCTCCTCCTCAGTGAATGGATGGGTGGTAATCTCCTTTCCTACCTGTCCTAGCGGTAGCCTCTGTTCCTTCTCTTGTTTTATCTCATTTTATTTTTTTAAAAAATACCAAAACCATTCTCTCACCTGCCAGAGAGGAGCTCATAGGAGTTGGGCTTCCTCAGAGAGTGTTCCTCCCTCGTCCCCTGTCCTGTCCAGGCACCTGCGAGCAGGATGGTGTGTCCCCGGCTAAATCCACAGGCGCTCCACTCTGTCCCAGAGAGCCCACAGCCAAAAACTTCGTCCTGTCCTGGAAAAGCTTCACTGGTAAGCATTCCCGACCTTTAGACCTGCCTTGGCCCATAGCTGGCCACGAGCCCATAACGATCACTTCCCGGCTGGGTGTTTACCTTCCTGGGCCCCATGGGTTGAGCCAGGGTGGCAGCCACATACCTGACACAAAAGTGGTGCAGGAGGGAAGGGCTATCTGAGGGGAAGGCTGGGCATGGCTGGAATACCCGCCGCCCGCCCAGTGCAAGATAATGCTGATGGTCACACCAAGAGGGGCCCGTGGCTCAGCTGGCCCACCAACCCCAAGCATTGGCCAAGCCAGCTGCACGGCCCTCAAATCTGAGATTTGGGAGAGGCTTTGGGGTCCTCCAGGGTTCTAGTCACTTCCTGCCATGGCCATCTGGCCTTAACTCAATCACTTCCAGGCATGGAACACTCACTGCTTTGTAAGGCATCTTGCTCCATTATTATTATTATTATTATTATTATTATTATTATTATTATTCCCTCTAATAGCTTCCTTTAATCCAGTGCTTACTACATGACAGGCACTGGGCTAAGTACATTACATAATCTATGTAATCCTTGTGTTGTCACTATGACCAGAGAATCATGCCCATTTTAAAGATGCAGAAACAGAGGCTCAAGAAATTGATCATCTTGCTCAAAGCCCCACAGCTAGTAAGTTGGGGATCCAGGATTCAAACCCAAGCCAACTAGTATCAAAACCACTACCATCATTTGCCAAGTTTAATTGCTACATCATCCATCTTTATATAAAACTCAAATCAGCGTTTGTTTTAGCTATCTGTTCTGGAAACAAATTAACTCAAAGTGTGTGGCTTGAAATAACACTCATTTGTCATCTCAGTTTCTGTGGCTAGAAGTCTGGGCACTGCTTGGCTGGGTTCTCTGCTCAGGGTTTCTCATAAGTTGCCATCCAAGTGTTGGAGGGGCTGAGGTCTCATCTCATGGCTCCACTAGGGGGGATCCACTTCCAAGCTGCTGGTGTTGGCAGGATTCAGTTTCTTAGGGCTGTAGGATGAAGGCCTCAGCCCCTCTCAGCTGTCAGCTGTGGCCACTATCAGTCCTTTGCCATGTGGGCCTCTCCGCCCTGGCAGCTCGTTGCATCAGAGAGGGCTATGGAGAGAGTCTGGGAAGAGGTAGGTCAGTCTTTTGTAATATACTCAAGGATGTGATATTCCATCACTTCTGGCATATTCTACTCGTTAGAAGGAAGTCATCAGGCACAGCCTACACTCAAAGGTAGGGGATTACACAGGGCACAATACCAGGGGTGGGGGTCCCTGAGGGCCATCTTTGAAAGTTCCCACAGCCATCTGATTGCCACAAAACATGGGTTTCAGTTTTGTCCCTGAAAGCCAGATTGAAGTAGTCTCTCATCTATTCTCTCACCCATCCATCCACCCATCCACCCATCCATCCACCCATCCACCCATCCATCCGTCCATCCATCCATCCACCATCCATCCACCCATCCATCCATCATCCACCCATCCACCCATCCATCCACCCATCCATCCATCCATTATCCACCCATCCACCCATCCATCCACCCATCCACACTTCCATCCACCCACCCATCCATCCACCCACCCTTCCATCCATCCATCCACCCACCATCTATCCATCCAACCATCCATCCATCCATCCATCCATCCATCCATCCATCCATCCATCCACCCAACCATCTACTCATCCATTCATCCACCCACTCATCCACCCATTCATCTACCCAACCATCTACTCATCCATTCATCCACCCACTCATCCACCCATTCATCTACCCATCCATCTACTCAACTACCCATCCACCCACCCATTCATCCATCCACCCATCCATCTATCCACCCATCCACCCATCCATCTATCCACCCATCCACCCATCCATCTATCCACCCATCCATCCACCATCCATCCATCCACCATCCATCCCTTCACCCATCCATCCATCCACCCACCATCTATCCATCCATCCACCCACCCATCCACCCACCAATCCACCCACCCACCTACTCATCCATTCATCCACCCACTCATCCACACATCCACCCACTTATCCACACATCCATCTACCCATCCATCTACTCATCCACCCATCCACCCACCCATTCATCCATCCACCCATCCACCCATCCAGTCATCCACCCATCCATCCACCCATCCACCCATCCATCTATCCATCCACCATCCATCCATCCACTCATCCACTTACCCATATATCCATCCAGCCATCCATCCACCCATCCACCCATCCATCTATCCATCCACCATCCATCCATCCACTCATCCATTTACCCATATATCCATCCAGCCATCCACCCAGCCATCCACCCATTTATCCAACCTTTCCTTCATTCATTCAACAAACATTTGAGCAGGGCACTATAAACCAGATCCCGCATTAGGCTCAAGAGATATTAAAATAAGTGCATTAACTCCCTCTTTCCCCTCTCTGTCCCTTGCCACCAAAGCCTTCCAACAGAGCCTTCCTGCATGCCGAGGTTGAAGAGGTGTCCGCTGAGTGCTCTGTCTTCTGGGAATTTTGGCTGTTTCCTGCAACCTATCATCAGATGCCACACTTATGAGACCCTCATCCTTCTGCTCACTCTCTTCCATTGTTTCACTCATTAAAAATATATATTTTAAGCAATTCCTAAATGTAAGTGTTTGTAGCGGGTGTGTGTGTGTGTGTGTGTGTGTGTGTGTGTGTGTGTGTGCGTGTAGGAATAGATCTGAGTGGGACCATGGGGATGCAGCAGGGACCTCCTGGGTGGGCAGGGCCAGCAAGGGGCACAGGTAGAGGCCTGAGCCCTGGACTCACCTGCCTGTGGACCTGTCCCCACAACCCAGCTCCCCAGGCCCAGGGCTGAGGGAATGAACTCGTGAGAAGAGGGTGAAGGGGCCAGTGGGGTTGTCATGTTCAGGTGCCCAGTGGGATGACTTTGAAAATTAAAATTATAAGTCTTTCACGCAGGAGACCATTTCTTTCCTATTGAGCACCTAGTACCAGTAGGTACTGTGCTAGGCCCTGGGGCTGCAATTGGGTGGCTTTCTAAAGTGAATCTAATTTCCTTTTTTGTCCTTTGCTCTATCTCACTGCCTCAGAACAGGCCCCCATCAACTCCTACCTGACAATTGCAATGTCCTTTAAATGGGTCTCTTGGCTTCAGTCTCTCCCAATTGCTTCCAGCCCTCAGCACCCCATCCCACTCAGTAGCCATGTGAATCTGCTGACACAGATCTGATCTTGTCACTTTCTTGCTCAAAAACATTTTATATAACCTACGTTAACAGTTTTATGAGTGTTCTTCCAGAAATGTTCTATATATACATAATCTCTACCTCCCTGCCTCTCTCTCCCTCTCTCTCTCTCTCCCTTGCATGTCTGTGTGCATACACACACACACACACACACACACACACACACACACACCTATATCCTTTGTTTTACTTAGGCAGGATCTCAACATGTATGTTCTGTTCTGTATTACTGTTTTGGTGGTTTTCCAATTTAGCACACTTTGAAGTTCTTCACTGTTTTTAATGGCTGTCGGCTGTTGTGCTATAGAAATATTCTGGGATGGTACTGAGAAATCCCTTTCAGGGCCTGGGGTGTCCTTGACCCGAAGCTTTTGTGATGCTTTTCTGAGTGATAATTTTGATAGATCATTAATGAGCTTAGTAGTCATAAGCCAATTGTTTCAAAGGAATTTTCATAATTTTGCATTTGTAGGAATTGAATAATTAATATAATGAGTTTAATTCATTATAAGACTTTTTTTTTAAGATGATAAAATACCTTCTCATGTTAAGTTTGCTTTAAGGGGTGGGAAGAGGAGAAGAATCTAAATGTTTTAATTGTTATTGTTTTGGTTATTTGAAAAGTAAAATTTAAATATATAAAGATGATGGACCAGGCCTGGTTAAGAAAAAGAACTGAACAGAAGCAGGAATACTTATCAAAACACCTACTGAGTACTTGTGAACCAGGCACTGTTCTAAGTGCTTTACAAGGATTAACATGTTTAATCTTCCCTACAGTCTTAGGATGAGGAAGCCAGATCTAAAGGGGTTAAAGCTTTCCCGAGATCCCATAAATTTTCTGGAACATACAGAAATGCTGCATATATATTTTTTGTAATGTAAATATGTAATTCAATTCAAAACAAGAAAAGTACATGTTCAGGTGCCACAAATGAAGAGATAATTCTATATTTACCTCGGTAAGCTGAGTACTTTAGGGACTGTAGCATACATTCCTTATGGTGTTTGTTATAAATTAATGGTTATGGGGAAACAAGAATCAAAGCCTCTGAACTTGAACACAGCAGGAAGCTTGACGAGGTTGATTATAGATCAGAAGTAAAAAAATGTCCCAGGCCATGGATAGAAATAGAATTACCCACAAGAATGTGGAGAACAAGCTGGATCCACACATGTACTCATGATGTACAAAAATCCCAAGATGGAAATGGAGAAAAAAATTTGAGAATTTGTGACCCCTTAAGACTTATGCAGAGGCAACTAGGGGGAGGTCGCCACAATCTAGGTCACTGGTAGGAACAATTCCACCACCACACTGAAAGGATAATTCCCATTGAAGATGAGCTCATAGGCAGAAATTATAAAACATATTGGTCTTAAGGAAGACCAATATGAAGAATATAATTTATTAAACATGATAATACCAAATTGTAAAACATTTGAGAAAGTCCAACATAAAGAAATACATCCCACAAAAATGGGAGAGTTGACACATGAGAAAATAGAAACAATAGAACAATATTTAAAAAGACCTTAAAAACTAAGTATGCGTTTCATTTCAGAAGTGGGTGTGTGACATAATTACCTTCTTGGGATTTCAAAGTACAACCATTAAGACTCTCCTGGCCTCAGTCAGATGATAACAAGTTTTAGCAAACTTGGCATTCATAAGTACTTGACCTTGGATGGAGGAAAAGGTTAGAAATGTTTGTGTGTGAAGAAGGTAAGTGTATTAGTTTGCTAGGGCTGCTATAACTAATTACCACAGACTGGGAGTCTTAAGCAACAGAAACTTCTTACAGTTCTGGAGGCTGAAAGTTCAAGATCAAGGTATCAGCAGATTTGTTTTTCAGAGACCTCTCTCCTTGGCTTGCACGTGGTGGCTTTCTCTCTGTGTTCTGTCTTTCCTCTGTGTGTGCACACGCTTTTGTGTCCTAATTTTCTCTTCTTATAAGGACACCAATCTTATTGGATTAGGGCCCACCCGTATGACCACATTTTACTTTAATTACCTCTTTAAAGGCCCCATTGGCCAGGCACAGTGCCTCACGCTTGTAATCCCAGAACTTTGGGAGGCTGAGGCAGGTGGATCACCTGAGGTCAGGAGTTCGAGACCAGCCTTACCAACATGATGAAACCCCGTCTCTACTAAAAATACAAAATTAGCTGGATGTGGTGGCACACATCTGTAATCCCAGCTACTCAGGAGGCTGAGGCTGGGGCAATTGCTTGAAACTGGGAGGTGGAGGTTGCAGTGAGCCAAGATTGCATCATTGCACTCCAGCCTATGCAACAGAGTGAGACTCCATCTCTAAATAAATAAATAAATAAATAAGGCTCTATCTTCAAATATAGTCACATTCTGAAGTACTGGGGGTGAAGATTTCAACGTATGAATTTTGAGATTACACAATTTAGCCCATAACAGCTCAAATGCCTTTGTTTCTGCTTTTAAATCTCAATCAACAAATCACTAATTGTGTGACCTTGGAATAGTCACATAATCACATTTTGCCTCATTTTCTGCTTTGCAAAATTGGGGTGATAAACAGCACCTGTTTCATAGAGTTGCTGTTAGAATTAAATAAATTAATGTATGTAAAACTGTTAGAAATAAATACACTTAAAGTGCTTAATGAGATAAAGGAATACAATCTATCAAATAAGAAAAGAAAATTATTATTTTTTAAGGTAGAAGTTGTAGAAATAAAAAATATTGATGTAGGCCGGGCACAGTGGCTCATGCCTGCAATCCTAGCACTTTTGGAGGCCAAGGCAGGTGGATCACTTGAGGTCAGGAGTTTAAAACCAGCCTGGCCAACATGGTGAAACCCTGTCTCTACTAAATATATAAAAAAATTAGCTGGGCCTGGTGGCGGGTGCCTGTAATCCCAGCTACTTGGGAGGCTGAGGCAGGAGAATCGCTTGAACCCAGGAGGCGGAGGTTGCAGTGAGCCAAGATTGTGCCACTGCACTCCAGCCTGGGTGACAGAGTGAGACTCCATCTCAAATATACATATAAAATATTAAATAGAGATGACTTTAGATTTAGTGAGATTTAAAGGGAATGCTTCCAGTTTTTGCCCATTCAGTGTGATACTGGCTGTGGGTTTGTCATAAATAGCTCTTATTATTTTGAGATACGTCCCATCATGCACACGTATGTTTATTGTGGCACTATTCACAATAGCAAAGACTTGGAACCAACCCAAATGTCCATCAATGATAGACTGGATTAAGAAAATGTGGCACATATACACCATGGAATACTATGCAGCCATAAAAAAGGATGAGTTCATGTCCTTTGTAGGGACATGGATAAAGCTGGAAACCATCATTCTCAGCAAACTATCACAAGGGCAAAAAACCAAACACTGCATGTTCTCACTCATAGGTGGGAATTGAACAATGAGAACACTTGGACACAGGAAGAGGAACATCACACACCGGGGCCTGTCGTGGGGTAGGGGGAGTGGGGAGGGATAGCATTAGGAGATACACTTAATGTAAATGACAAGTTAATGGGTGCAGCACACCAACATGGCACATGTATACATATGTAACAAACCTGCAGGTTGTGCACATGTACCCTAGAACTTAAAGTATAATAATAATAATAAAAAAGATTTAGTGAGATTTAGTGATTTGGAAGAGATATCTGAGAAAATTACCCAGAATGAAGCACCAGCAGGTAAAGACATGGAAAATATGAAAGAAGCAAAAACAAAATCTACAGAATAAATTTTAAAAACTCAAGGAGGAGAGGTTACATTCAAAGAAATAATGACTGAGGATTTTTCTAGGTTTGGAGAAAGACCTGAATTCTGGGTTGAAAAACTGTGCTGAGTCCTAGGCTGGGTGAATGAAAGTGAATTCACACCTGAACAGCCCATAATGGAACTGCAGAACATCAAGGAGAAAGAAAAAATCATAAAAGCCATCAAAAAGAAAACAGATTAAAGTAATGACGATCCTGGAAAGCCAGGCACCATCCCCTGACCACAGGGATTTTTCTCCACACCTCTCCCCTCCCTTCCTCAGAATCCAACAGAGCACCCACTGTGTGCTGGGCCCTGTGCTCTCCACTGAAATGTTCTCCTCTGCTTCTTACATTTCACTTTTCTTCCTGGTCTAGCCCAGGTCTTACCTCTTCCTCCAGGAAGTCTTCCTGACTGCACCTGTTCTCTCCACTTCCCACTGTCACTGTCACAGTCCATTCTAAACCTGCCTTCACTGGCCTCTGTTTCTTGCGTGTTGGTCTTTCCTGCCATGTAAATAGGAAGCACTTGGAGCTCTGGGACTTGGCCCAGGATCTTTCTCTCCTGCTCCTCTCCAGTCAGCATGGTGCTGGCTACACAGGGTGTGTTCAGTGACTGTGTTTGAACACTCAATCAGTTGATCCTTGGGAGTCAAATATACAATAAATTTGCATGCCGAATCAAGCTTCTTTGTACAAGCTTTTCAGGTCCTTTTGAAATCATATGTTTGTACTAAGTGACCAGGCCAGGTTAGAGTTCCTGGGCTCCCTTAAACCACATTTTAAAGGCTTTCATTATATTACTCACTGGTATTTTTTAAATAATGACTATTTATTTATTTATTTATTTATTATTTTTGATTTTTGAGACAGGGTCTTACCCTGTCGCCCAGGCTGAGTGCAGTGGCACGATCTCCACTCACTGCAACCTCTGCCTCCTTGGTTCAAGCGATTATCATGCCTCAGCCTCCTGAGTAGCTGGGACTACAGGTGTGTGCTGCCACATCTGGCTAATATTTGTGTTTTTAGTAGAGGTGGGGTTTCACCATGTTGGCCAGGCTGGTCTCAAACTCCTGATCTCAAGTGATCCACCCGCCTCGGCCTTCCAAAGTTCTGAGATTACAGGTGTGAGCCACCACGCCCGCCTAGTCCCTTACACTTTACCCATCTTTAGAATACCTCTTCTGTGGCTGTATCTAAAGGCATCAATGTTAAGGTGATTCCCTGACCTCCTGTGGGGTATGAGTCTGGCTGGGCAGTCTGGATTTGCTGAGGACCCCCGATAGGGACTGGCCTTTGGGAGGGACTTTTGAAAATTCCAAGGTCAGACTTACATGACCATCTGTCTCAGAACTGGGGAGAGGGTAGACCAGAACAGGAGCAAGAGGACCCAGAAAAGGCCATCTAGGAGGTTCCTCCGACCTGGGGGCAGTCAGGGAGAGCTGACCTTCCAGGAAAAGAGGGGCTGAGGTGTGGTGGACACAGTTGGCTCTGAGCCATGGGAACCATTGGGAGCTGAACAGCCAACCACAGACCCCGTGAAAGGACTTCATCCAGTGGAGGGGAGGGGAACAAAGGACAGGGCCTCCCGCATCTGTGGCTCAAGACTAAGACAAAAAGCCTACCCTGAGCTAAATATGACCGCCTTTCCATCTTTCCAGCTTCTGCAGCCTCACCCACACTGTCTGGTGGTGACTTGCAGTGACGTGGTGGATATCTTCTGGCTGCATGCCAGCAAATGACCCGTCCTTCTGGGGATAAGCTCGTGGCCCAGGGAGCCTTGGGCATGGTTGTGGTGCATAGAGAAGAAAAGGATTCGCTGCCCGGTGCTAAATCTGATGGGTCCCTACCATGGGCCAGATGCTGGGTAGAGAGATTCACATATGCCCTGCCTGGAAAGGTAACATTCATCCTTTCACTAATGAGTGTTTATCAGGCCACAGTGATGTATCAGAAACTGTTCTAGATACTGGGTTGCAGTAGTAAACAAAGCATTCAGAATCTCTGCTCTCATGCAGCTTAGGATCTATTATGATTTTTTTTTTTTTTTTTTGAGATGGAGTCTCATTCTGTTGCCCAGGCTGGAGTGCAGTGGTGCGATCTCGGCTCACTGCAAGCTCCGTCTCCGGGGTTCAAGCGATTCTCCTGCCTCAGTCTCCTGAGTAGCTGGGACTACAGGCGCCCGCCACCACACTGGGCTTATTTTTTATATTTTTAGTAGAGATAGGGTTTCACCATATTGGCCAGGCTGGTCTCGAACTCCTGACCTCATGATCTGCCTTCCTCTGCCCCACAAAGTGCTGGGATTACAGGCGTGAGCCACTGCGCCAGGCCCTATTATGATATTTTTACCTTCATTTTTCAGAGGAGGAAACTGAGATCCCAAAAGGCCAGAAAAGTGGCCCCACTCACCCATGTAGTATGTGGCCAAACCAGAAGAGCAGCCAAGTCCTGCCTGGCTCCTCACCCCTGAGCTTTCCAGACTCTCCCGGGCCCTGGGAAGTCCATCCTGCTGAGCACACATTTTGCTCAGTGCATCCACTTGAAGAGCGACATTAACTGAAATGGCTCATGGCTCATCCTTTGATTCAGGCCTGCCTGCGTGGAGAGCTGGACAGACTTCCTCCTGACTAATGAGCCCTCGCATCCTAATTGGGCCAGGGCTGGGCCTACATGCTGCCATCGTTCCTGGAACGTGCTTGGTCAGATGAGTGGGAGGCAGATACTGGGGACTCCCTTAGGTGTATATAGGGCATGGACCTGATAGAGGAGGCGCTGAGACTTGAGGAGAGTCCAGGGCAATGCAGGAGTCACGGCGCTTCTAGAAGTTGGGCTCCCACCACTTCTGGACACACACCCCGACTTCACAACTGGGCCCTGATCTCGATCTGGCTTGAGACACTCCTGGAGGTACGGCTTATCTCTAAATTGACTCACACAGTTCCTTTGTTGATATAAACAAGAGTTGTTGTTCCTGCTGGATAATTCTGAAGCGGGGTGTGATGTTTGGAAATGCCTTGACAAGGGCCATTTTAAAGAGCATGACAGTCACGGCCCCTCCACACCCACTGGGATTGCACCCCGCTTGGTTCTTGGGCTGTCCAGCGGTCATGTTGGATGGGACCGTGTGCAGAAGGCTCAGTTCAGTAAGTTCAGCCAGCTCAGAAACACTCCCTGATTCTGTCCTAAAGTCACCGCTGGTTTGAATTCCCAAGAGGAGGCCCCACAGTCCTGGACCAGCTTGGGGTCAAAACCGCAGCTCTCAGTTTGGCCTGGGAATTCCCGCAAAGCATGGGGCCAAGCGGACTTGTGGAACCCACTGGAAATGGGTTTTTCTTGGGGAGAGAGGCTGACCATGCGTGGGGCTTGCTACCTCCAGGGTTGCTCTGCCAGTGCGGTGAGCTGACCGGAGGCAGAGCTGCCTGCTGTTGGGAGAGATGGCATTATTCTGATGTGGGAACCAGCAGGTCAAGTCCCACCCCAAACTCAGCCAAGAACAAAGGCTTTTCCTCTGGGAAAAGCCGCCCAGGCCACCACTTCCCCACTCCCCACAACTGTTGACTCCCTTTGGTTGTTGTGGAATCCCGGAGGCAGGGACCAGGGCTTCTCTATTTATCTGTTTCCCGCACTGGAAGGTGCTCCATACAGATCTGTGAAATGCCAAGCATCTCCCTGCAGCGGGCAAGGTGAATGCCAGCGGGGAGGCCCCAGGCGTTGCAAGGTGCTCACAAGGTTGTGTTCCCAACAAGACATGGAGAGAAGCCGGACAGGGGTCCCCCGATGTTGTCTTTTGTCAGGGACTTCACAGAATGTTCAGACATCAGAATCCCAGCTGTGAGGCTCATGGCAGGAAACCCCAGTGGTTGGGTTCTGGAATCTGGCAGATCCAGGCTCAGATCCACTCATCCACCACCAACTGGCTGTGCGCTCCTGGAGAAGCCTCTCTGACCCACTTCTCTGTTTCCCCGCATCTGTGATAGGATGTGAAGGGGCTGCGTGGGAGAAGTGAGATTTCACGTGTGAGACGCTTGGCTCTGGGTTTGGTACCGGCAAGGCCAGAGCAGCACCAGCCACTGGTAGCCTTAGTGGGATCCTATGAAATTGCTCCTGTTTGGCTATTTTAACCTACAAAATGGCAATTTCTCAGAATTCAACCTGATAGTGTCACCTCTGACATTGTCTGGCTACTCGAGTGTGAGGCTGGGTTTTGCTGAGACCCTTGTCCACCCCACCCAGGGGGATTCAGCTTCCAGCTCCTTCCCCACCCACACCCCCTTGATCCTCATTTAGGCTCAGCCCCTAGCAATGGAAGGGGCCTGGGCGGGCACCTCACACAGCTCCCTTCCCACCAGATGGGGCAGCTGAACCCAGGAAGGTAGATTCTTGCCAAAGGTGCACAAACTATTAGGAGTGGACCTAGGACCAGAATCCAAATTTCTGGACTCCTAATTCAGTTCTCTTCCCACTATATCAGCCTAGAGCAGCTGCCAATGTTTGGAGCCAGGGGGCTGGGTCAAGGTGAGCCAGCCGTTTATAAGACGTGCTAAAGCCTGGCATGGAATTTAATGAGGTGCCGGCGTTTTCAGGACTTCTCTCGGAGGGAGTGCTGTGTGGGCTTAGAAGCGTCTTTAGTCCCAGCTCTGCCACTTGAAGGTTAGGTGAGCTCGGTTTCCTCATTTGTACAATGGGATAATTACAACAGCTACTTGGTAGGGTGTTGCAAGGGTTAGAGGAATCAATATTTGTCAATTGTATTGTCAATAATAAAATTTGTAAATACAATTTATAAACATTTTAAGAAAATATTGGAGAGCACCGAAAGAGTGTCCAGCACTTTGTAAGGCCATATAAGTCTTATAAGTGTTTGGTATTATTATTATTATTATTATTATTTGAGGCAGAGTCTCGCTCTGTCACCCAGGCTGGAGTGCAGTGGCACGATCTTGGCTCATTGCAACCTCCGTCTCCTGGGTTCAAGTGATTCTCCTGCCTCAGCCTCCCGAGCAGGTGGAATTACAGGTGCCTGCCACCATGCCCAGCTAATTTTCGTATTTTTAATACAGAAGAGGTTTCACCATGTTGGCCAGGCTGGTCTTGAACTTCTGACCTCCGGTGATCTGCTAGCCTCAGCCTCCCAAAGTGCTGGGATTACAGGTGTGAGCCATTGCGCCCGGCCTGGTATTATTCTTATGAGGACACTTGGGGATTGATGTGGGTGGGTGTGAGTTGGGGCCAGGGCTGAGGCATTGCTGAGGATGAGAGATAAGAGCCCTCAAGCTGACCCTGGGGTCCTGTTTTTCTTTCCAACCTCCAGTGCCCAGCTTTGTCTCGACATACACATAAGACAAACACTTGAAAGACCAGCAGATTGCATAGAGGTTGGGGCGAGGAGGAGTCCCCAGCTTTCTGCCTCCACGCTGTCATCTCTTCCATAAGGAGCATCACTCCACACCTTCCAGGTCTTACAGAGTCCGGGATTAGTGAGGGCAAAAGAGGTGATCCCTGTAAAGTGCTTGTACAGGTTCTGGTCCTTGCAAACCCTAGCTAGGTGTTTGGCAACAATCGTAACCCTTCCATCCCCCGAAGAATGCAAATTCCACGAGAGCAAGGATCTTGGTCTGGTTTACTGATGATGTAACCCAAGTTCCTAGATCCATGCCAGGAACATGGTAGGAACACAGTAAATACTTGCTGCAAGAAATAATAACTTTGTCCCCACCCTCAAAGAGATTAGAATCTAGGCCGGGTATGGTGGCTCACGCCTGTAATCCCAACACTTTGGGATGCTGAGGTGGCAGGCCACCTGAGGTCAGGAGTTCGAGATCTGCCCCACCAACATGGTGAAACTTTGTCTCTACTAAAAATACAAAATTAGCCAGGCATGGTGGCAGGAGCCTGTAATCTCAGCTACTTGGGAGGCTGAGGCAGGAGGATGGCTTGGACCCTGGAGGCAGATGTTGCAGTGAGCCAAGATGGTGCCACTGCACTCCAGCCTGGGCAACAAGAGCAAAACTCCATCTCAAAAAAAAAAGAGAGATTAGAATCTAAAGGAGGAATCTGGAACACAGTCACAGACACTATGGAAATCAGTTCCAAATACTTTAACCTCATGTGTTCCCAAAGCCTCCCCCGGTTTGCTTTCCTGATCATGTTGATTCCTCTGCTCTCTAAGAACCAGGCCCCTCCCAGTCACCACTGTCTCTGCTTCATCCAGGTTTTTGTTTGATCTCACCTGGAAAACTGCAACATACTCACCTTCTGTGCTATTCCCCCCGAAACCAAAAGGGGCACTTACTAAAAATAAATCAGCTTGGGTCGCTCCCTTGTCTAAAAATGTTTGAAATCTTCCCATTGCCTCCAGGCTAAAATCCAACTCCTATGGCCAAGAAGCACATGCAAAGATGCTTAGCCTCCTTAGTCATCAGGGAAATGCAAATCAAAAGCCACAGTGAGATGCCACTTCACACCCACTAGGAAGGCTGGAATCAAAATAACTAAAAGGACATAATACCAAGTGTTGATGAGGATGTGGAGCAATTGGAACCTTCGCACATTTCCTGTGAAAATGTGGAGTGGTATAGCTGCTGTGGAAGATAATTTGGCAGATCCTCAAAAAGGTAAATACAAAATGACTGTATGACCCAGCAATTCCACTCCTAGGCAGATACCCCAGAAAACTGGAGGCATATATCTGCACAAAAACTTGTACACTAGTGTTCATAACAGCATTAGGCAAAATAGCCCAAAACACCAGAAACAGCCCAAATGCCCATCCGTTGATGAATTCATAAATAAAATGTGACTTATTAGCCAGGCCTGGTGGTGTGCATATGTAATCCCAGCTACTCAGGAGGCTGAGGCAGGAGAACCACTTGAACCTGGGAGGTGGAGGTTGCAGTGAGCCAAGATCGCACCATTTCACTCCAGCCTGGGAGACAGAGCAAGACTCTGTCTCAAAAAAAAAAAAAAAAAAAGTGACTTAGTCTATTTGTGTTGCTGTAACAAAATACCACAGACTGAGTAATTTATAAATAATAGAAGTTTATTTCTCTGGAGGCTGGAAAGTCCAAGATCAAGACACCAGCAGGTTCAATATCTGGTGAAGGCTCGGTCTCTGCTTCCAAGATGGTGCTGTTATATATAAAGTTTTGGTGCCACAAAAGGAATAGCACTCAAATATAAAATTTTCTTTTTAATTCTCAGCAAGACAAGTTACTTCTATAGAAGGGTGTGCTCTTACAGATGGAGCAATGGTGAGCACTCACTTGGACAAGGGAGGGGAAGGGGTTCTTATCCCTGACTCACGTGGCCCCTACTGCTGTGTCGTTCCCCTATTGGGTAGGGTTGGACCGCACAGGCTAAACTAATTCCTATTGGCCAATTTAAAGGGAATGATGGGATAAGTGATTTGGCGGGAATCAGGGCAGAGCAGGTAGCAGGTAATCGGAATAATCGGAATGAGTCAGGGTGGAAAGGTAATCGAAAAAGGTTGCTTTATGAGGAAGTTAAGTTTAAAAGTAGAAGGCAAAGAATTGAACATACTGACATATTAATTCTTTGAAAAGAAATTTAGAACTCATATCTAACAGTGCCTTGTTGCTGCATCCCCTGGAGGGGATGAACACTGTGTCCTCACATGGTGGAGGGGGACAAACCACTTCCCCAAATTCTTTCATAAAGGTTCTAGTCTCTTCCATCCTCACGGCCTGGTCCTACCTCTTAATACTATTGCTTTGGGAATTAAGTTTTGACATGAATTTTGAAGAGGATACAAGCATTCAAACCATAGCTGTGGTGTAGCCATACAATCAAATATTACTGAGCCATGAAAAGGAATGAGGTACTGACCCATGCTACAACCTGCACGAATCTTGGAAACATGGTGCTTGGTGGAAGATGCCAGTCCACGGGCCGCATAGCATATGACTGCATTTACATGAAATGGCCAGAATAGGCAAATCCAGAGAGACAGGACATAGATGAGTGGTTGCCAGGCGCTGAGGGGACTGGGTAATGGAGTGTAAATCAGAAGTAAAATGCTAAGCCCCCTCAGCCAACTGAGTGGACCCTTCCTCAGCTAAGGGCATTCCCAAGTTAACCTGAAAAACTAGTTCAGACCATGATGGGGAGTGGGGGTCAGAGGTCAGACGTGTCTCCCACCTTCCTCCTTTTGGAATTCAGATACAGCTGACCAGCATTAACATTAAAACAAATCTTTTTTTTTTTTTTTGAGGCGGAGTCTCGCTCTATCACCCAGGCTGGAGTGCTCACTGCAACCTCCGCCTCCCAGGTTCAAGCAATTCTCCTGCCTCAGCCTCCCAAGTAGCTGGGATTACAGGCATGTGCCACCATGCCTGAGTAATTTTTGTATTTTTAGTAGAGACAGGGATTCTTTCATGTTGTCCAGTCTGGTCTTGAACTCCTGACCTCAGATGATCCACCTGCCTCGGCCTCCCAAAGTGTTGGGATTACAGGCGTGAGCCACCGCACCTGACTAAAACAGATCTTAAGGCTGATGAAACAGACTTTTTGTAGCAATAAGACACCAAATTCCAAACTAACTCTAGTATAGCATCAGGACAGATAGCAGGTCCTGAATGAAATTAAAGTATTTTACCCCCAAATGTATTTCTTTGACTTATTTTGAAATGGCCCTGCAAAGCTGTCTCTTGTGAGGAAACATCTGCATTCTGTAGAGAATCCCCTTCCCTTTCCAGGCCTTTTCCTGATCCAGGAGAGAATTAACTAAGACTCTGGCATCTTTTTAGGTCTGCGAAGAGCTCTGAAGCCTGCCACCTGGCGGCCTCTGCGTGATGAGACCTTGGTCTCCACAACAGCTCATCTTTTTTTTTTGAGACGGAGTCTCCCTCGGTCGCCCAGGCTGGAGTGCAGTGGCGCAATCTCGGCTCACTGCAAGCTCCGCCTCCCGGGTTCATGCCATTCTCCTGCCTCAGCCTCCCGAGTAGCTGGGACTACAGGCGCCCACCACCACACCCACCTAATTTTTGTATTTTTAGTAGAGACGGGGTTTCACCGTTTTAGCCAGGATGGTCTCGATCTCCTGACCTCGTGATCCGCCTATCTCAGCCTCCCATAGTGCTGGGATTACAGGCATGAGCCACTGCGCCCAGCTAACCGCTCATCTTAACCCGACATTCCTTTCTACTGATTCCAGGTCTTTAGATAAACTCTTTTGACCAACTGCCAATCAGAAAATTTTTGGAATCTACCTATGATCTGGAAACTGCCTTCCCTACTCCCACCTCAAGTTGTCCCGCCTTTCCAGACGGAACCAATGTACATCCTACATGTATTGATTTATGTCTTAAGTCTCCCTAAAATGTATAAAACCAAGCTGTACTCTGACCACGTTGGGCACATAGGATCTCCTGGGGCTGTGTCACGAGCCATTTGTTACTCATACTTGGCTATAAATCTCTTTTATAGCCAAATATATAAATAGTATAGTATAGTATAGTATAAATCTCTTCAAATATTTTACAGAGTTTGACTGTTTTCATTGACAGGGGAGTGATTGCTCACAGGTATGGGATTTCTTTTGGGGTGGTGAAAATATTCTGGAATTGGATAGTGGTGATGGCTGTATAACTTTATGAAAATACTAAAAAAACCACTGAATCATACACTTCTCAAACTCCTGAGCTTAGGTGATCCACCCGCCTCGGCCTCCCAAAGTGCTGGGATTCCAGGCGTGAGCCGCTGCACCCAGCCTGAATCATACACTTCTAAAAGGTACATTTTATAATATGTGAATTATATCTCTATTTTATTTTATTTTTTGTTTCGAGACAGGGTCTCACTCTGTTGCCCAGGCTGGAGTGCAGTTGTGCTATCTCAGCTGACTGCAACCTTCACCTCTCAGGCTCAAGCAATCCTTCCACCTCAGCCTCCCGAGTAGCTGGAACTACAGACATGTGTCACCATGACTGGCTAATGTTTGTATTTTTTGTAGAGATGGGGTTTTGCCATGTTGCCCAGGCTGGTCTGGAACTTCTGGACTCTAGCAATCCACCTGCCTCTGCCTCTCCCACTGCTGGGATTACAGGCGTGAGCCACTGTGCCTGGTCACATATCTCAATTGTAAGCATTGAGAGTGGTTCTCTTCTTGAGGGTGGGCCAGCCAGTGGCTTTGCTCCCTAGTTCTAGCCTGAAGCCTCTGTTCTCTCCCTTGCCCCATCTTCTCTCTAAGGCATGAGCCACCAGTTCTGGTCACACTCACCTCATGGAGCCCATCAGCCCGGTTTCCTAGGCCTTAGGCTGGACCCCTACTCAACCCCAAAGGCCTGGTGTGTGTCTTGCCTTGTGATTCCTCCCGAAGACGTCTCTGTCTTGTTTTCCCTCTAGAATGTCTTTATAGATGTCCTCAGCTGGCCGGGCGTGGTGGCTCATGCCTGTAATCCCAGCACTTTGGGAGGCTGAGGCGGGAGGATCACCTGAGGTCAGGAGTTCGAGACCTGCCTGACTAACATGGAAAAACCCCGTCTCTACTAAAAATACAAAAGTAGCTGGGCATGGTGGTGCATGCCTGTAATCGGGAGCTTGAGGCAGGAGAAGCACTTGAACCTGGGAGGCGGAGGTTGCAGTGAGCCGAGATCTCGCCATTGCACTCCAGCCTGGGCAACAAGAGCGAAACTCCATCTAAAAAAAAAGAAAAAAAAAAAAAGATTTCCTCAGCTAAACTTCTTCTCTCCTTTCCTCCCACATTGTGTAGAGAAGGCCAGCCATTGTAATCCATACAGAAATTTTGGCCCTGAGGACATTTTAAATACAAACATTTTAAACTGAATTATACCAACTCTGCTGAATTTCCATCAAGGACACTTTCCAGAGCCCACTCTATGGAGCTTAAATAAATCCTTGATCAATTTTCCAGAGAACACTGTGAAACTGCACAGTTCTCCATTTTCATTTTTACTTGTTATCATATTTGATTCTTTCCTGCTGACATTTTCTAACAGCGTTTCAGCATAGGCCTCCCGATACCTATCAAGGCCTGTGTCCTTGGATTATAATTTGGTGATTCTATCACCAAGCCATGAATCTCCCACCGAAGTTCAGGGAATAGCACATTTTTTCCTTGTGCAGCTTTTGCCCTTCTCAGTTTTATTTTCTCACATCGTCCTAATATTAACGTTCACTGTGGTTGAATGAAAGACTGATAGATTACATTTATTTCTCAAAGAAGCTAAGTTTTAAATAGATAACGCATGCATGTGGTAGAAAAATGAGAGCAGTACAAAAGGGTGCACAAAGGCAAACCTTGCCCCTCTTGCTGGCCTCTTGCCCACTTGCCCTCTGCAAAGGCTGTGTCTCAGACGGGGTGCCCAGGACGCCGGCTCTGACACGGAGACCCACGGCAGGCAAGAGCCTCTGGGGGAAAGGGAGGAGCAGCAGAGAAAGAGGCGGCTGTAATGCAGTCTCAGGGAAGGCCCAGCCGCCCGGAGGGAGCTCCGGAGCCGCACTGTTCCTGGTCAGGAGTTCAGGAAGAGGGTCTTCAGGCTCTGAGTGGACCAATCATCAAGCAGCCCTTCTTGGGTATGACCTGGGGCAGATTCTTCATCTGGGAACAACTGGCCCATCCTCCCCAGGCCAGGGCCCTGCAGCCAACACTCCCCAGAGCTGCGGGATGCATCCTCCTAAAGGGACCTAGGCAGCTTAGCCCGAAAATCACTGTCACCCACTGTCCCCAAGTTACCTCTGTCCCCTCCCTACCCTTTTTAGCTGAAGACTTATTTTTAATTGTTATTTTCTTAGACCTCTGGAGCACCCCACGCCCCCAGCCTGGGTTAGCTGTCAGGAGCCCCTGTCTCTTCCTTTCCCACTGCAGCGCCGCCCCCTCGCTGCCTCAGGGGGAGCCCACGCAGCAGCGGGGGCAGACGGGCCTCAGCCTCAGGCAGCCTGGGGAGCAGAGCCTTAGAAGCCATGCTTTTTCTTTTTCCTTTTCTTTGAAACAACTTTCTAGGGCTCTGGAGTTATAAAAAGCTCCCATGTGTCACTTTCTGGCATTTGGGCAGCTGCCGAATGCCACCCGGCCTGCACTGCTGTCCTCCCGAGGTTTGCCCCTGGATTGATGGGCTGGGTTTGGCAAAAGCAGCTGGAGGTTATCGAAAATCTGTTGTAAGGAGCATTGTTAACTTAGAATAAAAATCGAATCCAAAACACGCTTTTGCAATACCCCCTCCCGATATCCACCGAGGCAAAGGCAGAATTAAGAAGCAGGGTCTTGAGATGTAGGAAAGGAGAATGAACCCCACGCGGGAAGAGGACAGGCCGCCCTGACTTTGGTCCACTCAGCCAGGGGGTGAGCACCACCTGTCTTGGTGAATGACTCTGAGCCCATCTCAGGTGTGGCTGCAGGTGACACATCTTCTCTTCCTGTCCACCCCCCAGCCCCATGGCGTCCCTTCCTGTCCTGCAGAAGGAGAGCGTGTTCCAGTCGGGAGCCCATGCCTACAGAATCCCTGCCCTGCTCTACCTGCCTGGGCAGCAGTCCCTGCTGGCCTTCGCGGAACAGCGGGCAAGCAAGAAGGATGAGCACGCAGAGCTGATTGTCCTGCGCAGAGGAGACTACGACGCACCCACCCACCAGGTTCAGGTGAGGCAGGAGGTGTCTGCACTGGCTCCCCAGGGCTCTGCCACACCCTTTGCTGCTGTGATCAGGGGCCAGTCCTGGATCTCAAGAAATACAGGGACAACTTTATCCCTCAATGGCTGTACTCCGGAGGAGAGATAGAGCAGAGAAAGTGCCCCTAATGGTTCCCTGGACCTCTGGGTTCACTGTGAATTAGTCCAGCTGGCCTCCATCTGTTTTCATGAAAGATTGAATGAGTTGCCCAGCATCCGTGATGACCTCACGGAGGAATAGTTCAGTGTTGCATAATGGAGGGTTGTGTCCTTTGAGTAAAATTAACTTGGGGACTTGGGGTGGGGTGATGGCTTGTGTCCTAAAGTCCCATTTTATAGATTAAATAATTAATCCTGATGACAGCACCCAAGGCTGGCTGATCATATTTGAAGAGTTTAATATTATTATCATTCCTTTGTGGTCATTACTACACAGCTGTTCAAAGCATGGGATTTGAAGCAGATGGACCTGGGTTCAAGTCCTGGTTCCGCCACTGACCACAGATGTGGCCTAGGCAACTCCTCCTCCCTGTCGCGGTCTCTTGCTCACTGTAATAATGGAGCTACTAACACCTGTTCCCTGGGGATTGAGGCATTAGATGAGACCATGGATGTTAGACTTTTGGTGCTGTGTCTGTGCTTAGAATTGCCCAATGGGGGTAGCTGTTAATAAATGGGGACAGACAGCACATGTGACATAGACTTGGGGATTCTGGAAGCTCAATGTGACTCCTCCTTGGCTACATGAGTAGGATATGGAGTGTAGAAGGTGAGAGGTGACCGTCACATTCTGTCTTGTACTGGTCAGGTTATTGCACCTTCCGCCAGGGCTTTGCTATTCAAGGATGGTGAGCTGGACTGGGGTGGGAAGTGGAGGAACCAGGATGAAGTTGGGAATGGCTCATGCACGAGTCATCTTCATATCTTGTGGTCTGGCAGGTGGGTGTTCTGTAAATGCATATTGATGGCAATGGAAGGAACAGAATCACTCAGCCGAGTGTGGCTGCCTTGGAGGGGTGAGGTGGCACCCTGGGCCCCGCAGCTCTGGGGAAACGTTGCAAGGAGGATATGAGTGTTGGGTGAAGAGTTCTTCTCGATGACTTTTGACTCTAACCCGGGAGACACACCCGTGCCCACCCCTCCCACTCATGCAGCTCCTGGCACCATCCCCAGCTGTTTCAAGGCTGCCTTCTTCTTTCTCTCTCCCTACTCAGTGGCAAGCTCAGGAGGTGGTGGCCCAGGCCCGGCTGGATGGCCACCGGTCCATGAACCCATGCCCCTTGTATGACGCGCAGACGGGGACCCTCTTCCTCTTCTTCATTGCCATCCCTGGGCAAGTCACGGAGCAACAGCAGCTGCAGACCAGGGCCAATGTGACGCGGCTGTGCCAAGTCACCAGCACTGACCACGGGAGGACCTGGAGCTCCCCCAGAGACCTCACTGATGCGGCCATCGGCCCAGCCTACCGGGAGTGGTCCACCTTTGCAGTGGGCCCGGGGCATTGTTTGCAGCTTCACGACAGGGCCCGGAGCCTGGTGGTGCCCGCCTACGCCTACCGGAAACTTCACCCCATCCAAAGGCCGATCCCCTCTGCCTTCTGCTTCCTCAGCCATGACCATGGGCGCACGTGGGCGCGAGGGCACTTTGTGGCCCAGGACACCCTGGAGTGCCAGGTGGCCGAAGTCGAGACTGGGGAGCAGAGGGTGGTGACCCTCAACGCGAGAAGCCACCTCCGAGCCAGGGTCCAGGCCCAGAGCACCAATGACGGGCTTGATTTCCAGGAGTCTCAGCTGGTGAAGAAGCTGGTGGAGCCGCCGCCCCAGGGCTGCCAGGGGAGCGTCATCAGCTTCCCCAGCCCCCGCTCGGGGCCTGGCTCCCCAGCCCAGTGGCTGCTCTACACTCACCCCACACACTCCTGGCAGAGGGCCGACCTGGGTGCCTACCTCAACCCGCGACCTCCAGCCCCTGAGGCCTGGTCAGAGCCGGTACTGCTGGCCAAGGGCAGCTGTGCCTACTCAGACCTCCAGAGCATGGGCACCGGCCCTGATGGGTCCCCCTTGTTTGGGTGTCTGTACGAAGCCAATGATTACGAGGAGATTGTCTTTCTCATGTTCACCCTGAAGCAAGCCTTCCCAGCTGAGTACCTGCCTCAGTGAGCCTGTGGTGCCCACCTCAAGGGCCTGCCTTTCACCTGCACACCCAGCTCGGAGGCTCTGCGGCTGCCTCTCCTTCCCGTGGCCCCTGGACGTGGGGGCCACTCTGGGCTCCCTTCGGCGCCCGTGTGTGGAGAGAGGTGCACCTCTTGCTCTTTTCCTCCTGCGTGGTTCCAGTCTTCCCAAAAGGTTCTATTTTCAGCCCAGAAACCAAAAGTGTCTGGCTTCCCATAGCCCCTCCATAGGGAAGGCGTGGAGGGTCCTGCAGCGCAGCTGTCACCTTGTCTGCCTGTCCCCTACCCCCAGCTTTGTGTAGGTCTTGACAAATTTCTAGTTCAACTCCTTCCTTCTTGGGAACCATTCCTTATGTTCCTGGGGAAGAACTGAGATGGAAGACCATGGTGTAAATTAGCAGAGATGTGTGTGTATCTGTGTGTGTCTGCATGTGCACGTGTGTTCGTGTGTGTCTATATGTGTCTCTGTGTGCATGTGTGTTCGTGTGTGTCCATGCATACGTGTTTGTGCGTGTTCATGTGTGTCCGTGTGTCTGCGTGTGCATGTGTGTTCATGTGTGTTCGGGTGTGCCATGTGTGCATGTGTGTTTGCATGTGTGTTTATGTGTGTTCGTGTGAGCCTGCGTGTGCATGTGTGTTCGTGTGTGTCCATGTGTGCCTGTGTGTTCGCATGTGTGTTCATGTGTGTTCGTTCATGTCCACGTGTGTCTGCACGTGCATGTGCGTTCATGTGTGCTAGTGTGTGCATAAATATGCATGCATGTTCAAGTGTGTCCATGTGTGCTTGTGTGCGCATGTGTGTTCATCTGTGTTCGAGTGCGTATATGCATGTGCATGTGTGTTCATGTGCGTCCATGTGTTTGTGTGTGCCCATGTGTCTGCGTGCATGTGTGTTCATGTATGTCAGTGTGAGTCTGTGTGTGTATGTGTTTGTGTCTGTGTGTGCATGTGTGTTCGTGTGTCTATGTGTGACTGTGTGTGGATGTGTGTGCATGTGTGTCCATGTGTGTCTGCATGTGCATGTATTTTTGTGTGTGTGTCTGTGTGTGCTTGTGTGTCCATGTGTGTCTGCATGGGCGTGTTTTTATGTGTGTGTCTGTGTGTGCATGTGTGTTCATGTGTGTCCATGTGTGTCTGCATGTGCATATGTTTGTGTGTGTCCATGTGCGTCTGTGTGTGCCTGTGTGTTCGTGTGTCTGTGTGTCTGTGTGCATGTTTGTTCATGTGTGTGTATTTGTGTATGTGTCCTTGCCAATGCTTTGGGGCAGACAGCATGGAGAATAGCTTTGCAGGAAGTAAGGCATGGTCTGGGAAAATTAAGCGAGCTTAAGTCATTGTATTAGCGTCTTAAGGCTGCTAGAACAAAGTACCTTAATCTTGGTGGCTTAAAGCAGCAGAAATTTGTTCTCTCACCGTTCTTTCTGGAGGCCAGAAGCCTGAAATCAACATGTCTGAGAGGCTCTGTGCCCTCTGGAGACCCTGGTGAGGGGGGCCTTCCCTGCTTCTTCCAGCTTCTGCCGGCTCCCAGCAACGCTCGCTGGTCCTTGCCTTGTGATCGCATCACTCCAGTCCCTGCCTCGATCCTCACGTGGCCACATCTCCTCCTCCTCCTGTGTCTTCTCTTCTATGTTTATAAGGACACTTGTCACTGACTGGATTTAGGGCCCACTCACATAATTCGGGGTGATTTTTTTTTTTTGAGACAGAGTCTTGCTCTGTTGCCCAGACTAGAGTGCAGTGTCACCATCTCAACTCACTGCAACCTTTGCCTCTCGGGTTCAAGCGATTTTCCCGCTTCAGCCTCCCAAGTAGCTGGGATTACAGGCATGCACCATGATGCCCAGCTAATTTTTGTGTTTTTAGTAGAGACAGGGTTTCACCATGTTGGCCAGGCTGGTGTCGAACTTCTGGCCTCAAGTGATCCACTGGCCTCGGCCTCCCAAAGTGCAGGGATTACAAGCATGAACCACTGCACCCGGCCCAGGAGGATCTTATTTCCCAAGATCCTGAACTTAATTACATTTGCAAAGACACTTCTTCCAAATAAAGTCCCATTCACAGATTCTGGGATGTGGATATATCCTCTTGCACTTCACAAAGGAGAATATTCTAAAGGCTCCTAAATTGCTCAACATCATTAGTCATCAGAGGAATGCAAAATAAAACTGTGAGAGACTTATCTCCTAGAATGCCCACATTTAAAAGATTAACAACAGCAAATATCAACAAGGATGTGGAGCCACTGGAACTCTAGTATCTTTCTGGCAGAAAGTAACTGACACAACCACTTTGGCAAGCGATTTGGTGGAATCCACCAAAACAAAACATGTAAATACTCCATGACCCAGCAGTTCTACTCTGGAGCACATATCCAAGAGAAATGAATGTTCATAGCTGCCGAAGACACATAGAAGATTGTTTACAGCAGCTTCATTCACAAGAGTCCTAAACTGGAAACAACCCAAATGTCAATAGAAAGTAAAATAAATAAGTAAATTAGGGGCTGGGCTTGGTGGCTCACGCCTGTAATCCCAGCAATTTGGGAGGCTGAGGCCGGTGGATCACCTGAGGTCAGGAGTTCGAGACCAGCCTGGCCAACATGGTGAAACCCCACCTCTACTAAAAAATACAAAAAATTAGCCAGGCGTGGTGGCAGGTGCCTGTAATCCCAGCCACTAGGGAGGCTGAGGCAGGAGAATTGCTTGAACCTGGGAGGTGGAGTTTGCAGTGAGCTGAGATTGCGCCATTGCACTCCAGCCTGGGCAACAAGAGTGAAATTCCGTCTCAAAAAAAAAAAAAAAAAAAAAAAAAGGAAAAAAAAGAAGGGCATATTCATGAAGTGGAATATTATAATACACAACAGTGAAAGAGTGGACTACTGCTCTCCACACTAGCATGGATGGTTTTCAGACATCATGACGAGTGAAGGATATCAGACTCGAATGAGTACACACCTTATTATTCTATTTATATGAAGTTCAAGGACAGACAAAACTAAACTATGGTCTATCAGTCAGGATAGTGGCTGCTCCTGGTGGAGGGGAGCTGTTGACTGGGACACAGCAAGAGGGAGGCTGCTGGGTGTTCTATTGCTTGATCTGGGGCTGGTTATGTGGATGATTTCGTGTGTAAAAATTTGATGTGCTATACACAAAAGATTTGTGTGCCGCCGGGCTCGGTGGCTTACACCTGTAATCCCAGCACTTTGGGAGGCCGAGGTAGGTGGATCACGAGGTCAGGAGTTTGAGACCAGCCTGACCAACATGGTGAAACCCTGTCTCTACTAAAAATACAAAAATTAGCCAGGCCTGGTAGCGTGCGCCTGTAATCCCAGCTAGTCAGGAGGCTGAGGCAGGAGAATCACTTGAACCCAGCAGGCAGAGATTGCAGTGAGCCGAGATCGCGCCATTGCACTCCAGCCTGGGCAACAGAGCGAGACTCTGTCTAAAAACAAAAACAAAGCAAAACAAAACAAAACAAAAGATTTGTGTGCCCTACTGCATATATGTTACACCTCAATAAAAAATAAAAATTGAACAAAAGAGCAGATTTGCTAGATTAACTCCCAAAGCAATATTGTATGTTGGGTTTTAAAACTGAAATTGGGTTTCAACTGAATTTCAATATTGGGTTTAAAATTGATTTTTTTTTTTTTTTGAGATGGAGTCTGACTCTGGCACGATCTCGTCTCACTGTAACCTCCGCCTCCTGGAGGCAGTTCTAGCAATTCTGCTACCTGAGTCTCCCAAGTAGCTAGGATTACAGTTGTGCACCACCTGACTAATTTTTGTATTTTTAGTGGAGACGGGGTTTCACCATGTTGGCCAGGCTGGTCTCGAACTCCTGACCTCAGGTGACCCACTCGCCTTGACCTCCCAAAGTGCTGGGATTATAGGCATGAGCCACTGCGCCTGGCCTTTTTTTTTTTTTTTTTTTTTTTTTTTGGAGACCAGGTCTTGCTCTGTTGCCTAGGTTGGAGTGCAGTGGCACAATCACAGCTCACTGAAGCCTCCCCCTACTGGGCTCAAACGATCTCGCCTCAGCCTCCCAAGTAGCTGGGACTACAAGCACGTACCACCATGCCTCACTAATTTAAAAAAAAAAATTGTAGAGATGGGGTCTTACTATGCAGCCCAGGCTAGCCTCAAACTCCCGAGCTCAAGTCATTCTCCTCCCTCAGCCTCCCAAAGTGCTGCAATTACAGGTATGAGCCACCATGCCCTGCTGAAACTGAATTTTTAAATAAATGCTTTATTTCAGAACAATTTTAGATTTACATAGAAGTTGCAAAGATAGTACAGAACGTTCCTGTATACTCCACACCCAGTTTCCCCTGACGTTGACATCTTACATAACTGTGGTACATTTGTTAAAACGAAGAGATTAACATTGGTACATGGTTATTTACTAAACTCTAGACTTTATTCTGATTTCACCAGTTTTTCCACTAATGTCCTTTTCTTCCCCCTGTTCTAGGATCCAATCCAGGATACATTTAGTAAAACAGAATTTTTACTATAATAAATTTGTATCCTTAGAGACACACACATACACAGATTGATACACACAGTTCCAGAAGGTCCTCCCTTCCCGGGACCTTCCCTTAAAAACCACCTCTAAACAAATAAATAAGCAACCACAAAGGTGTGTGCTTCAGCCTCAGACTGCCGATGTGTAAATGACAGAAGAAGTAGTTCAGTCTCTGGAGCCCAGGAAGGTGGCCTTCAAATCTGCTACACAGAGCTCCACGTCCAGGCTGTGGCACCTTGTCCGGGACTACTCTGGTCAACTTTGAGCCCAACGCCACTGCCTGGGACATCTGGGTGTTGGGGTGTAGGGGTGTGTGTGTACACACGTGCATGTACACTGGATGTCCATCATCCAGTCCAACTTTGGGGTTGGTGGACCAGCCTTGTTCAACGTTCCACCTGGCAACCCCACAACCGGGGTGCAGACACAGCAGGGATTAGTGGAGCCCGGGCCTCATCCACACACTCCCCTCAACACAGACCAGGAAGAACTGGAGCTCCAGGTGTGGGGAGCCCACATGGCCCTGGTTCTTGTAGATATCTGAGGCAGGGCTGCTACTGTTCACCTCACCTCTGAGCAGCTGCCCTGGTGCAGCCATCCCCTTTAGACTCCATCTTTCATCTCACCTTCTATGGCCCTATGGCCTTCCTGGCCGGGCGGGTCACAGGTGCCTCTCCAGGTTTGTTTCGTGGCCGGGCTGGGACAGTGGGAGGGACCTGGACTTCTGGTGCCTGAGAGACCAGCCCTGGGAAGCCACTGGGGAAGGGATTCCAAGGCTGGGGAGGGGGCATGGCAGTTGGCATACCTGTCAATGGGGAAGAGAGCCAAGGTCCTGACAAGGCCTGTGTGGCTGGCTGAATAATGGCCCCCGCTGCCCACAAAGATGTCCACATCCTAATCCCTAGAAACTCTGGATGTTACTTTATATAGCAAAAGGAATTTTGCAGATATGATTCACTTACTCTTGAGATGGTGAGATTATTCTGGATTATCCAGGTGGGACATAAATGTAATCAAAGGGTCTTTGTAAGAAGGAAGCAGAGAGAGATTCAATACAGAAGAAGGCCTTGTGAGCACTGAAGTGAGATCCTTGGCTTTGGGCTTTGCAGATGGAGGGAGGGGCCACTAGCCGGGGAATGCAGCTCTAGAGCCAGAGAAGGCAAGGAAGTTTCCCTTGGTGCTTCTGTGGGAATGCGGCCCTGCAGACACCTTGACTTTAGCCCAGTGAAACAGACTCAGGACTTCTGCCCTTTAGGACTGTAGAGAACAAATGTATGTAGTTTTAAGTCACCACGTTTGTGGCCATTTTTTATAGTGGCAGCAGAAAATGAATACAGCCTGGCTCTTCTTGCTATTCTTGCATGCGCACCTGAGAAGTGTGTGCTGAGGAGGTGAGTGAAGAAGGCAGTGATACTGTGGTCAGCTCTGGCCCTGCCAATACATCCCAGGATTCCCGAGGGTCACAGTGGCCCAAAATACCACAGATCCTTCTGGATGGACTAGGGGGAATACATGAAGGAAAAGGAAGATGGAAAAGAGGCCACGTTTGTCATATCCTTCTTTAAGTCCTCTCTTTGGTCAATCCCAACATCTGATGGCTCAAGGTAAATGACAGAGGAACACTGGCATCCGTAAGCTGGGCCACCCCTGTTGTCACGGCCTTTCCCCCGACTGCAAAATCATCCATCCCACCCAGGGAATCCAGACCTTCCATGTCTGAGAGGATTGCATCTCTCCAAATCCCCAGGGGAAGGACAGACCTGCTCTCTAGAGAGGATGGAAAGGCTGTGTTACCATGACAACCTTACAGTCCCGCCAGCTGCCCCACAGGGACATGGGCCATTTCCCAAGAATTACTACTGTGGGCAGGAGGGTAAATACCCAGGCCCTTCATAGTCTACTGAACACAAGGCTGAGCTCCTTGGTGTCTTAAGAATCCTCAGTGCCGGGCGGTCGCGGTGGCTCACGCCTGTAATCCCAGCACTTTGGGAGGCCGAGGTGGGTGGATCTCCTGAGGTCAAGAGTTTGAGACCAGCCTGGCCGACATGGTGAAATCCAGTCTCTACTAAAAATACAAAAAATTAGCCAGATGTTGTGGCAGGCACATGTAATCCCAGCTACCCGGGAGGCTGAGGCAGGTGAATCACTTGAACCTGGGAGTCGGAGGTTGCAGTGAGCCGAGATCACGCTCTCGTGATTACACTTCAGCCTGGGCAACAAGAGTGAAGCTCCGTCTCAAAATTTAAAAAAAACAACAAAAAAACAATCTTCAGTGCCATCTGGGTCCTTCCATTCATGGTCAAATAGTGGCCAGCCTTCCAATAACTGGCCCTATAGAAGCACCCGTGGAGCCCTGCCTGCACCCTATGGACGTCTCTAGAGTCTCAGAGCCCCCAGTTGGGGTGGGCTTCCTGAGGACCAGGGACATCCCCAAAGAGAGAGACATTGGGAGCCAGATGCCTGCTATCCAGACACCAGAGGTCAGAGCACTATCAGTGCTGAGGAACTGAGCTCTTGTCACCATTAGGGACCCCCAGGAAAAGCATCATCATTTCCACCACGTCTCCACTCATTTCCTCTTTTTCTTGGTTCCAGGCATCTGATGGCTCATGGGAAATGACTGGGAGGTGCTGGGAGCGACAGGCTGTGTTCTTGCCTGTTGCCACACCTATTGCTGAGACTTTGCAAAACGAATCCATTGAGGACCTGGGGAACTGACTAGGGTCAGTGACATAGCCAAGGCCACCTTTTCTGTATCACCTGCTAGGAGCACCAAGAGTTCAGTTTGCCTCCAAAGGATGGGAAATTCCCTGTTATACAACGCATGCAGACTGAGCATCAGCAACGGGCCGGATGTCATTCTAGGAGGTGGGATTCAATGGTGACAGGACAGAGCCACTGCCCTCAAGAAATTCATGTTATGGGATAGGGTGGACAATAAACAACTAAGTAGGAAATGCAACGTCTGTACTGATGAGCGATAAAGAGAATGTCCAGGGAACGATGTGGTCAGGAGTAAGTGGGGCTGCTCGAGGACAGCCTCCTGGGGAGGTGACATTTAGCAGAGGCCTCGGCAAAGAGAGCTAACACAGCCTGATTGTTCCCCTCAAGGAGCCATAGTCAGGGACACCGGGACCTGACCAGGTCCAGCCAGCTGCCCGACCCAGGGACTTCAGCCTCCTGCTTTTCACTGAACTCGGAGCCCGCTCTGTGGGTTTCTGCCTTCAACTTCTGGGAAGTTGTGAGAGATGCAATTTTTTTTTTATGTACATCATTTTGCTATGTTGCCCAGGCTATCCTTGAACACCTGGACTCAAGCAATCCTCCCATCTCAGCCTCCCAAGTAGTTGGGACAACAGGCTCATGCTATTGCACCTGTCAAAAAATGCAAATTCTGGAGTCCTATCAAATTCTACAGACCTACCGAATCTGAAACCCTGAGGCTGGGGGCCCAGCGATCTGTGTTTAAACAAGCCCCTAGATGATTCTGATGCTGCAAAAGTTTGCAGACTTGAGAAACCCTGGAGTAGAGCTAAACCTACCCACTACTTTGTTCAAGATGTAGGAAGCTCCTCCCAGTTCCCCAAGACCACCCTGACTACTCTGGTGGTCTCACTTATACCGGTAGCTGCTGATGGAATTTCGGCCTTGGAAACTGGGACCCCAGATGAGGGTGGTTGATGATCTCGGCTGGGAGTGAGGTTGGCAGAGCTCCTTCTTGCACAGGCTTTTCTCTCTGCCCACAGCTCCTGTTGATGGAGCAGAGAGGATGAGCGGCTAGGCATGCCCTTCTAACTTGGACTAAACGATTCAAAGAAAATATTCTTTAGGCCTGGAAAAACAGTCCATGGGTCTCCGTGAACCTTCCCTTGGTGCCAGTGGGTTTGTAGCCCACTCATTTCCGTGGATCTCTTCTTCACTGCCCTGTCTCCCTGTCCCCATGGACCAATTAGTTGTGGTCTATCCCAGGCCCCGGCTCGGCCAGCACTCTTTCTCTGTCACACATCCTTGCAATGAACTACACCATCAGTGGGCACTTAGAAGGTAAGTCTTGTTCCTCTTTGGTCATTCTGTAATGTAAAAAGACATTTTTTTTTTAAGACGGAGTCTTGCTCCATCTAGCACAGTCTTGCACGTCTAGCACAGACTAGAGTCTAGCACAGACTAGAGTCTAGCACGTCTAGCACAGGCTAGACGTCTTGCATGTCTAGCACAGGCTAGAGTGCAGTGGCGCGATCTCGGCTCACTGCAACCTCCGCTCCCCAGGTTCAAGTAATTCTCTTGCCTCAGTGTAAACATTTCTAAGGGACATAACCTAATAGAAAGGCTGCCAATGGATTTTGAAATGATTCCAAAGTCATGAAGCTACACGATGAACTTTGGCAGCCTTCTGGGCCTCCCATCTCAGGGCCACCCGCTCTGCCCTTGGCCAGCCCACTGCCTGGTTCGTTCCTATAGCAAGCATGTGTGCCAGGTGCATGGAGACCAAAGGACATGAAGTCAGCCACTGGGCCAACTGTCTCCCGACAGTGAAAACTGCCTGAAATTTGTCAAGACAGTAAATTTAAAAGCTATAAGAGTCGTCTGTTGGCGAGGCTCATACAACCATGTCAAATTCTGCCTCCTACTTCAAAAATTTTAATCATGCCAAAGCCACACACATGCACACATATGTAGACACACATGCACACACATGCACACATATGTAGACACACACCACAAATACAGCACACACATGCCGAGTTTCTGCTCCTGTCTTCTTCTCCCAGAGGGGCCAGCCCTTCTTGTCAAATCATTCCATGAAAGGCCCTGCCTCCTGAGCAGATCCTCCTGGCCTAACCCTGGTACCTGTCACCTCCCAGAAATGGTCTGCAATTCCCACCAGGAGAGACCCTCCTCTGCATCAGATACCTGGGGTGGGAGGTGATGGTGGCAGGAACCTGAAGTCCATAAGGCCCCTGCTAAAAGCATGTGTGGCTTGGGAAAGGAAAGAGGGGCCTTGGAGCAGCTCCAGGGTGGTTGCCATGGAAGGCTCAGAGCCTGCTCTGTGGGGAGAGCAGGCACGGTGGTCTCTTAAACCCAGCGGTGCTGATGGGAGAATCTGCCCTGCCCAGGAGAGACCCGCTGTCTGCACAGCTGAGATTAACTGGCTTCAACATGGCTGCACGAAGACTAACAACCTTGTCGATTCTTAGAGCTAAGGCCGCAGGTGGCAGTAGCAAGACATGAAACATTAGCCTTACAGAGATGGATGTGATCTTGAAGTCTGTTAAGTCTGACCTACTCATTTGGCAGGAATGGAAAGGGGTCCCGTACAGTGATGTCCTCCAAACCACACAGCTGATTAGAGGCAGGCCTAGGAGGCAACTGCTTTTCTGATCTCAGAGGAACATTCCCGCAACTGTTCTGGGCACCTCCTTCGTCTCTGTCTGAACATCCAAGAAGTACAAAGGGTTTCCAGGTTCTGGGATGTGGAACCCTGCTCAGCCTGTCTCTGGAGCCTGTGACCTGAACCACTGGGCACTGTGCCGCCTTCCCTGCCCTTCCCTCATCTCCTCATCAGATTCGAGGGGGAGAAGGGAGCTCAGGCTGCCAGCTCTGGCCTGTGGACTTGCCAGCCTGAGGTGTCTGAACTGAAAGGATGTCAAGAGCTGAGATACAGGCTTCATCCTCCCTTGTTGACAGCCTAGGAGGGAGCGATTTGCACCAAGCCGGGAATTGCTGAAGAGCTCAGTCTCAAAGGCCCCCGTGTCTGCATCGTGAGGAGTCAGTGCTGGGGCCACACTGCCATCCACATCTCATGCCCAGCAAGTGAAGAAGAAAGGAAGGAATCCAGTATTTAAATGTGCTGCTCGGAGAAGAGGTGAGAAAGCTGACTGTACTTTTGGCAAGGTATTGCTTTTTCAAGTTCCATTTTTGTACTGTTTTTAGAAGAGGGCTTCAAAGTAATAGATGCCAAACATTTGGAAGTACAAAGAACTAGGGAGGGAAAATCACCCATAATTTTACTAACCAGAGGCACATTTTCTTCTGGTCTTATCTGTGAATTTTCCTTTTTCTTCAAAACTGAGATCATGCTGCACATTTTTTTTACTCCATTTTGCAGATGAACCTGCTGCAAAATTGATCTAGGATCATGCTTTTGATCCCCCAACTTGACATTATATCACAAGCATTTCCTCCAAGTTATTCTCTAGCAAAAGATAATACGTCAAAGAGACATGCTGTGAATTACTTATGCATTCCTTTAGTATTAGAAACAGAAGTTACTCCTATATTCTTTGTTATAAATAACACTGAGATGAACATCTCTGTGGGTAAGTCTTGGCCCTTATCTGTGATTATTTCTGTCAATTGAATCCTCTAAAAGGAATGATCGCGTCAAAGATGAATATTTGATATCTCTTGAAATGGGCGCTTGCCAGTGTAAAGAAAAACGCTCAATTATAATTTGAAATGCCCTGAAATGGCTTTCCTCTTTTATACTTTTAAACAACTGAGCTCCCAGAAAAATTGACTAAATAATGCATTTGTTCTTCAATTCACAAGTTATGGTCCCTGCTTTCTCCCTGATGTTGTTTATAATCTAGATATAAGACCAGAGGTGGACACACACACAAAAAAAGTTCTAGAATCACAGAGGTCAGAGGGCCCTGGGTGTTACCTGGCCTAGCTTCGTTCATTTGACAAGCATTGAAACAGAGGACTGGGGAGGCTGGGTGGCTTGCTCAAAGTCCCACAGTCCTGGTCAGGATGGTACCAGCCTCGGCAGGGCCTTCCCCACTAACTCCCTGGACCAGAAGCTCAAGGGTCCCAGTGAAAGATCCCGATGACTGTCACTTCCTTTCCTTTTCCTTCACACCCCAAAAGGCACTGGTTGAACAGTCAGGCCCTCCAAGGAGGAGGACAGACAGGCTGTCCAAGGAGGCTCTAGGTCAGGAGATGTCCAGATAGTGGTTGTTGTCTGAGCCATGTTTCTTCCACATGTGGAGCATTTTCTTTCTTTCTAGATCTTTAAGTGACATTCCAAGTGCAGTCTTATAATATCAGAGCCATTTGGTTTTCAATGACTAACTTCTAATGCACTAACTACTTATGCTTTTTTTCTTCATTATTCCAATCAGAACACATGTATTGAGTATCCGTTATGTGTTATGTACTGTGCTAAGGAAATAAGACAAAAGTGAACGTTGGGTGGGCATAGTGGTTCACGCCTGTAATTGCAACACTTTCAGAGGCTAAGGCAGGAGGATTGCTTGAACCCAAGAGTTTGAGGCCAGCCTAAGCAACATGGTGAGGCACCATCTCTACAAAAAATTAAAAAATTAGTCAGGCATGGTGGCATCTGCCTGTAGTCCTAGCTACTTCGGAGGCTGAACTGGGAAGATCACTTGATCCCCAGAGCAAGGCTGCATTGAGCTGTGATCATACCACTGCACTCTAGCTTGGGTGAAAGAGTGAGACCTTGTCTCAAAAAAAAGAAAAAAAAAAAAAAAGAATGTTTACTGAGAGCTACCTATGTGCCAGGCATTGGTCTAAGCCATTTACAAGTGTTGAATCCTTATTATTGAATCCTTACAACAACCTGTTAAGTCAGGTTACTATTATCACCCTCATTTCACAAAGAAAGAGGCTGAGGCAGAGAAAGATTAAGCCACTTGCCCATGATCTTACAAGCTGGTAAGTGACCAGGCCAGGAGATCAGGCTCTAGAGTCTGTCCTTTTCCCCGTCTGGCCACAGAGAACTGAGGCGAGCTCTGGCTGGGGAGGAGTTAAACCCTGGACAAGAATCTCAGTGCGGGGCAAGAAGACCCAACATAGAGTATAAGCTCCAGGAGGGCAGGGGGTTTTGTTCCCTCCTGCATCTCTGGGGTCCAGGACAGGGTCTGGATTCATGGTAGATTCTTAGTCAATATCTGTTGAATCAATGAATGAGTAGACATATGTAAGGTGCCAATTCAGTAATACTGGAGCCCAGAGTGAGTGTGGGAGAGGGAGGAGGAGACCAGGAAAGGCAAATGAGATGTGGGGCTGGAAGAGCTTGGTGTGACCTGCCACGGAGCTTGCATTTCATCCTAGGGCGGGGGACACCACAGGCGATGTAACCTAAAGAAGTGGCAGGCTCAGATTTGCATTTTAGAAAGAGATACCTGGTAGGCATGCAGGGACAGAGTCAGAGATGCGAGTGGGGTGTCCTGGAGGAGGAGGCGGGAGGAGGATGGGCTAGCAAAGGCCCTCTCGAAATAGTCCAGGCAACAAAGAAGGCTGGGACTGTGGGGCTGCCGCCAAGGGAATGGATTCCAAGGAGCTCCAGAACTCGATGATCCATCAGATGTGGGTGGTGAGAGAGGGGGCAGAGATGAAGATGTTGGTGGTTTCTGGCTTGGGAGAAGCCAGTTTGGTGACAGCAATCTAGATAGGCGATGTGTGTGGAAGAACAGGTTTTCGGTGTAAAGATAGAAAATTCAGATGACAGAGCTTTTAAGTGTCTATAGGGTGTCCTCACAGGCAGCAGGAAGTGTGGATCTGAAGGAGGTCAGGACCGGAAATACAGATTTGGAAGCCACAAGTGAGGAAAATGCTCTGGGAGAGTATGGAGGAGACAAAAGGGATGACCAAGGACAAAAGCCTGGGAAGAAGGGGGCTCAGGGAGGAAGGTGTAGAACTTGGGGGAGCAACAGGAAGGATTTTGAGAGGGAGGGAGAGGCCTGCAGGGTTGCTCACTGTAGAGGGGTCATGATGATGATGGGGTGCTGGGAGAAAGAAGCTGCTGCAAAAGGTTTTGGTGGGAGGGTTGGGGGTGGGGACAAGGCTGCTGTAGGAGGCTGAGTGAGGACAATTTATTCCAAAAGCTCCCCAATTTATTCCAAAATCACCCAGGTGATACCCAGACAAGAAGAAAGGGCAGGGAGCTGTGGCTCTCAGTCTTGGCCACCCAAGGCACTCTTCTGGGGAGGTCCTGGCCCCACCTTAGAGATTTTTATTTAATTGGTCTGGGGTGGGGCCTTTCAGACTTTCAGCCAAGACTGAGAACCTTTGTCAGGGAGGATTTTTTAAGTTTTTATTTTATAACATGGAAAAATCTTAAGCTCGCTTATAGGATGAGGGGAAGGAGTGGGTGGGGAGGAGAGGGAGAAAATCCAGAGGTGTGGGGGTGGCTGTGGGAGCCAATCCCAGCCACAGGAGGGGAGAATCTGGAGGAGCCCCTGGGGACAATGGGATGGAGGCGGGTGTGGACGCATTGGAAAGCAGCCTGGGAGACCCATCTAGCATCTGTGGGCAGAATAGTGAGGGGCTTTAATGTTTGGTGGCTTCTGGAAGTGAGCTAGCCTGAGGAGCGTGGGGAGGTGAGGTAGGGAAGCGGGGTCCACTGGAAAAATGCAGGCTTTGGTGCCGCAGCCAACGGAGAAGGCAGGGGAGAGGCTGGAAGGCTCTGGTCTCCATGCTAGTGGGAAGCCGGGTTTTGTCCTGGGCTGCGCTGCCTGGCAGAGGCATTTCTCTGGCCACACCAGCAGCCCCTTTGGCTGGGTGTGGCGGGAGAAGAAGGAGCTGTGAGGGAGTTGAGGGGCATGGGGAGGACAAAGGTTGTGCAGATGTGTGTGATGGAGAGGAGGGAACAGGAGGTGGTCAGGGCAGGGCTTGGGGCTGGCCAGAGATGAAAGGGGAAGCAATCACAGCCCGAGGGCTGGAGTGTGATTGGGAGGCTAAGGTTTGAGTTGCTGGCACTCCCTGGGCTGCAGCTACAATGGGTAGAGTTGGCAGGAGGTGCTGGATCCAGGTATGGAGTAAGGACTCCTGCCAAGTTCTCAGGGGTGGAATGGAAATAAGAAAAAGTCAGGAAATGGTCAGATTCCAGTCTTGTAAGTACTGTCAAGGATTTCACACTTTGTCCTACAGGCAGTAAGCAGCTGTTGGAATCACTCAGCAGGGGAGTCACGGGATGAACGGGAGGCTTTAGGGTGAACCTGCACAGTTCTTTGCAGTCTGGATTGCAAACTGAAGATCTGGAACTGAAGATTTGGGAGATTAACTAGGTCACAATTGCAATGAGACCAATCACCTCTGGGTGGGGTGGGATGTGCAGTTTGACAGGTTTAACCACCACCCCGGCCCTGGTTCCCTCTCCCACACCTCCAGCAAGTGTGCTTCAAGCCATCTTTTTGTTCTGTTTTGTTTTGTTTTGTTTTGTTGAGATGGAGTCTTGCCGTGTCGCACAAGCTAGAGTGCAGTGGCATGAGCTTAGCTTACTGCAACTTCTGCGTCTTGGGTTCAAGCAATCCTTCTGCCTCAGCCTCCTGAGTAGCTGGGATTGCAGGCAACTGCTACAATGCCCGGCTAATTTTTGTATTTTTAGTAGAGACGGGGTTTCTCCATGTTGGCCAAGCTGGTCTGAAACTCCTGACCTCAAGTGATCGCCCGCCTCAGCCTCCCAAAGTGTTGGGATTACAGGCATGAGCCACTGCACCCAGCTTCATCAAGCCATCTTTGAGTTCACAGTAAAAACCTAGAAGGTAGGATGAGACCCATGCTTCTGTTCCAGAGGGAATTTCCTCTAAATGTCCATGCCACACGCATCTCCAAGGACCCTGAAAATGGTCATCTGACACTTCTGTGTGCTGGGGACCAGCCCCTTGGGCTTAGACCCAGTAATTTCTTTATCTGTGCTAATTCCAATAATGGTCTGTGTAAAAGTAACAGTGGGAGGCCAGGAGGCTTCCAGACAGGAGAGGATGCAGGGGAGAGTATAGGTGAGCAGGCCGGAGGCTCTAGGCCCTATGCATTGCAGAGCCCAGCGCAGAAGTTCCAGCTCATTTAACTTAAGGTGTGTAGCGTATACAGAGGTTTTGGGATCAAGCAGATGTAAGCTAGATTCTCAGGTCTGCCACTAACTTGCAGGCAAATTATTTAACCTCTCTGGTCTCAATTTCCCTGCCAGTAAAATAGACATAATAATAGGATTTCCCTTTGTGGGTTGTCCATGAGGATTGAGCGAGGCAACTCGTGTAGAGAGCATAGCAGTGCTTCCACGTGGTTAGCTGGTAGATAGATATTGGCCATTTTTATTAATTCAACACATGTTTATTGGGTACTGCTATGGACTGGTACTGGGTACTTTAGGGGAGTTATGTCCCGCCCCCTGAAATTCATATACTGAAACCCTGACCCCCAGTGTAACTGTATTTGGAGATTGGGCTTTTAGGAGGTAATTAAAGTTAAATGAGGTCACAAGGATGGAGTCCTAACCTGACAGGGTTGGTGGCCATAGAAAAAAAGGAGGAGAGGAGGGAAGGCCACAGGAGGACAAGGTGAGAAGGCGGCCACCTGCAAGTCAGGACGAGAGCCCTCCTCAGAGCATGACCATGCTGGCACTTTGATCTTGGGCTTCCAGCCTCCAGACTTATGAAAGATAAATGCCTGTTGCTGAAGCCATCCAGTCTATGGTACTTAGTTATGGCAGCCTAAGCTGACAAAGACAGGTGCGTACTGCCTGGCAGCATGAGCCGGATGCTGCTGCAGCGTGCAATGAACAAGACAGATCTGCATTTTCCCAGAGGTGAGAATCTAATGAGAGGAGAAGAGAGGTGCACACAAAATAGTGCAAGTCGTGATAGGAAAAGGCTCTAAGAGAAGAGCAGGCAGGTTGTGCAGGCTAGGGCGGGGGCGGGGCAGAGTGGGGGAGATAAAGGAGTGCTGATATGCCACGGAGTGGCGGAGCATCAGAGAAAGACACCTGCTTCGGGTAGCCTGCAAGGCTGGAATGGTCCAGGGAAGAGGTGATGCTTCCGGGTAGGGGTGGTGGCAGGGATAGTTGCTGGAAGGGCAAGAGTGGGGAGCCATTTCAGAGATGTTTCCCCATAGTTTTAGGAGCTGGCGAGGATGCAGTCAAGAAAACCTGGGGCTTCCTGAGACCCAGTCCGGCCAAGTAGGAGGAGGGGGCAGGAGGAAGACCATGCTGGGAAGCAGATTCTGATGGAAATGAAGCTGGGACCAACCAGGTGGGGTGTTTTTGTTTGTTTGTTTGTTTGTTTTGGCACATTAGTTCAGAGAACTACTGGCTGAAGAAGCAGAGAGGAAGAGGAACAGAACGTGGAGCTGGGAAGAAGCTGCCACGTAATTGCCACGGAAAGAGTGGCTGTTGGCAGGAACTGCATTTAGGAAGCATGGTAGTGGGCCTGCCAAGGGAGGCGGTCATGATTCATGCCTGGGAAGTGCTCGAGGCCAGAACGGAGGTTGGAGGAGGCTCCGGGGCCTGGGGCGTGGTGGCCGTGGTAGACCGGCGGACGCTGGCGATGGCTGGGCTCAGGGTCTGGCTCAGGGGAGTGTTGCTGAGAGTTGCTGTTCCTAGAATTTGTAAAATCTGACTCTGGGGGCGGAGAGCCAGGAAAGGGGTGGTTGCTGTGGCAACAAGGACACTCCATAGGGGTGGGGTGGGGCAATCGCAGTGGTGGGGGTGGGGATCGCAGGCCTGCCTTGCTTCACATCCAGGTGTAGGCTTAACTGCAACAAAGCTACCAAGAGGCCATGGGCTTGGCCCCTTCATGTTCAGTGCAAGAAACAGATCTAGACAGCTTTCTAGAAAGGGAATGTATTTATACATTTTCCTAAAAGTTCAAACGCAAGGAGAGAGCTCATTCTTAAATCAATATTGTAATGAAAGTCAAGAATTCCTTTGAAATAAAAGTCCCCAGGGCTTGTTTTTTAAAAACCTGTTTCATAAGTAGGATTTTCATCCATGTCACTTTCTTAAAGTAGGACACTCCAGAATTGCCCCTCTGAGTTTTAGAAAATATTAAACCCCAGTTATCACCAACAGTAGGTATGTAAATTGGTGCAACCACTTTGGAAGACAATACGGCATAACTAATCAAAACTAAAAATGCACACAACCGTTGAACGCTCATTCCTCTTCTAGGGATTTTTCTTGCAGATAGACTAACTAAAAACTGGAATCTTTGGGAGGCTGAGGTGGGCGGATCCCTTGAGGTCAGGAGTTTGAGACCAGCCTGGCCAACATGATGAAACCCCATCTCTACTAAAAATACAAAAAATAGCTGGGCATGGTGGCACATGCCTGTAGTCCCAGCTACTCAGGAGGCTGAGGTACGAGAATCGCTTGAGCCTGGGAGGCGGAGGTTACAGTGAGCCAAGATCTCACCACTGCACTCCAGCCTGGGCAGCTGAGCCAGACCCCATCTCAAAAACAAAAACAAAACCAAAAAAACCCTGGAATCTATGTGTCCAGGGAGAGGAAACTGGTAAAATGCACCATGTTATGATATAGAATAGTAGGTATGTTTAAAAGAATGTGGTAGATATAAACTAGCTCCACGAAATGTCCAGAAATCTGAAGTGAAAAATGAAAGACACATAATAGAGTATTTAAAAAAGGGGGCCCTGCAAAAATCGGGTTGTATATGCATAGAAAACACTGAAAGACTGCACAAGACACTGGCCCTGGAGAAATGGATCTGGGGTCTGGGCTGGCAGGAAAACTTACTTTTTATTGTAAACCCTTTTGAGCATGTTAAATAACATGTTACTATGTGCACATGTTACTTTTCAATGTAAAAAAAAAAAAAGGTTAAGGAGAGAAAAGTTGGTCTCTTTCTTAGGAATCCTGAGAGGAATGATGGGGGAAGAGTCTCCCAGGATACAACCAGCCATCCACACAAAACAAAATGCTTCCAGCAGGATTTTACACACACTACCTTGATCTGGAGTTCTCTTTTTATTTAATTTTTTTATGTGGGCAGTAAAGGAAAGCTGGAAAAGTAGATGGAAGAAAAAAAATTGCTCGTGGATATGCCGCCTAACTCAACCCTGTTCACCTCCAGTGTCTTTCCAGGATAGAGCTTTTTCCATAGTTGGAATCGTAATGTATTCCCATTTGGTTTCTTGATTTGTTTGTTTGTTTTGAGATGGAGTCTCACTCTGTCGCACAGGCTGGAGTGCAGTGGTGCGATCTCAGCTCGCTGCAACCTCCGCCACCTGGATTCAAGCGAGTCTCCTTCCTCAGCCTCCCAAGTAGCTGGGACTTCGGGTGCCTGTCACCATACCTGGCTAATTTTTGGATTTTTAGTAGGGTTTTGCTAGGTTGGCCAGGCTGTTCTTGAACTCCTGACTTCTGGAGATCTGTTCACCTTGGCCTCCCAAAGTCCTGGGATTACAGGTGTGAGACACTGCACCCGGCCTTGATTTGTTTTTTCACTAAACGTTGTATTACGAATATTTCCCTCTGTCCTTAAGAATCTTGACAAGAGACATATGTTGGCTTTTTGGACATGGTTTCCTCTTACCCAATTCTTCCCAAAGTCAATCCTAATTCTCCTTGTTTTCTTTCAAGCTCATTTGATTTTCCGGCATCTTCAGTGAAACAGGAGATGCTCGCTGCCAGGCCTTCGGTATTCACAGATGTCCTTTAGCACAATTATGGACTCCATGGGCCCTTGGACTCCTTGGGGATCGCCCCTGTGCCTGTCAGCGATGTTCCCGGCTCTGGTCCCAGGGGGAGGCCAGAGTGCAGCGCCACCTGGTGGCCGGGAGTCACAAGGCGCAGACCCGGACCCGTTCAGGTTCTTTGTAGTCGCAGGTAAAGAGTTCTCTTCTAGAATTGGGTTAAACCGGTGGCGAAGGTCACTGATGCCAGCTGCCCGCTGGAGCCCCCAGGAGCCCACCGAAGCTCTGCCCTTCAGGAGCTGGTCAGGGGGCCGCCTGGGAGACCCGCCTCATCGTGAGGACCTACCTGGTGCCAGACACATTACATAATTTCACAGACATTCTTCAACAGGGTGTCACTATCCCTTTACAGAGATGCAAACCAATCCAGAGATGCTACATAGTCATGGTAAAGCTGAGATTTGGATCCCAGCCTTGTTCCTGTGTGTCTAATTCAGAGTCTGATTTGCAGCACTAAAATGGAGCTTATCAGAGGAGCAGAACAGGGAAGGGGTGGAGGGTGCCATGATTTGAGATGTTGCCTTCCCATTGTTGGGGATGCACCAAGCCCCAGGAAGCCGTGGGGCCACATAGATGGATGGTCTCTGGCAAAATCTGTCAGGAATTCAGAGGACTGTGGCCACTAGCTCTGCAAATCTGAATGAAATTTGTGCCTGCAGGGGCCTGGGTGGATCTGGAAACGTCAAGATGCCGGTAGCAGAAATGGAACTGGAAAAGGAAAGGCAGGCTGGTGGAGCCTGGTATCTTGACAGAGCTCCAAAAACAACTGTGGAGAGAGAGGGATGGACAGAGAGAGAGAGAGAAGAGAGAGAGAGAGAGAGAGAGAGAGAGAGAGAGAGAGAGAGAGAGAGAGAAGGCTGGGTGGGGAGAGAGAGAGCTGGGAGGGAAGAAATTCTTTTCTGGCAGACAATAAGGGATCATAATCTGCTAGTTTGGGAGTGCTCCAGCTCTGCCAGACGTCTCCAGTGGGACGGTCTCCCTTCATCCTAGTCAGGGGCTGGGACTTGACTTCCTCTTCCACCATCTCAGTAAGCGACCTTGGCCTTTGATTTGAGAGGGGCCGATGTGGGCAGGGTAGATTCTCAGGACACAGGAGAGCATCCATCCTTCTTAACAAACTGTGAATAAGGTGCTGGCTCCTGCTTTTGACTGGTTTTCCCGGCTGGTCTTCCTCAGTGGCAGGAAGCAGGAGCCTGGGGGCTGACCCACCTGCCCTGGGCTCCTTGGGAGGGGAACAGTGGTGCTTGATCCCAGGAGGCTCCCTGTGAGTGGCTGCTCCCTTCTCCAGCAAAGGATGTCTTATTATCAGGTCTGAAGATGAGGGAAGTTCACTATTGATTACGCCAGCCAGTGAGCAACTTTCTAACTTCACGGTCAAGTATTTGCCCTTCTATTAATCAGGGTTCTTCAGAGAAGCAGATAGATAAGTAGATAGATTAGATAGATAGGGAGATAGATGGCTAGATAGATAGGGAGATAGATGGCTAGATAGATAGATAGATGGCTAAATAGATAGATGGATGGCTACATGGATGGATAGATAGATGGCTAGATAGATGGATGGATAGCTACATAGATGGATGGATAGATAGATAGATAGATAGATGGCTAAATAGATAGATGGCTAGATAGATAGACAGACAGATGGCTAGATACATAGACAGATGGCTAGATAGATATATGGATAAATAGATGACTAGATAGATAGATGACTAAATAGATAGGCAGATCGATAGATTTATAGATCAATAGATAGATAGGTAATAGTTAGACAGATGGCTAGACAGATGGATGGCCAGATAGATAGATAGATGGCTAGATAGATAGTGACTAGATAGATGGATAGGTAGATGGCTAGATAGATAGATGGATGGATGGTTAGCTAGATAGCTAGATAAATGGCTGGATAGATAGATGGATGGCTAGATACATAGATGACTAGATAGATAGTGGCTAGATGGATAGATAGATGGATGGCTAGATAGATGGCTAGATAGATAAATAGATGGATAGATAGATAGATGGCTAGATAGGTGGATAGATAGGTGGATGGCTAGAGAGATACACAGATGTATGGATAGATAGATAGATAGATAGATAGATAGATAGATAGATAGATAGATAGATATGGAATTGGCTCATAGGATGGTCAAGGCTGGCAAGTGCAAAGTCTGTAGAGTGGGCTGGCAGGCTGGAGACCCCGGGAAGAGTTGATGCTGCGGCTCGAGTCCATAGGCAATCTACTGGCAAATTTACTCTTTGGAGGAAGTCAGTCTTTTTCTATTAAGACCTTCAGCTTATTGGATGAGGCCTACACACAGGAATTGCTTTACTCAAAGTCTACTGATTTAAATGTTCATGTCATCTAAAAAATACTTTCAGAGAGACATCCAGAATAATGTTGACCAAATATCTGGGTCCTGAGGCCCAGCCAAGTTGACATAAAATTAACCATCACTGCTCCCTTTGCTTTTAGCACTCAGTGAGTGAACACTTTCAGCCCCTGCACCCCAAGCCATGAGTGATATCTATCTATCCACCCAGGCTGGGGGGAGTGGGAGCCCTGGGGCATAGTAAAGGGCTTCGATGAACACAGGAGGGGAAGGGAAGTACAGAGACAAATGCTTAGATATATTGTATATCTGTTAACATTGTATAGTAAATATATATTATATATATATAATGTGTGTGTATATATATACACACTATATATATGATGTAATGTGTGTGTGTATGTGTGTATATATATATATATATATACACACACACACACACATATATATATACAGTATATATTGACCTCTGCCTCCCCTCTCCTGGCTCAGTCCCTTCTCAGACCCTGAAATTCTTTCTGTTTCTTGTCCACGGTGGAAGGACCCCTGGACAAGAAGCTTGGTGTCTCCATTGTCCCTCTCTCCCAGCCTGCCCTGACCCTGTCCTGAGACTCAAACCTTCCTGTGACCCGCCCTCACTTAAGGTTGCCAAAGCAGAATTGCTCCAATGCCTTGGCCCTGCCATGTCAGCCCTCCTCTTCAACACTGAGGCCTGTCTGTTCTTCCCGGAGCTTCTAGAGTTGGCTGAGTGCCCATGACCAGGTGCCTGCCAGACCACCCTGATGCTTCTCACTGCCCAGCTTTCCCAGAAATTGTTCAAGTCCCCTGATGGGGCCTGGGGCTTGCCAGGGCTGGCAGTGCCTTTGGGCAGGTGCCCCAGTCTGGACCCAGGATCACATGAGTGAGTCTGACCCCACTTCTTCCCCTCAGCTGCTTTCCAAGCCTCTGCCCCATGGGTGAGGTTGACCAGATGCTCCAAGGAATGCATAGACTCACACTATGCAATCGCTCTGGGGCCCTATGGCTGGGTGTGACTCCTGGGCACAGCCTGGGGAGCAGGTTTCTCCTTTGAGTGGCCCCGAGCATTGAGGACAGCAAGGATAGTGGCAGGTGGTCTAGGCCCTCATCACCCCTGCCAGCAGCAGCTGGCAGTCCCTTATCCCTTCTGGAGGCTCCTGTCCACTATCAGGCAGCTGCCTCCTCCAACGTCTTTCGAGGACATTGCTCCACAGCACCGATACACCCACGGGCTCTTCCCATCAGCATCATCTCCCACCTCCCATCCATGTGGTGATGCTGAGCTCTCCACATTGATCCTGCCAAGCCAGATGCAGGCAGACATCCCTGGAGAGTGAGACTGCTCTTGTATGTGGAGGGCCAGGGTGCAATCATCATCAAATGGGATCTCAAGGTAGGAATGCAGTGATTATGGCCTAACACATTCAAGAGAATATGGCTGGAAGATGTGTGGTTCTACCTTTATGCTATAAAATTTGGAACAGTAATTTTTTTTTTTTTTTACTGTGTCGCTCTATCACCCAGGCTGGAGTGCAGTGGCACGATCTCGACTCACTGCAATCTTCGCCTCCTGGGTTCAAGTGATTATCCTGCTCAGCCTCCAAAGTAGCTGTAGCTGCGATTATAGGCACGTACCACACCCACCTGATTTTTTTTTTTTTTTTTTTTAGTAGAGACAGGGTTTCACCATGTTGGCCAGGCTGGTCTCAAACTCCTGACCTCAGGTGATCCACTCCCCTCAGCCTCCCAAAGTGCTGGGATTACAGGTGTTAGCCACTGTGCCTGGCCACTCTCTAGCCATTATTTGAAGTCTTCATTGATAAATCACTATCCCTCACATGAGTTTGTGAATTTTGTAATACGTTAAAATTATTTATATTGACTGGAGACCTACAAAAAAAAAAAATCCACCCACCAAAAGGGCAGCTCTGATCTAGATACTGGGATTTCCTGAATGTGGAGGGCAGAAGGGTGGGGGACAAGCCAGCTGACCATGCTGGATAGATCAGGCAATTGGGTGGAAAAGGAAGCAAAGTTGGGATGGGCCTTAAAAATGAGGGAAGAGTGCCCGTGTGGCGTGTGTGCCAGGGGATCTCACTCTGTGGAATGGCAAGGACCGTGGGAATAGAGGTGTGAGAGGTGGGGGGCTGGGGGTTTGGGGGAAGCTCTCTAAGTAGGGCAGTCTTGGCATGGTAGGGGTCTCTAGAGATGAGTGGGTGGAGGTGTAAAGGGACCAGTATTGCAAATGGATCCTCCTGGTGGCGTGGTCCAGGACTTCATGGATGTTGGTGGAGGCCAGCAGGGAAGTGAGAAGGGTGTGAAGGTACACAATGGGAGCATAGGAGATGACCCCATAAGGAGGGGGTGGACAGGTGCTGAGTGGAGGCGTGGGTGGGGAATGAGAGGCCTCCACACTGGGCTGCTGCAGAGGTGGCGTGCTGCGGAAGGGCCGGAGCATGGAGGCCAGTTCCCATCACCACTCTATCCCCACGCCTGGCTCCCAGCCTGGCCAGAGGTCCTTGACTGGGAGTGCTTTGTCTGCCCTACAGACTCGCCTGCCATGTGTGTTGCTCAGCGGGGAGGTGCTGGGGGCCCTGTTCTGGGACAACCATCAGTGTGACACATGTTGAGCCCCTGGGCACATGTGAGCTCTTTTACGAGCTACGTCCTTCAAGTTAGACAAGAAGAAACCAAGGCCGAGAGAGAGAAGAAACTTGACCAGGTTCCCACAGCTTGAATGTGGTGGCGCTGCCTGGCTGGTGCCCCTTCCTGGAGGGAGTCTGTTGTCATGTCCTGGAGGCCAAGGCCTGGATGTGGGATGGTGGGGGCACTCTTTGTGCAGCGGGTCAACACGTGCCCCTTCGGCCTTGGTGGGCCGGACCCAAGGACGGAAGGTGCCCAGGTCTGGGGGCTGAGGGATGGGTGTCCACCGCAGAGCCCTCAGAAATGACTGGTCCTGGATGGCGGTCCCTGGAGAGGCAGCTCCTCTTTGAGTGGTGGGCATATGTGGCCATGCCCAGTCTTGGAGGCGGTGCAGTCCGACCGGCCACCCCGACTGCTGAGACGCAGGACTCAGCACCCAGTGTTGTCCTTGGCCAGGCGGCCAGCCTGCCCTGTGGGGCTTTGGGGTTCTCCTCTCCGAGCTTGTTTCCCCAGCATCCTGGAGAAGCCCAGGGAAAAACCCAGCCTATGTTCCCGCTGTAAACGGCCCACATCCCCTCCAAGCTCCCTTTGTGTGTCTCCAAGCTGGACTGCAGGGATCAGAGCTGTGCTGCCCGTGCAGCACCCACCCGCCCCTGGGAATGAGGGTAATGGGGTCACAGAGCCATCACTTGGACCTTGGCGCCCTCGGCTGGTGGCAGCCAAGGTCTCCCAGCACCCAGGCCGCTGGGAGTCTCTAAAGGGGAGGGGTGGGGCTCGACTGTCCCCTCCCCCTCAAGTTTGCTCTGTCCTGGGCAGGCCGTAGTCCCAGTTGAGAAGCTGTGCCCCCTTGGGTGTTTTGGAGGTTCAGGGTGGGTGCTGAAAAGCCCTGAGGGAGAGCAGAAGGCTCGGGGGCCTGTCTAGGGCATGGCATCCCACGTGGGTGTCAGCACGGCCGCAGAAGAACCACTTCTCTGGCCCACCCATGCCTGCTAGGCCATGCTTCTTCAGAAGTGGCCACAACTCTCCTGACGTCTCCAGAGCCGGTCATTCCACCCAGGGGGACTTCAGCTGCCACTGGACACTTCAATTGTACGCTGCGACCAGTTGCCAGGAAGGAGAGGGCTGGCAAGAGAGCCGCGGCAGCCGTGGCAGGGTGTAGGGGACGGTGGACGGCCAGGGCCCCCCCCTCTCTCTCTTTCTCTCTCTCTCTCTTGCTTGGTTTCTGTAATGAGGAAGTTCTCCGCAGCTCAGTTTCCTTTCCCTCACTGAGCGCCTGAAACAGGAAGTCAGTCAGTTAAGCTGGTGGCAGCAGCCGAGGCCACCAAGAGGCAACGGGCGGCAGGTTGCAGTGGAGGGGCCTCCGCTCCCCTCGGTGGTGTGTGGGTCCTGGGGGTGCCTGCCGGCCCGGCCGAGGAGGCCCACGCCCACCATGGTCCCCTGCTGGAACCATGGCAACATCACCCGCTCCAAGGCGGAGGAGCTGCTTTCCAGGACAGGCAAGGACGGGAGCTTCCTCGTGCGTGCCAGCGAGTCCATCTCCCGGGCATACGCGCTCTGCGTGCTGTGAGTACAACCTGCTCCCTCCCCGGGCACAGATATGACAGAGGGGCTTAGAGGGGGCCCAGCTTTGAGATGGGTTGTTCTTATGTCACAGGACAGAGTGATCTGACATGCACACTTCCCCGCCACCCTGTCATGGACCTTGTCCTTGGAGTTCAGAGAGCTGGTCTCATGGCAGGTTTTGCAGCCTTGGAGCTGTCAGAACCACTCTGAGGCCTGATGTTACACCCCAGCTTCCCATGAGCTGTATGGACCTTGTGGCTTCCTTGGAGTCTGGGGACCGAGAGAAGGGAGTTTGGGCTTTTGGAGCCAGGAGGAAGCTCAGGGCTCTGTGGAGGTGGGTGTGTTAGAGATCAGCTCAAAGATGCCCAGCTCAGAAACCCTGAGAAGAGCAAAGGTGGCAAGGGGGACCCTTCCTGGAGCACCCAGGCTTCGGGCCCCTGGAGGAAGCTGTTGTTTGGCGAGCCAAGAATATGGGGTGAGTTTAATCAAGAAAGGACTTTCCATTCAGTCAGAAGCTGCTTTCAGGGGCCTGAGAGCAGAGGAAGTCACCATTACCACCAGCGAGCAGCCTCTTCTCTCTCCTGAGCACTTGGCTGTGACCGCTGCCCACCCCCCACCCCCTCAATTTGGGTCTCTGTCACCATCAACTCCTCCCACTGCCCGGTTGGGGATGTTACTGAATGTACCAGCTGTGCTAACAATGGAGGAACCAGCCACTTGCTGAAGGTTCCTTTCTAAAACCCCCTTCCTGTCCAGCGTCTGAAGGAGGCCCTTGCCCTGCAGCTCTCGGTCTAATCATAGGGGGGCCTTGCCCTGCAGCTCTTGGTCTAATCATTTTGCCGGGGCCTCAGGCAGTGCCGGAGTGTAGTCAGGGAAATGTGTGTCCACCTGAACATCTCAAGTAGCATCCCTGGGCTGGCAGAAATGTTCCCCCGAGCAGCCAGGGCCTTGTGCTTCTCCAGGCAGGAGGGGAATTGGGTGATGAACCCAGACCTGTTTTGAATACTGACTCACAGCTGGGACCTGTCGTGCTAAGCATTTGTTAGCCCATTTCATCCTCACCACAACCTAAAGTGAAGGTCCTGTTAAAAGCCCCACTTTGCAGATGAGAAATCTGAGGCCCTGGCAGGTTAAGTGAGTGACAACAGTCAAAGCCACGGCCATCTGCCCCCAGAGGCTGCAGCTGAGACCAGCAGCCTGTGGCCCAACCTCTCCTGCTCCCAGTCCAGCGGGGCAGGCATGTAGCCTTGCAGGGCTGGAGAAAGAAGCAAGGGGAGCCACAGTGTTTACAGGGTCAGCTGGGGCACTGGAAACCAAGCCAGGCTCGCAGCTGGTCGCTGGCCTGTGCTGACAGTCTGCAGCCCCACCTCCAAAGACTGGTTTCCTGTGTCCCCTCTCTCATGCCTCAGGGGAAGGAACGCAGGCCCAGGCTGCCTGGACTTCCCCAGTGGGGACCTGCTGCTGCCGGGGCCTTAGAAGGAGCAGGAAGATTCTCTTAGGCCTCTCACAAGCCCAGTCTGACTCCACCTGGCCCATGTGGGTTACTTGGATTTCTCTCCTGGCCCAGTGGGATCTTGTCCTGGCTGTTTGGTGTTGGCTGAGCCGAGGGCTTCCAGGGCCCCATCTCATTAACCTTCAACACAGCCCTTTGACCAGGGCTTGCTTTGTGGTTGCTCAGGTTACAGACATGGGGCGTGGGTCTCTCTGACTCCGAGCCGTGAGCATCTTAACGTCTAGGATTAGCCTGAGCCAGAGTCAGAGCTGGAGAGGCCTTGGAGAAGCTCTGGTGCAACAGCCCTGGCTTTTCAGGAGGTAGACAGAGGGCAGAGAGCCTGAGGCCTTTGTCCACCATGCTGGCTGGGGTCAAAACTGCTGGGATCCAGGCCAGTTCTCGTATTCCTTCCTCTACCTCTTCTCTCTGAACCCTTGTCTGCACTGAGTTCTCTCAGAGTCATGATGGGTGTGCAGTGTCTGCTCCTTAGAGAGGGACCTGTGGTGCCTACAGATGTCCACTATCCTCTCAGCCGAAGCCTCGTCAGCCTCCTATCCTGAGGCTGCTGGGCTGCAAACACCAGGAGTCCCACCCCTTGGCCAGACAAACCCTGGGCTCAGTGTTTCCCTTTCTCCTCTGCTCAGGGTGGGAAGCTTCCCTTCCTGCAGGGTCAGGCTCCACTGTAGGCCGTGGGTTGCTATGGACCTGCAGACTTTCCATACATCTGCAGGCTTCATATGGCTGCCACCCTGGATTTTGCCAATTACGGAGATTTTAAAACTAAAAACTAATTAAATGAATGATAACAAACTGTCATCTTCCAACACCTCATTTCTTGAAAGAAAGCAGCCTTTGACACCAAAAGAGGCAGGAAGGGCATTAAAAAAAAAAAAGCCAGTCATTTAAAGCAAAGAGATTGAACTTCTTGAAAAACAAACCCTACCACCCTTAGTTTTCTGTGTTCCCTGCAGAGTCGCCGTGGCCTGACGGAGACGGCAGAGGCAGACAGTCCCAGGCTGAGGGGTGTGCAGGGCAGCCGGGTTTTCTGCGGCTGCAGAAGTAGCAGGCTTTGCCCCCCTAGCCCTGGAAGCCTGGAGCCACCCTGCTCTAGAAGTGACTGCAGAAGGAAGCCACACACTCACCCTCCTGCCCTAGCAAAGTCCATGGGAAAAGTATACCTGCCCCATGGCCCCTCAGATCACCCAGGTGCCCTGACCTCATCCTGCCTGGGCCCCAGCAGCACTCCCTCCCAGGCCCCCTCTGGTGGGCAAGGGGACAACGGCCGGAGTCTCCACCTGATGGTTTGGGCAAGTGTGCCTGGAGTCTCAGGAACTGAGAGCAGCCTCACCAGGGAGGGGCCTTTGTGCTCAGGAAAGAGAACAGGATTTGACTATGTAAATGGACTTGAGCGGGGGTTGGACATCAAAAGACAGGGCTACAGTTCAGTGCCACCCATGTGACTTAGGAGTGCACATTCTGCGCACACCCAGCAAACCCTGCATTTCCTCGAGAGAGGTCAGCCCCGTCACCTACCACTGGGCAGGAAAGCTTTGATCTCACCTCAGCAGCTTGGAAAGCCCTGCTTGACAGGGAGCCTGGGCTCCATCTCGGGGCACAGACAGTTGCAGTGGGAAGACTCCAGCAGGTGGCTGCCTGGTTTGGGTCCAACTCTGCCGTCTTTCAGCCAGGGGCTCTTCTAAGTAGAGCCTATGTTGTCCCCACCTGGTCCCCACTCAAATCCCCCGGCAGAGTTGGCCCTGCTCCGGGGGGAGTCTGTGGGTGCCTCCAGGGGACGTTGGGTACATCGTGGGTGGGAGACATTAAGAGCTGTCAGGCTCATGCCCTCTCCTGCCACGCAGGGGCCAGCACACCTGGCAGGGCCTTATGCTGCAAAGAAGAGATGCCTTGGGAATGGGGTCAGTCAATGCAAGGGTCCATGGGTTGGCCGAGCCGGCATCCCCTTGTGCAATCTGCACAGGCAAAGCTGATCAAAGGCCCAATGTCAGTATATAGGCTGCCCTCTCTGCAGGAGCAGCTGGGGCCCGGGATCAGGCCTAGAGTGGCCGGCTCAGCTGTCTGCCATCCAGCCTGGAGTTGCGCAGGAGGGCGGCGTTCCCAGCCAACCACTCCAGAGAGAGGGGGCTTCCCTCATGGGGGAGGCGAAGGCACGTGGCTGCCTTTGGCTCAGAACCCAGTGCCTGGTCTGGCCACAGCTGACAGTGTGGTTTTGGTTTCCCTCCACATGTGGCCTTCCACAGGCCACCCAGGCACCATGGCAGGGTCTTGCTTACCCCTTCCCAGGGGCAGTGTAGACAGTGCACCGGACAGACCTGGCTTCACCAGCAGAAGGTTGTTACCAACCTGCTCCGCCTAATAACAGCAGGCAACTTCCAAAGAGCTCTGTGCCAGGCACCATTCTAGGCTTATATTGACTCATTTGATGTCCACGAAGACCTTCAAAGGAGGTCTTATTATCTCCACTTTACAGATGGGGAAACCGAGGTGCAGAGCGGTTTATGGAACAGGCCTAGTTTACAGGACTAACAAATAAAAGGGCCAGGATTGCATGCATGATCTTCCTGGAAGCGAGAAACAGAGACCATAAGGTGGCCTGTGTGGGGCGGGGCAGAGCCTGGAGAGGGAACTTCTCGTGATGGAGCCGCAGAGAAGGGACTTGGGAGGGCGAAACTCCTAATCTCAGAGAGTCCAACAGAGTTGGAAAGCTGTGGTGTGAGCGGGTGGCTAAGTCTCCCTTTCGAAGCTTCAGTAAAATAGACACTGTTAATTGTTTTTGTGCAAATGCAATAAGGCACTATTTTTCATATCTGATATTGACAGTCAGTGGGAAAAAATGCTGGCCCAGGTCGTAGCCAGAGCTACTGACATCTGGCTCACACCAGAAAGCCGGCCAAGGGGCTTTATCCAAGGCTGACTGTGCCGGGTTTTCTCTCTGCATGCAAGACCAGGAAGGGGTATGTGCCCTGGAAGGCCTATGTATTTCACTCACTAACTGTATCTTCCATGTGAAGTGACGCAGAGCAAGCATGTTAAAATGGAGTCTCCAGGTTTTCTGTGCCTACGCTCAGCCCCCGTGAAAAGTCCTTTCGGGTCCAGAGATTAGGCTCCAGCTTTGATGCTTTGCATGTTTGTCTACCTGGTAGGTTAAATTCATAAATTCATGAACACAATCAGCACTTCTTGGGTTTTTTTTTTTTTTTTTTTTGACAGAGTCTTGCTCTGTCGCCAAGGCTGGAGTGCAGTGGTGCAATCTTGGTTCACTGCAACCTCCGCCTCCCAGGATTAAGCAATTCTCCTACTTCAGCCCTCCAAGCAGCTGGGATTACAGGTGCCTGCCACCACACCGGGCTAATTTTTTTTTTGTGTTATCCTCAGGTGATCTGGCCTCTTTAGCCTCCCAAAGTGCTGAGATTACAGGCATGAACCACTGCACCCAGCCTTTTTCTTTCTTTCTTTCCTTCTTTCTTTCTTTCTTTCTTTCTTTCTTTCTTTCTTTCTTTCTTTCTTTCTTTCTTTCTTTCTTTCTTTCTTTTTTTTTTTTTGAGACAGAGTCTCGCTCTGTCGCCCAGGCTAAAGTGCCATAGCATGATCTTGGCTCACTGCAACCTCCACCTCCAGGATTCAAGCAATTCTTCTGCCTCAGCCTCCTGAGTAGCTGGGATTACAGGTACCCACCACCATACCTGGCTAATTTTTGTATTTTTAGTAGCGATGGGGTTTCACCATGTTGGCTAGGCTGGTCTCAAACTCCTGACCTCGTGATCCACCTGCCTCGGCCTCCCAAAGTGCTGGGATTACAGGTGTGAGCCACCGCACCTGGCCTTTTTTTAAAATTATTATTATTTTATTTTTTATTTTTGAGACACGGTCTTTCGCTGTTGCCCAGGTTGGAGTGCAGTGGCACAATCACAGCTCACTGCAGCCTTGCTTGATCAAGCGATCCTCCTGCCTCAGTTTCCCGAGTAGCTGGTATTCCAGGTGCAAGTCACCAAGCCTGGCTAATCTTTTTTATGTAGAGACAGGGTTTTGCTATGTTGCCCAGGCTGGCCCCCAACTCCTGGAGTCAGGTGGTTCTCCCACCTTGGCCTCCCGAAGTGCTGGCATTACAAGTGTGAGCCGCTGCACGCAGCCTCACATCAGCACCTCTCAATCAATTGGTGCCATCTCCCTGCACATGAACCCTTGCGTCATGATGACATGTGGTCCTCACAGCCAGGCATTTCTCCCCACCCCAGACATAGAGTGAGAGGAGCTCTGCTCTTCCCTCAATAATTCGTGCCATGCTGTGCACTCCTGAGGAGCAAGGCTCTGTGGTCTGCTGGCTCTGCTGGGCTGCATTTGCAAAATGCTAACCTTCCTGTGTCAACCCAGCATCTTCACAGGTGGAATGAGGATGACAAGGCCAAAGCCCACTCGTTGGGTTATTTTTTCAAATTGAGGTATAATTCATATTCCATACAGTCACCCTTTCTATGGTGTACAATTCTTAATTTTCTTTTTTTCCAAGACAGTCTTGCTCTGTTGCCCAGGCTGGAGTGCAGTGGCATGATCTCGGCGCACTGCAACCTCTGTCTCCCGGGTTGAAGTGATTCTCCTGCCTCAGGCTCCTGAGTAGCTGGGATTACAGGCGCATGCCACCATGCCCGGCTAATTTTTTTTTTTCTTTTTGAGACAGAGTCTCATCTCACCCCTGTTGCCCAGGCTGGAATGCAATGGTGTGTTCTTGGCTCACTGTAACCTCCGCTTCCTGAATTCAAGCAATCCTCTGCCTCAGCTTCCCAAATAGCTGGGATTACAGGTGCCTCCCATCACACCCAGCTAATTTTTGTATTTTTAGTAGAGACGAGGTTTCACCATGTTGGCTAGGCTGGTCCCGAACTCCTGACCTCAGGTGATCTGCCCGCCTAGGCCTCCCAAAGTGCTGGGATTACAGGCGTGAGCCACTGCACCTGGCCCTGGTATACAATTCTTTATCGTGCTTTTAGTGCATTCACAATGTTGTGAAACCAACACCACTGTCTGATTCCAGGACATTCTCAATACCTCGAAAAGAAAAGAAACCCTGTACCCACAGCAGTCACTCCCTATTCCCTCTCCACCCAAACCCTGGCAGCAACTAAATGACTTTTTGTCTATGGATTTATCTTTTCCGGATGTTTCATAACTGGAAACATACAACATGTGGACTTTGGGGCCAGCTTCTTTCACTGAGCACAATGCTGTCAAGCTTCATCTGTGTTGTGGCATGAATCACTCCTCTCCAGGGCTGACTAATGAGCCACTGTATTGAAAGAACCACATTTTGTTTATCCATTCATCAGTTGACAGGCATTTGGGTTGTTTCCACTTTTGGGCTATAATGAATAATGCTGTGATGAACATTCATATACAAGGTTTTGTGCAAACATATATTTTCAATATTCTTGGGTCTATATCTAGGAGCAGAATTGCTGGGTCATTTAAGTCTAACACTTTGAGGAACAGCTAAACTGTTTTCCTTGGTGGATCCACCATTTTGCATTCCTACTAGCAACATCTGAGGGTTCCAATGTCTCCACTTCCCTACCAGCACTTGTTATTATCTTTTTTATTATAGCCATCCTAGTGGGTGTGAAGTGATGTCTTATTGTGGTTTTAATTTGCATTTCTCTAATGGCTAATGATGCCAAACGTCTTTTCTCATGGTTAATGGCCATTTGTATTTGGAGAAAAGTCAATTCAGATCCTTTGTACATTTAGAAAACAGGGTTGTTTGTCTTTTCCTTGTTTCCTTGGGTTATCAAGAGGACAAAATGGAAAGATGTGAGTGACATTTACAGCCCAAGTCCAGGCATGTGGTAAGCACCCACCGAATGCTTTGCACACATAAAAATCATGCTGGTGCTGGGCAAGGTGGCTCATGCCTGTAATCCCAGCACTTTGGGAGGCCGAGGTGGGTGGATCACCTGAGGTCGGGAGTTCAAGACCAGCATGACCAACATGGAGAAACCCCATCTTTACTAAAAATACAAAATTAGCCTGCGATGGTGGCATATGCCTGTAATCCCAGCTACTCGAGAGGCTGAGGCAGCAGAATTGCTTGAACTTGGGAGGCAGAGGTTGTGGTGAGCCGAGATGGCACCCTTGCACTCCAGCCTGGGCAACAAGAGTGAAACTCTGTCTCAAAAAAAAAAAAAAAAATCATGCTGGTGATCAGGTGTGGTGGCTCACACCTGTAATCCCAGTACTTTGGGAGGCTGAGGCAAGAGGATCATGAGGTCAGGAGTTTGAGACCAGCCTGGCCAACACAGTGAAACCCTGTCTCTACTAAAAATACGAAAAATTTAGCTGGGCATGGTGGCGGGTGCCTGTAATCCCAGCTACTTGGGAGGCTGAGGCAGGAGAATTGCTTGAACCCAGGAGGTGGAGGTTGCAGTGAGCCGAGATCGTGCCATTGCACTCCAGCCTGGGCGACAGAGCTAGAATCCGTCTAAAAAAAAAAATCGTGCTGGCAATTAGTCTTTATGAGCTAAAAGTGACTAGTGACATCTCAGAAGCAGAGGAGTACAGGACCCATCTGTGAAGAACATTCCATACAGAGGAGAGAAGAGAATGGGGGCAGAGGATTGCTTAGGAAACTTCCTGGAGGCCTCTGGGGGATGCTGAGTTGTCACTTGAGGCCTCCTTGGAGGAAGCACTCAGAGAGATGGAAGCAGGAAGAGGACTGAGTGATGCCCCTGTGACGGAGGCTGCTGGGGACAGGGCTGGGAGCCTGGAAGCCAGCAGGAGGAAGGGATGGGGGCACAGAGGCACACAGAGTGAAACCAGGGGCAATGAACATGACATCAGGAAGAAAGGCAGGCATCTGAAGACCACTGGGCTCCAATTGAGGGGGTGGGTGCAGAGGGTACTGAAGTCCTGGGGCTGAGGACGATGGAAGGAGCACAGCATGTTCCATGACGGGGGTACTCAGGCTTGACAGGTGCGGCAGCACGTGGGGACCAGATTCTCTCCCCTGCTCACTTCAGGCTCCTGTTGTCCCCTTTCATTAGGAAAACACGATATTAACAAGTGCAGGCCCCTAACAGTTTGGGTTCAATACTTACTGTAAACAACCCCACGGAGGGCTGTCCCCGAGAGATCATTTGGGACCTCCCCGGAGCAGAGAGGCTTGCTGGACCACACAGCTGTCAGTGGCAATGGAGAAACAAATAGATCTGATAAACAGCAATGTCCTGTTCTTTAGAGTCACTTTAAAAAATGGTATTTATACAAAGCACAGAAAGTACAAAGCAAAAAGCAGAAAAGTAACCACCCCATCACTGAGACACTAGAATAACCATTGTTAATTCACTGGTGTATCTTCTTCTTCTCTCTACCTCCCTGTATGTATGTAATTTCCATTTTGTATATACATGTATTACATGTATATGTATAATTTTAGTCTGAGATTTCTAGCAGCATTAGCATTTTCCCATTTAGTTAGAATTTCTTCCTAAATATCATATTTTAATTTTAGTCTGAGATTTCTAGCAGCATTAGCATTTTCCCATTTAGTTAGGTTTTCTTCCTAATGATCATATTTAATGGATGTACAGGATTCTATTACATGATGTGCGACACTTCATGAAATGATTCTTCTATTATCAGATATTTAAGTTATCAACAGCATTTTGTTGTTATAAATATGACTGATGAAGGTCTTTTGCAGAAATGTTATAAACATGTCTGGTTATAGATTCCGAGGAGTGGAATTACTAGATCGAGGGACAGGAATGTTTTTAAGGCTCTTGATACAGAATGATACATTGCTTTCCAGAAATTTTTTTCCATATATGCACCAGTAAGCTGTACAAGAGAGTGCCCGCCTCATTCTAACCTTCCTATTCTGAATATTTTCATTTCAAAACACAATACATTGCAAGGTGAAGGTGGTGAATGTTCATTTTGATTTGCATTTGATTGTGGTCACGTTGAGCTTATTTGATAGAGTTATTGACCCTCATAATCCCTCTTTCGTGAATGGTCTGTTCAATTCTCTTTGCCATTTTTCTATCGAAGCTATAGTTTTTCTGTTATCTACTTGCACAAGTTTATATCACACTTGTTGCAAATATTTTCATTGTGATTTTCCTTTAAGTTTTATGATTTTTTTTTGACATTCAGGGACTGTAAATTTTTATATAGTGAAGTCTCTCAGTCTTTTCCTTTTTTCTCCCTTCGCTTTTCAATGCAGAGAATCCCTCTGCACACAGAAATTCACTTGTTTCTTCTTGTACAAGGCAGGTGGGTTATGACAGAGACTTTGGAGCTAATAGACTTGGGCTAAGGATTCAGCAGGTTTTTTTTTTTTTTTCGAGATGGTGTCTCTGTCTGTCACCCAGGCTGGAGTGCAATGGTGTGATCTTGGCTCACTGCAAACTTCTGCCTCCCCAGTTCAAGTGATTCTTCTGCCTCAGTCTCCCGAGTAGCTGGGATTACAGGCTCCCGCCACCATGCCCAGCTAATTTTTGTATTTTTTAGTAGAGACGGGGTCTCACCATATTGGCCAGGCTGCTTTCAAACTCCTGACCTTGTGGTCCGCTCGCCTCGGCCTCCCAAAGTGCTGGGATTACAGGCGTGAGCCACCGCGCCCGGCCAGGATCCAGCAGTTTATTTAATTCCACTGGGCCCTGGTTCCCCTTTCGAAAACCAGTGCTAAGAATACCTATGTGGTAATGTTGTGGGGCAGATTGGATGGAAAATATGTATCATGTTTTTAGCACAGTACTTGGTAAAAACAAATGAAGCAGTTATGGGTTTTTTACTTTTGTTTTTGTTTGTTTGTTTTACATTGAACCATTTAATCTCTCTGGAATTAATTTAACAAATGATGCAGGATACAGATTTAGGCTGGGCACAGTGGCTCACACCTGTAATTGCAGCACTTTGGGAGGCCGAGGCGGCCGGATCACCAGAGGTCAGGAGATCAAGACCATCCTGGCTAACATAGTGAAATCCTGTCTCTACTAAAGATACAAAAAAAATAAAAATAAAAATTAGCTTGCCGTGGTGGTGTGTGCCTATAGTTCCAGCTACCTGGGAGGCTGAGGTGGGAGAATTGTTAGAACCCAGGAGGCAGAGGTTGCAGTGAGCCAAGATTGTGCCTCTCTACACTCCAGCTTGGGCCACAGAGTGAGTCTCTGCCTCAAAAAAAGGAAAAAAAAAAAGATTTATGTGTATTTTTCTCAGCTAATCATCTTTCCCAAAACCTCTTACTGAATAACATTCCTTTACCCTTTGGGGTTCCTCTTTTATCATATTTTAAGTCATATATCTTTCTTTGTGTTTGTACTCTGTTCCATGTATATCTGCTTTTCTTTCCCCAATATCATAACAATTATACCACCTAATTTTATAAAATATTTTATTTTAGGTGATTTTCATATCTATTCTTCCAGGTGAACCAGCTAATAATATTGCCAAGTTGGAGAAAACTACTATTGGGACTTTGATTGGAATTGTACAAAATCCATAATATAGCTGGTATAAATTGACATTTTGGTAATATTCAGTCTTAACAAATATGGTTGTCCCTGTTATTTTAAATTTTGTAATTTTCTTCATATAGATCCTGCATATTTATTGTTATAATTTCTTCTGATTATCTTATACTCTTATTACTATTGTGAATACATTTTCCCCTACATTTCATTATAACTGATAACATACAGGGAAGTTTTAGATTTTATAAATCCATCTTTTATTCTGTCACTTTACTCACTCCTCATTATTTCAAATTGTTTTTTGGTTGCTTCTCTGGGATTTTCTTGTTTGACTCTCATGTTTGACTCTCGTGTCATCTACAAATTACCATTGTTTTGTGGTGTACTTTCCAAATACTTATGACACTTATTCAGATTTCATAACTTATTGCATGGGCCAGTATTTCTAAAACACTACAGTGGGGAATATTGGAAAAAGAAAACATCCACCTCAAGGAGACATACTGTGAGAATCGCTATGGACCACCTGGGAAGGGCATGGGATAGCCTCTGTCACCTAGTTACCACTTGATAAAAGGTAATTGTTGCTGTTTGTCATGTCCAAGAAGAAGCAGTCTTCTTCTAGTTTTAGAAAGAGTTCTGAAGGACTGAGTATTTAATTTTTATCAAATGCCTTTTTAATATCTATTGTGATGATTATATTATACCCCTTATTTCATTTACTGGTAAAATAATTTTATATATTTATATTTGGTTTATATATGTGAAACCATTTTGCATGATTACAATGAACTATTCTTGATACAATACTTTTTTATTGTACTCTGAAACTTATTTAGGGTTTTTATATATGTATTCATAGTTGAGGTTGATTTACCTGATTTTGGTTATGTTATGGTTTTAAGTCATGTATATTTTACAAAATATTCTGGAGGCATTTATGTAGCATAATTATTATCTGATTTTTGAAATACTTAAAAAAAGTTGGTAAAGCCACTTCTTCTCAATGCCATTTATACAGATAATTCTTTAATATTTACTTCAATTTATTCTTTAGTGTTGAATTGGTCTTGTTTTCTATTTCCTCCCATGTCACTTCTGTTAAGTTATACGTAATTTTCAGAGAACAATCTATTTGTTGAGATTTTCAAAATTTCTGGCAAACAATCATGCATAGTTTTGTATAACTGTAAGTTTTCTCTTTTATTGTGGCTGTCTTCATTTTCTCATTTCTAACTGTTTGTGGTGCCCAGGGTCCTGGCAGGAAATAGATGGCATGTTCAACAGGAGTGATAAAGACAGGAATGGCAAGGCAGCCAGTGGCTGGCACCCTCAGGATCCATTCCCACCCCTGAACTGAAGAGGCAGTGGCCAGAGCTGTGTCACCAGAACCTGGCAGGGCTGCAGCTAGGAGACTCCAGAGGTGGAGTTCTGTCCCTGCAAATCTGCAGCAGGCAGGGTGGGGTCAGTGGAACAAATCAGCCCATCCCCCCTTCACTCACCCTGCTGGTGCCTCGCTTCAGCCAAACCTGGGTAAAGCAGCCCCCGGAGATTTGCTGGCTGCACAGGGCAGGTGGAAAAGGGTAGAGAGTGGGTCTCGCTGGGGGAGGGGAGGCAGGGAGAGGCTGTCCAGCTCACTCGCATTTGTTTCTTTCCTTGATTCTGTTTGTCACAGGTTTGTCCATTTAATCTCCTACTTTTCAAGTGACAGGCTCTTAGGTTGGTTAATCTCTTCTGCTTTTTGTTTTTATATTCTAAAAAATGATCTCTGGACCGGACACAGTGGCTCACGCCTGTAATCCCAGCACTTTGGGAGGCTGAAGCAGGCGGATCACCTGAGGTCAGGAGTTCAAGACCAGCCTGGCCAACATGGTGAAACCCCATCTCTACTAAAAGTACAAACATTAGCCGAACATGGTGGCGGGTGCCTGTAATCCCAGCTACTCCGGAGGCTGAGACAGGAGAACAGCTTGAACCTGGGAGGCAGAGGTTGCAGTGAGCCGAGATCGAGCCATTGCACTCCAGCCTGGGCGACAAGAGCGAAACTCAATCTCAAAAAAAAAAAAAAAAAAAAAAAAAATCTCTGTCTTTTCAGGAAGCCCTGTTGCATCTGTAGGACTGAGATCAGCTTCTGTATTTCTCTTCTTCCCTCTCTTTTTTAAATCTTTGTCTTTTCCTCTAGTACCACTTTCTTGAGTGTGTCTTTTTCCTCGTTCACTTTCTCCAATCCATAGCTGCTATTTCCTGCCTCTGTCGTGTGTTAAATTCTGACTCTAAACGTCCCGGCTGTCCCTAATGGTCAGTTTCCTTTATCTCAGTTTGCTCATTTTTCACAATCAATCCCTCCAATTTCTGATATGCAGTGGTCTCTCGAATCTTCCTGAGTTCACAAATCAGACTTGTCCAGAATTTATTTTTATCAGTGATTCTATTTAAGATGGAAGTAACTCCCTGGAGTCCTTAGGAAAATGCCCTTTTCTGGATGGTGACATGTTTTCATAGGTCAGGTGATTTTTCTTTTCTGACAAAGAACTGTCGAGAACAATTGGATCAGATTTGTTCAGAGATGGGAGTGGGTTAAAACGACTGGCACTGGATGGGAGATGACAATTCAAGATCCAGCCGGTGGTGGGGCCAGAGATGAGGGTGTGGTGAGACACACAGAGGATGGGCTCCCTCCAAGGGTTGAGAGGGGGCGCCTCATACCTGGGTCTTGTCTTTGAGTAGCTGTCAGACGAGGAATAGCCCGCTGGACCCTCAAGCTGTTGTGGGGGTGCTCAGCCAGCTCCCAATAATACTCGGCCAGCCTCACCTCCATCTCTCACCTCCTGGCCAGCTGAGCCACCTGTTAATGCTTTCTCCCTTCTGGAGGGGTCCATGTTAGCAAGAAATGGCCTCTTTTCATTCATCAACTTTAGCTTTCTCTCTGGCTGTGATTCTTCAAGGTTTGGAGTGGCGAATGGTGAACAGTTTGTTTCCCAAGGTTGCCACACATTTTCTTGTCCTTCTACATTGGTGCAAATAGTTTTTTTTGTGTTTTTTTTTTGAACGCAGGGTTTCCAGCCCCCGTTCTCCTACCCCATCTTGTCCAGAAATCTGCAGAAACACAAGTCTTAAGAAAATGCAAAAACACAGACAAAAACATTAGAAATTAGAAATGATACGTAACAAGAGTCACAAAAGGATTTAAAAGCAATTACAGGAGCAGATCAGCAAAGCAAGATAGGAACACAAAGAGGTTCTTGAATTTTATAGTTGGATTCTCTGTCTCTCTGTGGGTCTGTCCATGGTGAAGATGTTCCTGGGTCTGGCTGTCAGTGTTCATTTGGCTAGGAATGGCCACACAGAAATGCTAAGATTTATCTGAAAGAATCAAACACGATGATGTTTCTTCCTACTTCCACGGGCTTGTCCTCCCATATTAGAGTAGAACTTCTCGTACTACATCAGGGTTGACCTGGTCCAGAAATGCTCTTCTACTGAGAAGCACCTTCCTGCCTCTTCTTTGCCTCCACACTCAGCACAGGGTGGGCACCTGTCATCACCCAGCACCTGTGGGAGTCACATGGGAAATTTGCTGTAAGCCCCCCTTCATTTGGGAATGGAACAAATCTCATTTGTTAGCAGAAGGAAGTACTGTTGGGCCCAGTGCTATCCTAACCCAGATCTCCAATGGGAATAATCCTGATCTGATTACTCTGAAAGGTCATCCAGTCACTGGGAGGAGTCTCAGCTGAGAGCCAGTGTTAGCGTAACAAGGTGTTACCAAATCACCACAAAGAGCTGGGGAAGGGCTGGGCGGGACCCACTGCCCCTAAAGAGCAGTGAGCATGTTTTCCAGGTTATGTTCCAGGGCAGCAATTGCCAAACACTATTTAGTTGTAGAATCTTTGCTTTAAACATTTTGCATGCAAGATATTGTGTGTGTGTGTGTGCATGTGTACATACACACATGCATGCATGCATGTTACATGTATACACATGTATGCATATGTTGTGTGTGCACATGTATATGTGTGTGTGTGTGTGTGTATATAGGACCAGAGTGAAGTACAAACTGCTGGTGGGGTGGCAGGCCAAGTGAGCACCTTCCTCCACCGCTTGGCAGAGCCTCCACACCCGTGGAATACAGTTTGGTACTACTGCTCACCCAACGACTTGTGTGTGGCGGGGCTGATGGGGTGTGTGTGGGGTGGTGCTGTATGTTTTCCCTTGAAGGTTGAAACTGATTCAGCCCTGGGGGTCAGAATGTCCAGCCCTGTGCATTGGCTATGCAGGGTCATTAACATCTGCTGAGATGTTACTGTCTAAGGGGGAAGTATCTTCTTCCTGTTATACTAGCTTTTGAATTCTGATCTGTTTTGGTAACATGGAGCTGTTTCTTTGTTTCAGTGTTTCTAGAACATCTTTGAAAAAGCCATAAAGGTTTGTCTGCCACACTTGATTGAACCAAAAAGCCTTTCCTGTTCTGTGCGCCTGCCTCTGACTCTCCCTTCGTGATTATGTTCTTTCTCTCTGTCTACAGGCTGATGTTTGGGCTGGCTGGAGCTCTTCCACAAGTCAGCTGCCCTCAGCCAAATAAGAGGCTGTTCTCACCCCTCACCTCATTTGCATACCTACAGGAGGAAGTGCCAAGGGAAGAGAGCATTGAAAAATAAGAGCACAGCAGAGTTGAGCTATCTCCACATTTGTCTGGCAGGCTCTGCAAAGGGGATTGAGGCCAGTGGTTCTCTGTGTCCCAGAGGTGTCCCTGGGAGATGTAGTGTCACTGGACTAGAGATTCATCCTTGCTATCTCTGATGCAAGACGATTGTATCAATTCAGGCTCTGGAGGTAGGACAGGGAGCAGAAGGATGGGGACTAAAGCCATGGAAGAAAGACAGAAAAATCACCTTTTCTATGTGAAGTGAAGAGACATGTGGAAGTGAAATTACTCAAAATTCTTTTTAAGTACCCATGATGCAAAAGCCATAAAATAAAATATTGTAAAATTAGCCACATAAAATTGTAAAACATCTACACAGCTTTAAAAACAACCTGTTAAAAATAACTCCAAAATATATTGTAGCATATATCAGAGTCTTATTCATAACTAAGCAAAAAATGATACCAAAATAAGCGAGTCAAAGACACAAAAGGGAATTCACAGAAAAAGAAATACAGATAACTAAACATGGGAACATGCTGAAGGACTTTTCTCATAAAGAAAGGCAAATTAAAGCAAGTTATCATTCTCACCTCTCAGATTTGCAAAGATTAAAAGGTCTGATAACAGCCAGTTGGCAGGGTGTGGGGAAATAGACACATTCATATCCGGTTAGTAGGAGAAAAAAAAGGCCACAACTTCATTGGAAGACAGTTGGTACAGTTGGTAGTCTCTATCAAAATAGCAAATCTCCAGGTCATTTAGCCAGCTGTCACCTTCTAGTGATTTACCTACAATCACTAATAAACGTCAACACGTGTACAGCACATGGTGAAACATGATGAAAATAGTAATAAACCATCTCTCACTTGGCTTGAGAAGACCTCTATGATCTTTTTTGGTGAAAAAAACAAATTTCAGAAAACGGTATACATAGTATGATATTATTGGCATCTAAAAAGATATGCATATATAATCTTGTGGGTATGTTTAAAATTTCTGAACTTACTTACAAACAGGAATAGGAAATCTAAGAAGAGGGGCTCATGGGAGTGGGGAAGGAGATGTTTATTTTTTATTTTATATCTTTCTGTATGGATTTCATTTTTTAAAGTTAGTATATATTTTAAAAAATCTAGTTAAACAGGGTCAAGTGCAGTGGCTCATGCCTGTAATCCCAGCACTTTGGGAGGCCGAGGTGGGTGGATCACCTGAGGTCAGGAGTCGAGACCAGCCTGACCAATATGGAGAAACCCCATCTCTACTAAAAATACAAAATTAGCTGGGTGTGGTGGCACATGCCTGTAATCCCAGCTACTTGAGAGGCTGAGGCAGGATAATTGCTTGAACCTGGGAGGCAGAGTTTGCGGTGAGCCAAGATTGCGTGCCATTGCACTCCAGCCTGGGCAACAAGAGCAAAACTCTGTCTCAAAAAAAAAAAAAAAAAAAAAAAAACTCTCTCTACTAAAAATACAAAAATTAGCCAAGTGTGATGGCAGGAGCTTGTAATCCCAGTTACTTGAGAGGCTGAGGCAGGAGAATTGCTTGAACCTGGGAGGCAGAGGTTGCAGTGAGCCGAGATCGTGCCACTGCACTCCAGCCTGAGTGACAGAGTGAGACTCCGTCTCAAAAAAAAAAAAAAAAAATCTAGTTAAACAAAACATACCAATAACATATGTAAATGCTCAGTGGAGTGCCTGTACCTGAGGGGGTGAGTGTGTGGAGCTTCTACACTGAGGCACTGGCTTCATTACAGAGGCTGGTCCTGTCTACAGGGCTCTACGGGCCAGGTGAGCCTTCCGGGCTCAGGAGAATCTTAAGTAGCAAAATGGGGCAAGATTATGGTGGGTGAGAACAGACCAGCAGCTTTAAGTAAGAGCCTAAGATCCAAATAGCTTTCCCTCGATCTCCTGACAGCCTTCTGGCCTCAGCAGCCGATGGATTCCATGGGTGTTAGCTGCTGCCAGGGTTTCAGCAGGCTGAGGGCCACCGCAGTGTGCCCCTCTCCCAAGGTGCTAGCACTTGACAGCCCCCTTTTCCTCTCACAGGTTTTAGGAAAGTGAAAAGTACCTTCTCCTCCTCACATTAGAGATGACTGTGCCAAAGGAAGGTAGAGCTTCTAGAAAGAGAAGAGAATCTGGGATTCCTAGGACCTTCTTGTTAGAAACAACCCCAAGACTTGCTCTCCAGCTGCTGGGGCAAATCCAGGTCTCGGCAAGGCTGGTGGCCAACCCCTGGGAGATAATCCACGGGGCATAGTGTCCAAGAGGATGAAGCCATTTGGGGGTGGCAGGGAGCTCAGCGGGAACGAGGTGCTGAGTGATCCCTGCCCCTGACAGGTGGCCCCTCTGTGGCTGGGCCTGGCTTTCCATTCACCATGGGCCGCTCTGCTTGGGCCCACTGGAGTCGTGTTTCTTCTTCAAACACCCCCTCTTTTTTGTTGTTTTTTTGTTTTGTTTTGTTTTGTTTTGAGACGGAGTCTCACTCTGTCGCCAGGCTGGAGTGAAGTGGCACATTCTCGGCTCACTGCAACCTCCGCCTCCTGGGTTCAAGTGATTCTTTTGCCTCAGCCTCCCAAGTAGCTGGGACTACAGGTGTGCGCCACCACGCCCAGCTAATTTTTGTATTTTTAGTAGAGATGGGATTTCACCATGTTGGCCAGGATGGTCTCAATCTCTTGACCTTGTGATCCACCCATCTCAGCCTCCCAAAGTGCTGGGATTACAGGCGTGAGCCACCGTGCCTGGCCTGCAAGCACCCACTCTTGCTCTATCTTCTTGGCAGCCGAGAGGTTAAGAAAGCCCCTCCATGTGGCAGACTCCTTTAGATCAGATCCTTTAGCTGCCGGGTCCCCACCTAAATGACCCCCCCCAACCTTTTCCTGGTGCTCCCTGAGTGCAGAAGCAGTGGGGGAATAAGAGTGCCTCAGCCCACGATTGCTGGACGTCAGGACTCACCTCCATCTTAAGAGAACGGTCAGCTCCGAAATTCGGAGACTTTGTGTCCAGATTCCTCAAGCTGTGTCAGGAAGTCTTGTCTTTTCAGTTAAGAGGAAACCGGGTCTTCCTGCATGGGTTCTAATAAAGTCTTTGATCTATTTCAGGTATCGGAATTGCGTTTACACTTACAGAATTCTGCCCAATGAAGATGATAAATTCACTGTTCAGGTGAGTCCTTTATAAACCTAGAAATCTGAACCTGACTTCAGCCGATACTGGCAGAGAAAGGGTGTAAACGATGAGGAAGGAAGTGCACGCGCAGGTAGCCGGACGTGAAGGCCTGGCTGAGCCTGGCTTCCTCCCAGGTGTCCATGGGGTGGCTTAGCTGGTAAACTGGGGCCCTCCAAGTGACCCTGCTCTGTGACATGACGGAGTTGCATGCCACAGGCTATTTGTGGTCCATAGGTGTGAAGAGGAAACGAAGGTGAAGCAGACTGTCCAGAGATGAAGGGAAAGGAGGGGCTGTGGCTTGGCCGACTGTTGTCTTCAGTCTCTCAAAGGAGAGAGAGGAAGTGGCTCAGGAGGGAGAGAAGGGAGGTGAACTTACAGGAGAACAGACCGTGTTTTCTGAGGGGCTGCGAGACTAGCACAAAACAGTGCCTTTCCATTTGTAGAACTCTGTTCTGTCCGAGGCTGGTGCTCACTGCATCTGATTTCACCAAGCAAAGTCAAAATGTGCAAAACTTGCAGTTCATTTTTTAATATTTTTTATTTTTGAGACAGAGTTTCACTCTTGTCACCCAGGCTGGAGTGCAGTGGCGCCATGTCGGCTCCCTGCAACCTCCACCTCCCAGGTTCAAGTGATTCCCCTGCCTCAGTCTCCCTAGTAGCTGGGATTATAGGTGCCCGCCACCATGCCCGGCTGATTTTTGTATTTTTGGTACAGATGGGGTTTCTCCATGTTGGCCAGGCTGGTCTTAAACTCCTGACAGCGAATGATCTGCCCACCTCGGCCTCCCAAAGTTCTGGGATTATAGGCATGAGCCACCCCGCCAGGCTGCAGTTAAATTTAAAAACAAAAATCAGCTGCACCCGTCCAAGCCCGGGAAGGCCACCCTAAGCACGGTTTACTAAAGCCTTTGTTTCGCCACAAAATGTGACAACTGAGTGTGTGGAAGCCAGGAAAGCTATTGTTATCTGGCTACATGAAGAGCACATGGAGGTGGCAAGAAGGAAGGAGACAAAGTTTCCACATCCCGGGTGTGTGTGTGTGTGTGTGTGTGTGCACGTGACAGAGAGAGAGAGAGAGAGATGCTCAGTTCTCAGGGACTAGAGTAAGAGGCACAGCAGTGCATCCACGTCCCAAGCAGAGTAGCCGGGGTCGACAAAGGTTTGGATATCATGTCATGGAAGAGCAATGACGGCGTTGGAGGAGTTTGTTTGAAAAGAAAGTGGAAGTGGGAGGGGAGAGGCAGGGTACACTCTTCAGTTTCAAAGCTTGAAGGGAATGATTCATTTTGTGCTAACTAGGATGCAGTAGTAGACAGGGAGCTGGACTCAAGGTGTGGGGAGACCACAGGCAAGTCCCTGGAGGCAAAAATCCTCCAGAAGTTGTCAAGAGGGAGAGCGTGGTGAGCAGAACGCCCCTCAGGAAGACAGCTTATGAGGATGGAAGGAATTGCTTCGAGGAGCGATGTGATTGAGAGAGGCCCAAGGGGCATGTGTGATGCAGCCCGGTCCAGGGGCATTTGCTGCGAGGCCTCCTTAGGAGATGCGAGTTTAGGCTCAAGCAGAACCACTCCCTGCGTAGTTAGGCTGGCATTGCTGCCGGCTGCCTCATCCTCCTGCCCCTGAGTCCACTGCAGCCTCTAAGGCACATCTGCTGAAGGCTTTCCACTGGCCTAGGGCGCCCGCAGGTTTGGCCTGGTTCTTAGCAGTCACCAGGAGCAGATGTTGGCACACCTAGTACGAGAAGGTCCTTTCCAGCGCTTGGCAGCTATTTGCCATGGGAATGTCTGTCTCTGACAGGGGCTCTTCACCATGTGTGGGATGTGAGCAGCGGAGGGGAGCCCTGTCTGGGGCAGGCAGTTGGCCTCAATGACCTCTACCATTTTTTTCAAGTCTAGGAGGGCATGAGCTTTTCTGGCAGAGTTGGCATCTGTGATAGGTGGTTTGCTGAGAGGAGTCGGCAAACTCTCTTAAGTTAAAAGTTGGTCGATGCTTTTGATCTTTTTTCCCTTTGTGGTTTCTTCTCTTCCTTCAAAGTGAAGAAAACTTTAAGTATGACTGGAAAAGACATGACTCTGTGGCTTCTAGTAGAGTCGGCACCCGCCGCCTGTAAATGTGTAGACTGCGTCTCCGGTTTGCCCCTCTCTGTCACCATCATACTCTTGCTACTGTGACATCTTGTGACCCTGGGAACTGCTGATGAAATCCGGGGCCTCATCAGGCTACTGGGCAGGGGGTGGTGGTGGTGCAGGGAACAGAAACTCGCCTTGGCTGACTCTGTAAGGGGTAAGGGGTGGGCAGCCTTTGTGGAGATGTGCAGAGCCAGGAAGGAGAAGGCCGCCCTAGGGCCTTGGAACCAGAAGAGCATGGGGTCTGCACGCAGCTTCTCCCATGGATCAGCTCTTCTCTGTGGGGCCGCTCTTCCCAGCCAGCAGCCTCCCTTCTCAGTCCCCAGTCCTAAGAAGGAGTCTGATGGCTCAGCCTCCACGGCTTTCTCCGCATGAGCCACTCAGGGGCTGCCAGTCTGTGTATGAATCGGCTGTCTTGGAGCAGGTACCCCCCTCTGCCTCTCAGAGATGGGGACAGAGTCGTGGGGGCAGCGTGCCTCCTTAAGGTCTCCGCTTAGCCAGGACAGTGGGCGGGCAGCTTTCAGAGAAGATGGGCGGCTCTGCTGGACTTCTCTGCTCCTGACCCCGGCACTAGATCTGTGACCTCCGCAGTAGCTGACATGGTACAGGGAGCTGTGGACCTAGGTGGTCTGAAGAGGTTTTCCTTCAAGGTGAATTAAAGGGGAATTCTCATAGGATTCTCCCAGGTGGACTCACCTTCGAAAATCTACCTCCAAGAGTAAATGACAGCAGACGTCCACTGAGGACCAAGTGCACACTCATGCCCAATTAAGCAGACTCAGAGCCCTTCGGGGAAGCTTTAGCAGTTATTGATCTCTGCCTATTTTAACTCAAGTTCCTCTTTTCATGTTGAGGCAAAACCTCACAGTCTTTTCTGAGCTTAGCCACAGTTTCTAAATAACTCATTCCTGACACCTGAGCCTGTTCAGTGCCACCAGAATACGAGGCTCCCCAAAATAAGAATCTGGCCTGAAATTTTGCCAAGTGAAGCACCGAAAGGCTTTCATTGTTTCTTAGTTTAGTAACTTTAGCTCTTTTCCTGGGGACTTCTGTTCTCTTGTCAACACCAAAGATCTCATCTTTGTTCTTTGCAGACCAACTTCATGGAGTTGGCCCACGTGTCATAGCCCATGACAGCCCTGTATCAATCAGGGAGAGGAGCTGCCTCACCTGGGGGACTCTTTTCTCTCACTCCATCTTTCACAGACTTAAAAAAAATCCGAGATGGGAGGGCAGGATGCAAACTGTAACTTCATCCAACCCCCTCGTTCTAAATATGAGTGTTGCTGAGAACTGCGGAAGTTGGAACTCACAGCCAGGCCTCCCGGCCTCCCCGGCTAAGCTTTCTTCCTTCCAATCCAGAAGGTGTTTCCAAGCCTGTCTGGAGTCCCCTGGGGAAGGATGAGCCCAGGACTCTGCCCAGAGGGACAGGGAGACAGGGCAATGTGGCCTCTCAGAGAGCTTGGCCTCTTGCCCTTCACATGGTTATAGATAATATTTGATCCCAGGTGGCATCTGTCCCTTGTGGTAAATCAGTGAGGTGCCCCTAGAATGAAAGCAGACTCCATTCCCGGCTGGGATCTGGGTTCAAGTCCAATTTGGTCAGCGATGTGGCCTTGGGCAAGGACTGCCAAGAAACTGCTGGAAAGTAGAGATCACACACATACCTCCCAGCACAAGGAAGCTGCTGGGGAGGAGGGTGGAGACAGCAGGGAGCTGGAGGTGCTTTAGAGCATTCTAGGCAGTGCTGGGAGTGGTGGGGAAGGAGGGGTAAATTTTGGAACTCCATCTCCCTCAGCTCTGCTCTTTGGGCTATGGGCTTCATGTCTTCAGGGACCTGAGTACGCTCTGGAACTGTTAAGCAGTTGTTCAACAGCTGCTGTGCCACTCAAACCCTGAGAACCTTCTGGACTCAGCTTGCACTGCTTTTCCTGGTTGGGGGAGGGTTGGGGCAGTGCTCTGAGCCCTGTGTGAGGCCAGACGAAGGCAGAACGGCTCAGCCCCGCAGGCCTGACTGTCCCACACCAAGAGAGTGGGTTTCTTGTAAAGCCAAAACTCCTTTCTTGACTTGGAAAGGGAAGTGACTCTCCCCTAAGAGAAGCGGTGCCTATCTTGAGCTGCTCGCTGCAGACTGAGCTGGGAGGCTGCTGCTGCCTTTGAAATGGCCCCTCTTTGGGAAAGTAAGGAAGAGTCTGAGGTCCTGCAAGCCGCCCTCATGGGCCAGCTCCAGGGTGGCCAGGGAGGCCTGGAGTGGCCTCAGACGTGTCGCATAAATGGCTGTCTCAAACCTAGGGCCACAGTTGAAGCAAAAGAGGCCCTTCGGCTCCACCCTACAACCTTTTGGCCCTTGCGTCCTTTCTAACATCCTTCCCACCGAGAGGAATAAAGCAGAAAATTAGAACTACCCATAATCCCCTATCACATCAATGTTCTCTGTGAACTTCCTGTCTTTTCTTGAGGTTGAGATTGTATCTAGGATATTGATTGTTTCAGTCAAGATGGGAGCACCCCCAGGTGTTTTTCTGTTTTGTTTTGTTTTGTTTTTGAGACAGGGTCTTGTTCTGTAGACCAGGCTGGAGTGCAGTGGCGCGACCTCGGCTCACTGCAACCTCTGCTCCCAGGCTCAAGCAATTCTCCCACCTCAGTCTCCTGAGTAGCTGAGATTACAGGTGTGCACCACTATGCCCAGCTAAATTTTGTATTTTTCTGTAGAGATAGGGTTTCACTATGTTGCCCAGGCTGGTCTCAAACGCCTGGGCTCAAGTGATCCACCCGCCTCAGCCTCCCAAAGTGTTGGGATTACAGGCGTGAGCCACCATGCCCAGCCACACTCCCAGGTTTTCATGCAAGTTTAGATGAAGAGTTAGAAAATATCTATCTCATAGACCCTTTCATTATTCTTTCCCGATTTGGAAGAAAAAATCCAGTGGTCTGAGCCATTCCGGTGAGTTCTAAAGAAGAGACACTTGTGACTCAAGTCCCTGGTCCCTGACGGTGGCTGTCACGTATCTCCGGGCGACATGGCTTTTGGAGAGGGAAAACAAAACAACTTTCTAAAAGCTGTTCCGTCACAAGCATCCGGGAGGTGAACGGTTGAGCCATTGTTATTAAGCTCAGGAAGCGAGTGGCAGCTGTTATTGTTCTGAGTGGTCACTGAGTGAAGTAAAGATTCCGTCTGAGCCGCCGGGCAAAGGATGTGGCTCTAACACACTTCCTGAAGTTGCACAACAAGGGGCACAGAAAAGGTTCAGGGCATAGAAGCCTAGCACGGCCAGGGCTGCCCTGTGTGGGCTCCACAGCCATGCCAAGGACAATGGGCCCCAAGGGGGTCCGTGCTGGTGGAGGGGTTCCTTTATGCTCTGACACTCACCTTCTAGAAGCCTGCATTTTGAATTGGTTTTTCTGTCTACTGCAGAATATGGACAGATCTATTTTCCAAGCCTCTGAATATCTCAAAACATCTTTAGTTGTCTACACATTCAAGAGTAATTTGATAGATATAAAATTCTTGGAACCAACTGTTCGCTCAAAATCCTGTAAAAGGTACAGCACTACCTTCAAGAATGTAGTGTTACAGGCTGGGTGCAGTGGCTCACTCCTGTAATCCCAGCACTTTGGGAGGCTGAGGCAGGTGGATCACCTGAGGTCAGGAGTTTGGGACTAGCCTGGGCAACATGGTGAAACCCCGTCTCTACTAAAAATGCAAAACTTAGTCGGGTGTGGTGGTGCATGCCCGTAGTCACAGCTACTCCGGAGGCTGAGGTGGGAGGATCGCTTGAACCTGAGAGGCAGAGGCTGCAGCGAGCTGAGGTCTCACCACTGCACTCCAGCTGGGTGACAGAGCAAGACTGTCTCAAAGAAAAAAAAAAAAAAGAATGTAGCGTTATGAATAGTTCCGAGTACAAAATCCAAGGCCAAACTTGTGCTGGTTCCTATAGAGGCGACCCATTTTTTTCTTTTTTTCTACTTTGAAGCCGGTGGGAATTCTTTTCCAGTGTTGTCATTTTCCTTTCATTGATAGTACCTGCAATGTGTTCGGCTTGTTCACTTTGCAAACTCTGTTCTTTGACACAAAAGACCTTTCTTCTGTTAGGTCTTTGAGTAAGTTTTTATTCCAGCTCTTCTGGCATCTTTCTTCTAATCCCCTGAGAAAGCCAAGCCTCCCCCCGTTTTCTAGCCCCCTGGGGTACACATGCCTTTGTGACTGAGCAGCCCCTCCCTCTTGTGTGGCTGCAAGATCCCTAATCCCTTCCCCAGTCTGTCAGAGAATTCTGGAAAGAGTATCCATGCCATTTGTCATCTCTACCTCCAAATGACTGTCTTTATTTTCTCCCCATCCCCACTAGCCATTTTGTCCTTGTTTCTCCATGTTCCAGAGCCTTCTGGTTCACCTTGCCCCAGATCATGGGCCTGTTTCCTGTCTTTGTTACCCAAAGCGGTCTAGAACTAACATCAACATGCACCATGTAGCCGATAAGTTTAGACTGGGGAATGGGATGCAAGTGTAACCAATGAGATGTGAAGAGAAGGGCTTTGTGGGCTTCTAGTAAAGGTCTGTTTGTCTTAAAAACAGACATAGGGATAAGATAGCCTCTTTCTTTCTTTCTTTCTTTCTTTCTTTCTTTCTTTCTTTCTTTCTTTCTTTCTTTCTTTCTTTCTTTCCTTTTTGAGACAGAGTTTCGCTCTTGTTGCCCAGGGTGGAGGGCAATGGCATGATCTCGGCTCACCACAACCTCCGCCTCCTGGGTTCAAGTGATTCTCCTGCCTCAGCCTCCCAAGTAGCTGGGATTACAGGCACCTGCCACCATGCCGGGCTAATTTTTGTATTTTTAGAAGAGATGGGACTTCACTATGTTGGTCAGGCTGGTCTCGAACTCCTGACCTCAGGTAATCTGCTCGCCTTGGCCTCCCAAAGTGCTGGGATTACAGGTGTGAGCCACCGCACCCAGCCAAGATAGCCTCTTTCCTACCTTTGGAAGCTGCCATAGGATGTGATAGCTGGGTCTCTGCTGCTGCCTTGTAACCATGAGGAGAGGTAGCTGGCGAGTGAGGCCAACACACGGAAAGGAGAAGTGAACCTGGGTCCTGGATGATGCCCTTGAATTTGCTGAACAGAATGAAGCAACCTGGGATCTGCCCTCCTCTAGATTTTCTGTTTTGTGAGTTAATTAATTTCTTTTTGCTCAAGTTAGTTGAGTTAGGGTTTTCTAACAGCTAAAAGTGTCCTAACTTACAAAGGTTTAAACTATCCCAGGGGAATTTCAAAGCAGAAAAGTGAAAATTTCAAATTGAATATCGAGTTTCACTGCACCAAATGCCCATGAGCCACGGTCTGACAACACAGTCTCTGGGTCTTCCTTCTCCTTAGCCTGTGTCGTGTTTCTGGGACCTGCTCCAGCCCTGTCCCAGACATTCCTAATGACTTATGTTCCTGTCAGACATCCTTGGGCTCAACATCTCTTTCTCTAACCCTGACCAGAAAAAGCACAAAAATCAATCAGTATTTTAACAATGTCTGTGCACTGGGGAGGCATGATTTCTTGCTTATTGCAGGATGGTTTCGCTTCTCATCTTGACTTTGCCCTTCGAGATCAGCTTCCGGGTCTAATTGTGTCTGTCAGATTTGCAAGAGGCCACTTCGGGTTTGCCAAATAGAAGAAAGTCTTTCTGAGAGGCCTCACTTGATCACCCCAGAAAAATAGTCACCCCACCCTTCACCTGTTGCTCTTTAACCCCTTACCCTCCTTTCTTTTCTTTGTGGCACTTGTGACTACCTGATTTTATATTATATTTATTTATTTATTTATTTTTTTGAGACGGAGTCTCACTCTGTCACCAGGCTGGAGTGCAGTGGCACAATCTCGGCTCAGCTCACTGCAACCCCTGCCTCCCGGGTTGAAGTGATTCTCCTGCCTCAGCCTCCCGAGTAGCTGGGACTACAGGCACATGCCACCACACCCAGCTAATTTTTGTGTTTTTAGTAGAGACAGGGTTTCACCATGTTGCCCAGGATGGTCTCGACCTCTTGACCTTGTGATCTGCCCGCCTCAGCCTCCCAAAGTGCTGGGATTACAGGTGTGAGCCACCATGCCCAGCCCTGAGGTATTTGAAAATATACATTTTTATATTGACTTATTTATCATCTATACTAGAACTATTCCTAGCATGTAGTGAGTGCTTGATAAATACTTATTGAATGAATTAACTCTTCTGCCACCATTAAGAAGATAGAAAGTGCTACAGGTTTCACTTAAAATTATGATTTATCTCACCCTTGCTGTAGTCATCAATCTTAAATTTGTCCTCCACAGGATCCGCCGTTATCTATTGACTTGCTTTTCATGCCTTGGTCAACTTCCTCTGCATTCGAGACGGGTTCTCTTTTCTGGACTCAGTTCTGCTGTAGCTCCCTCCAAAGTGGATCCTCATTTCAGCATTGAATTGAGCTCCTCATTTTTTTTTTCTTGAGACAGTGTCTCGCTCTAGCCCCCATGCTGGAGTGCAATGGCAAGATCTCGGCTCACTGCAAACTCTGCCTCCTGGATTCAAGCGATTCTCCTGCCTCAGCCTTCCAAGTAGCTGGGATTACAGCCATGCACCACCACCCCCGACTAATTTTTTGTATTTTTAGTAGAGACGGAGTTTCATCATGTTGGCCAGGCTGGTCTCAAACTTCTGACCTTGTGATCTGCCCGCCTCAGCCTCCCAAAGTGCTGGGATTACAGGCATGAGCCACCAGCCCCGCCAAGGTTCTCATTTTGTTGCAAGCCTGCCTTGCCTGGCTGATCTTCATGTTTCACTGGCCCTGTTGTCTGTTCATCTTTCTCCTCTTCCTGGGATTTTCACTCCTGGGTCATAAAGGCCTTGCCTTTTGACGTCCACGTGAGGCTGCCGATGCTTCCCGAGATGTCCCGAGACAAGTTCCAGCAGCCACATTTCCAGAGAAGGCTCTTCCTCGGGTCTTCAGGGTGGTGTAATGTCCTAGTTCCCTCGGGGAAGCAGTTTCTTCTCTCAAGCTTCTGTTTCCTCCTCAGAAACAGTGGGAGGCCAGCAGTACTTCTCTCCTGTGGAGATTTTGAGGACTAAAAGAGATGGTTTATGTAAACATGCAGCTCATGTCTGACACGTGACTCCATGGATGACTGTTTTAAAATGGCGAGGACGCACAGAGGCCAGTCAGCTCGCTGACACCAACATGGGGTCACCGGGCAGAGGCCCCGGCCCATGACTGGCCAAGAGCTGGGGACACCAGGCACAGGGGAAGGAGAAAGGGCTGAGACTTTGGGACACAAAAAACTCAGGTGTCCTGGGATTGACAGCAAGGCCATCCAAAGGGGCCTTGGAGAGGAGGACAAGTGCCTGGAAATCCTGACTGCCCGATCGGGGCCCAGGCGCGAGGGTCATGGAGGACAGAGGCACCAAGTAGGGACCCTAGACCCTGTCTGCCTTGGGATCCTCTGAGAACTGAGAACTGTAACAGCATTACAGCCGTATGTCCCGACTATATTCCTTAAGGGTCAGGGGTTGTCCTGTGCCTGCTCACTGGGCATACGTCACTGCTGCTTTGGATAACTGAGGAAGACAGAGGCGGGGTGAGGGCGAGGGTGGATGCCTGGGGTCCCAACCAGGTGACAAGAGAGAGCCTTGAGGACACGGGAGGGACCAGCGGGAGGCCCCACAACTCCCACCTGGGGCCTATCTTGTCATCCCTTTCTGGCCTGGTTGCCTTTTGTTGAGCCCCTGTCAGGAGCTAGGCACTTCATCCGTGTTCTTTAATCCTGGGGAAGGGTTTACTACTATTGTTGCTATGATCACTATTCCCATTTTTAAATTCAAGGAAACAAAGGCTCAGATGAGATAACACTGTTTGCCTGTTTCATAAAACTTGTGACAGAAGAGGGATGTCATTGGAGCCATGCTGTGGCTCTGTGCCCTGCAGCCTGGGGCGCTGGGCTGGAGGGTGAGCTTCACACAAAGGCTACTGGCCTTTGTTTCTCCAACCACTGGAGGTTCCCCAGCTATGTATGGAACCAGCTAAGGGCTTTGCAGTATTTGAGTCATGATCCTTCCTGAATGAGACCCAAGATGACTCTACTTTTAAGCCAAGTCCAGTGAGCGTTATAGCCGTATGTCCTGACTATATTCCTTGAGGGTCAGAATGACAGCTTAGAGATTCCCGGCAGCTCATTCATTTATTCAGTGAATATTAATTGGGAACTGAACAACAGCCACCCTCAAAGTCCCTCCTTCATAGGATGTTCGGTCTAGAGACCAATGACAAGCAATTTTCAAGATTAGACTCTGAACCCCAGATTTTTACATCTTGAGGGAGAAGCGTCTCAGGAAACTTCTACAGTGCAAGGAGCTCCCCTCAAGTGGGAGGAAATGAATGGCCCAGCCATGCCTTCCAAAGAACCCTCTGAGAGGCGCCCAGTCCCTCTTCTGTGCTTCCAAACAATCCCCCCGCCCAGCGTCCACATCCTCGCATTGTGGGGTGGTAGGCGACCCGGTGTCTGTCTCCCCCAGTGAGCTGTGGAGGCCTTGAGAACAAGGGTCTCAGTCGCCCGAGTGTCTGCCCTTGGGCACAGGACAGAGGATGCGTCGCCATCCCCTGAATGAAAGGCCCAGCTGGACCTGGCTTGAGAAGAGGCTTCTATTGACCACTCAGTGCCCACAAAACCTTTGAGGTTAACTTTAGTCTGCCCTGTTCTTAGCAGACTGTATTTCATTTTGAGCAACCCCAGGAGAGGAAAATCCAAATTTCTCTCTCAAATATTGAATTAATCCATACATGAGCAGTTAGTGATTTTTATAAAGAGATTCGCCATGGAAGAGTACTTCTTTCATTTCTGCTCTTCCTGGCTTGTCTGAGTCAAGAGACCCTGCCAGGCTGGTGGCCATCAGGATGCCCAACCCATCTCCCCCCCATATTTATGCCCTTCATGACTGGCAGGAAAAAGGATCTGAAATCTTGAAATGGAGAAATGTGTTTTCCAAAATCCAAACATCTCACAAATATATGCTATGAAGACCCTAAAAAGAGTTCTCAGCGCCCTCACACAGACACAAGGACAGAACATGAGAACATAGTCCCAGCCTTTAAAGAGAGAAAACGGACATTCCAACAAGCAGATTCAAAGTCACTTGGGGTCGGGCACGGTGGCTCATGCCTGTAATCCCAGCACTTTGGGAGGCCAAGGCAGGTGGATCACCTGAGGTCAGGAGTTCGAGACCAGCCTGGCCAACATGGCAAAACCCCATCTCTACTAAAAATACAAAAATAGCCGGGTGTGATGGTGCACACCTGTAATCCCAGCTACCCAGGAGGCTGAGGGAAGAAGAATTGCTGTAACCTGGGAGGCAGAGGCTGTAGTGAGCTGAGATCGCGCCACAACACTCTGGCCTGGGTGACAAGAGCAAAATTCCGTCTCAAAGAAAAAAAAAAAAAAAAGAAGTAACTTGGAAGTCTACAAGAAAGATACCACTGGCTGCTTGGGAAACCAGACAATAGAACTGCTTTCTCCCCTGACGAAGGTGCTGGGGAGATACTTACTCTTATGACACTAAACTCCTTCCTGCCCCAGGGTCTTGGCACCTGCCCTGCCTTGTGCTTGGGACTCCGTCCCTCAGGTCACTATGTGGCTGACTGGCCAACAGGATTCCTCCAAGGCCTTTTCCCAGGTCTTCCCATCTAATATCATGCCCTGTCCCATAGCCGCTCCTTATAGCACTCCTGTTTTTTCTTCATAGCCCTTATCGCTGTCTGCAAGGGGATTTGTCTCCATTGCCACTATAACAAATTTCAGCAAACAGAGGGGTTTAAAACAACACAATTTATTATCTTGCAGTTGTGCAGGCCAGAAGTCCAGAAGCTCTCACTGGGCTCAGGTCAAGGTGTTGGCAGAGCTGAGCTCCTTCCAGAGGCTTCAGGGGAAAATCCCTGTTCTTGCCTTTTCTGGTTTCTAGGGGTCACCTGCATTCCTTGGCTCATGGCCCATTCCTCTGTCTTCAGAACCAGTAATGGCCCATCAAGTCTTTCTCATAATGCCGTTTCTAGGGCTCTGACTCTCTGCCTCCCTCTTCCCCTTATGAGGACTCTTGAACGTAGATTGGGAACAGCTGAATAATTCAGGATCCTCTCCCAACCTCGAGGCCAGCACATGAGCAACCTTATCTCCCTCAGGCCATGGTACATAACAGCCACAGGTTCCAGGGATAAGGAGGGCTTGGGAGGCGGAGGCCGTTATTTTTTCTACCGCAGCAACTATCTTGATTCTGTATTGACTCACTCATTTATTATCTGTCTCCACCACGAGGATGTAAGACTCACGAGAGCCAAGACCTTGTCCATCTTGCTCTCCACTGTCTCTGTAGCACCAGAAGGATGCCTGGCACAGAGTAGGTGCTCAGTAAACATTTGCTGCATGATTGAATGAAGGAGTAAATTTGCAATACAAACAAAGTGGGAAAGGCCAAGGAGGGAAGGAGAGTGGAGACCCCCAAAGCTTTCCTGTTCCGAAATTATCTGATTCATTCTACAAGATTAGCAAAGCCTCCCAAGATGTAGGCGTTCAGGGCCAATGTTTCATAATCAGCTCTGCGAGGTTGGCGCTGGGTCTGGGATGAGGCAGGCGGGCGGCCGGAGTGACTGGGGGCCCGAGCTGCCAGGCTTATCAGGGAGCCGTCCCAGGCTCTGCCCCCTCAGGCAGCTTCTCTCCAGGCTGCTCCCAGGGCTGGGGACTCTGGGCTGGTCTGCCAGCTGTCACTTCTGTCTTCCCCAGAGTACCTCAAGAGTTTTACGAAAAGAAAAGAAGCAAGCTGGAAAGAAGAGCGTCTCAGGGATATGTAATTAAGGATAAAAATATCCCTCATAGGCTCTGGGCAATGGGGAAAATGGAGATTGCTTGCCTTCCTGGGCCCAGTGGAACCATGAGGGCTTTTGAAACATAATGATTAGGGCAGGTTTTTAGCATTGATGAGCCTGTGCAATGATGAATGCCATCTATACGGGTGTGAGGTACCAAAAGATGTGTGGTTAAATTCTCGAAGGGGAGGAGTTTAAATGGAGCTGCATGTAAATACAGGACCTTTGCTTGGGGTGAGAAGGAAAGGGGAAATGGAAATAGCAAGGGGATGAGCTTCCTTAATTGCATGTGGCAGAAGGAAACGGCAATTTCAAAGGCAAACATTGAACGTGGGAGGTGGAGGAGGCCTTGGATGCTCCCAACAGCATCCCTTTATCCCTCAATCTCCCGTCCCTTCTTCCATCTTGAGACAGGCCAAGGAGCCCCAGGCCCATCACTGTCAGTGGCTCCCACGTAGCCAGGGGTGCTCCCACCCCAGCCCCCAGCACCCCTACAGCCATCTTCATTCCTCAGCCCCACCTGACACGTTGCCCCTGACAGGGCTTAGTAGATTTCCGCTGGATGAAAAAGGCATGGGTGAAAGAATCTTGACTCTAAGATAAAAATGGTTACCCAGGAAGAAACAGAAAGAGAAATTAAAGAATGTGTCTTGAGAGAAATGGAACAATAAGCAGACTTCAACCTGAGGGCTTTGTGAAGTCAGGGTCTCCTTCACGTGGTCTGATGGGCCACTGCATTCCTCTCTTGTCTAATCTTTCTTTTCTTTTTTTGGACAGAGAAGGATTACGGCAGATTAATATTGATAATTTCTGCTTTTTCTCTTAGGGCAGTAGTGAGGGTGAGGAAGTTCAAATTGAAAATACAAAACAGAAGTAAAATCCCCTGACATGGAAATAAGCCTTCCTTCTTGGGAAACTATCAGTGTAGATATGTTTCTCTAAAATGTAACTTTAGAGTCTGGAATATATTTGACATCTTAAAAATGGTCTTCAAGACTTTATGGTAAGGCCAGGTGCAGTGGCTCATGCCTGTAATTTCAGCACTTTGGGAGGCTGAGGCAGGCAGATCATTTGAGGTCAGGAGTTCAAGACCAGCCTGGCCAACATGGTGAAACTCTGTCTCTGTCTAATTCAAAAATTAGCCAGGCATGGTGGCGAGTTGCCTATAATCCCAGCTACTCAGGAGGCTAAGGCATGAGAATCGCTTGAACTTGGGAGGCTGAGGTTGCAGTGAGCTGAGATCACGTCACTGCACACTCCAGTCTGGGCGACAGAGTGAGACACTGTCTCCAAAAAAAAAAAAAAAAGACTTTATGTTAAGCTCATCAAGTGTTCAATGAGGCATTTGTTAGAGATGGTAGAGATGGACAGTCTTCAATTTTGGGGTGAAAAGATTTGCAAAAATTTGTCAATAATAATGTGATGACGTCCAGAGCTGGTCCCACCACTGGCTCTCTCCTGCCACCTGCCCAGTGGTGGCTTCAGGCCACACTCCCTTGGCAGAAGAACACGCTATGCATGCCTCCTGAGCACCCTTCTTCTGCCTCCTGGCCCGTTTTCCCTGTGCTTCTCCCTGGAGTCTGAGAAACAGATGTTGCCGTGGTCCCCTGCCTGGTAGAGCCCAAGAGATTCTCTACAGCTGTGCTGGCCAGTGCTGCAGCCACAGGCCACATGGGGTCACAGAGCACTTAGAATACACCCCCTCCCCCCCCAAAAAAGAGAATGTCCTATATCTCATGATAATTTTATTGCACATTGAAATCTTAATATTTTGGATATATTGGGTTAAATAAAATACATTCATCAAATTGATTTTATCCCGATGTTTAAAAACTCCCAGGCTGGGTATGGTGGCTCATGCTTGTAATCCCAGCACTTTGGGAGGCCAAGGCAGGCAGATCACTTGAGGTCAGGAGTTCGAGACCAGACTGACCAACATGGTGAAACCCCGTCTCTACTAAAATTACAAAAATTAGCCGGGCTTAGTGGTGCATGCCTGTAGTCCCAGCTACTCCGGAGGGTGAGGCAGGAGAAATGCTTGATCCCGGCAGGTAGAGGTTGCAGTGAGCTGAGATTGCCCCACTGCACTCCAGCTTGGGCAATAGAGCAAGACTCCATCCCAAAAAAAAAAAAAAAAAAAAAAAAAAAAAATTCTAAAATCTGGCTGCTGGAAAATTTAAAATTGTATATAAGGCTCACATTACATTTTCACTGGGCATCATTGCTCTAGAACCTTGCTGCTCAGAGTCTGGTCCACAGGCCAGCAGATCAGCATCACCTGGAAGCTTGTTAGAAATGTGGACAATCAGGTCCCAGACCCGGGAATTCAGAATCAGCGTTTGAACAAGATCCCCAGGTGATCCTGATGCACATTAGGGTTTGAAGACCATGTGTGGGTTGGGGGAATGGCAGTCAGTCTCACTCACCACGGGAGGGAGTGCAAATGCCGACAAATGCTCTGGAGGGCAAATTGCCAATGTCTATCAACATCCGTAATGTCTGGGTGCAGTGAGGAATGTTCTCCCACCCCTAATTTGTCCAACAAGTCACATGGACAAAGATATATATACGAGGACACCCACTGCAGCATTATTTCAAATAGGGGTCAAAGAAGAATCCTAACAAACAACCTCATGTTGCCTAGGTTAGCATTCAACCTAACCATGATGAAGAGGGAACTGCTTAAATACACTGTGGTCCAGCCAATGGAAGACTATGCAGCTGCTTAAAAAATTAAAGTAGAGCTGTGTGTAATGAGTTGGAAAGATTTCAAACATTAATAAAAAAGTTGCAGGGTGATATTGTTGTAGGATAGTTTTTGGTTTTTGTTTAAGGGATAGATTATATACACAAGATTGCACATACATAAGAGTGTTGAGATAGAACTTGTATTTTAGAGATAGGATCTCACTGTGTTGCCCAGGCTGTTCTTAAACTTCTGGGCTTGGCCAGGCGCAGTGGCCCACGCCTGTAATCCCAGCACTTTGGGAGACCGAGGCGGGTGGATCACCTGAGCTCAGGAGTTCGAGACCAGCCTGGCCAACGTGGTAAAACCCCATCTCTACTAAAAATACAAAAATTAGCTGGAGGGGGTGGTGGTGGGCACCTGTAATCCCAGCTACTTGGGAGGCTGAGGCAGGAGAATCGCCTGAACCTGGGAGGCAGAGGTCGCAGTGAACCGAGCCACTGGACTCCAGCCTAGGCAACAAGATTGAAACTGTCTCAAAAAAAAAAAAAAAAAAAAAAAAAAAACAACTCCTGGGCTCAAGCAATCCTCCCACCTTGGCTTCCCAAAATGGAGATAGAACTTTTAAAATAATTTTTTTTTTACATTTAAAAGTTATATCTCAGCTTGGTCAAAAAAAAATTAAAACAGTACCAAAGGAAATACATAGGAAATAGAGATCCCCTTCTCCTATTGGTAACCCTAATGTCCTGCAAATCCCCCACCCTAGTCCCACTGTTGACAGTTTCTCAGATACTGTTTTCAAATGTTTTATATATTTATATTTGTTTTTGTAAATAGGATAATACCGTATACACTGTTCTGCGATTTGCTTTCTTCCCTTAGCAATCTGTCCGTGAGATGGATCCAAGTTCATTCATGCATCTTTTGTGCTTTTTAACAGTTGAACGATAATGGATGGATACATAGATGATTTTCTTTTTTGTTGTTCTCACTACAAAAGACAGATGCTACAATAAGCAAGGCTTGCTTGTGACTGTGCATACAAGCTTTCTCCAAGAAAAACTATTACTGGGTTGAAGGAATGCGTATATGATTGTAAAATACTGCCAAACTGCTTTGCCCGGGGCTCTTCCGAGTGACCTTCTCACCCAGTGTCTCTTGGTCCTCATGATGCTCACACATCTCAATTCTGGACATTACCAGTGCCTGTAATTTTCAGCAGACAATGAGTGAAATATGTGATCGCAATATTTTATTTTGCATTTCTCTCATTAGAAATGACACTAATGACCCAGGCGTGGTGGTTCATGCCTATAATCCCAGCACTTTGGAAGGCAGAGCTGGGCGGATCACCAGAGGTCAGAAGTTCGAGACCAGCCTGGCCAACATGGTGAAATGCCAACTCTACTAAAAATACAAAAATTAGCCAGGCGTGGTGGCGCATGCCTGTAACCCCAGCTACTCAGGAGGCTGAGGCAGGAGAATCACTTGAACCTGGGAGGCGGAGGTTGCAGCGAGCCGAGATCACACCACTGCACTCCAGCCTGGGTGACAGAGCGAGATCCCATCTCAAAAGAAATGACACTGAGCCTATTTTCATATATGCATTCACCATTTGTGTTTCTTTTCCTGTCAATTGCCTATTTATATTCTTTTTCCATTTTTTCCTTTTTAAAAATATTTCCGATTTTAAAAACCCTTTATATGTTTTGTATATTAATTTTGGGGGTAAGTTATATGAAAATATTTTCTCCAGCCTGCAATGTTTTTAAACATTGTTTATGGTGCGTTTTGTCATGTGGAAGTTTAAAACCATTAGGTAGTCAAATGTTTTCATTTACGGATTCTGAGTTTTGTGAATCACCCATCCCAATATTATTTATTTAGGGAAAATGCTATTTTCTTCTAACAATTTTTAATGTGTTTTTATGTTTAGCTCTTTATTTATTTTTATGTTTGGTATAAAATAGGGACTATAACTTCACCGTCCAAATGGATAGCCAACACCGTATTAAATAGCCCATCCTTTTCCCATTGATTCACAATGCCATTATATCATGTGCTAATTTCCCCCATAGTCCTAATCTGATTTGAAACGCCTCCTCCTGTTCCATTGATAGATTAATCTACTCTTGACCCAGCTGCATAGGTTTAATCGAGGTGGCTTTCTTGTGTGTTTCCTTATCTGGCAGACTAAGTTCCCATTTATTATTCTCATTAGTCCTTGCTTGCCATGCATTTTCTTTTCCAGGTGATTTTTAAAATCAGCTTGTCAAGTTCTCTGAAAAAATCCCAGTTAGAATTTTGTGCAATTACATGTAATTAATAGGTTAATTTATAAATAACTTATGTTCTTATAACATCAAGTCCTTCAATTTGAGATCATGGTTTCTCTCTCCATTTATTCAGCTTTTCTTTTATATCTTTTTTCTGCTTTCTCCATATAGTTCTTAAACCTGCTCTGTTACTGAGTGTGATGTAGCTTTAATTACCTTTGCAAACAGAATCTTCCTTTTCCATCATGACATTTTCTGGTTAGGTTTTGTGGGTATCTAGGAAAGTGATAGTTTCGGTAGGGTACTCTTAAATATCTGTCTGAATTCTCTTATTCATTTTAATAGTTTCTGAATTTATTCTTTTGGCTTCCCTAGGTAAATGATCTTGTTTTGTGCAAATAATGGCAGACAGTCTGTTCCTTCCAATGCAACTCATTTAGGGACAGGGGAGTTGTTCTGATCTGTTTTGTGCTGGCTGGGACCCGCCGTGCAATGCTGCAGATCAGTGGCATGGTGCTTTTGGTTGTCTCATTTCTTTTTTTTTTTTTGAGACAGAGTCTCACTCTGTCGCCTAGGCTGGAGTGCAGTGGCGCGATCTCGGTCACTGCAACCTGCACCTCCCAGGTTCGAGCAATTCTCCCACCTCAGCCTCCTGAGTAGCTGGGATGACAGGCATGCGCCACCATGCCTGGCTAAATTTTGTATTTTAAGTAGATTTAAAATACAGGGTTTCACCATGTTGGCCAGGCTGATTTCGAACTCGTGACCTTAAGTGATCCACCTGCCTCAGCCTCCCAAAGTGCTGGGATCACAGGGATGAGCCACTGCACCCGGCCTTGGTTGTCTCACTTCCGATTTCCAAGGATGTTTCTGCTCCAGGAGGAGGATGCAAGTCAAAGACAAGGAGTGCAACAGGAGTGCTGGGAGATGGGCACTCACCGAATGGTGCCCAAATGGGACCAGCACCGTGGATAGGAGCTGGAAAACTTAGCCAGTGGTGAGCCACAGGGTCTTCTGAGCCAGCTCAACCCACTGCGAGGCTCCTCTTTGGTGAGACGTGGTGCTGGAGGCGTGGTCAGGGCCAGACACCAGGAAACTCTCAGGCCACAACCTGTATATCTCTAGATAGTTCTGGTCTTCTTTAACGTGTTCCTTGAATAGAGCAGAAATCGGCCTCCTATAAAATCCACTCCTGGATCCCGGTTCTCCCCTCAGGAGATACATGGAAGCCTCAACTGTTTGAAAAACCAGGCAGGTCTCTCTTGAGGTTTCTTCAGGCCAAACCCTCTGGGTTACTTCAGCCATTCCGCACGCCCCTCTTAACCCCAGGCCATCCCAGATCCACCTCCCATGACACACTCAACCTGGTGCCTGTCCTTCCTAATGGGGGTCTCAGAACCCAAGGCCTGCAGAGTGGACTGACCCTCCCACCGGGCGCCCCTCCACGAGTGCAGTCTCACAGACAGTGGCACCAGGGGGCGCCCATTCAGCGATCCAGCTTCACAATGTATTTGCCATCGACTAAAATGCCATCGTCTTTTTCACATGTGCTCCTGCTAAGCTAGATTTGGAACTTTATTTTTATTTATTTATTTATTTATTTATTTATTTTTGAGACAGAGTCTCACTCTGTCGTCCAGGCTGGAGGGCAGTGGTGCGATCTTGGCTCACTGCAACGTCCGCCTCCTTGTTCAAGCAATTCTTCTGCCTCAGCCTCCGGAGTAGTTGGGATTATAAGTGTGCGTCACCATGTCTGGCTAATTTTTGTATTTATAGTAGAGGCGAGGTTTTGCTATGTTGGCCAGGCTGGTCTCGAACTCCTGACCTCAGGTGATTCACCCACCTTGGCCTCCCAAAGTGCTGGGATCACACGTGTGAGCCACCGTGCCCAGCCGAGACTTGGAACTTTAGATTGTTTTGTCCTAAACTTCCCATGGCTACACCAGCCCGTTACTCCAGACCATTGAGGTCAGCTTCATCCTGGCTCTAGCACCTGGCATGTGTGCCATCCTCCTAGCTGGATGGCAGCCCCACATTGGAAGGCCTGCCTCCTGGATCCTTATCTGAATTGCTGATGTGAATGAAAGGAGGAACCAACAGCACAGACGCCTATGTCTGGACTGACACTGGTGTGGCCTCAGCCAGGCCCATCTCTCTCCCTGTGCTCTTCAACAACAACAAAATCACAAATGAACCCCATAAAATGCTTTATGGAAACCTATAGATATCAGATTAAAGATCACAATCTGGTGGCCCCTATGTTGGATTTAGTGTTCTGTTCACCCAACCCATATTTTTAAAAATTATGAACCAGTTACAAGCATTTTTAAAAATTCAGAGATTTCTACATAATAATCTGGATTTTCAGCTTTCCTTGAAAAATCTGAAGATCTGATACCCTTGATTATTCCACAGTGATGTAGCTGGGGTGGGGCGTGTATTAGTCTGTTTTCACGCAGCTGATAAAGACATACCTAAGACTGGGCAACTTACAAAAGAAAGAGGTTTAATGGACTCACAGTTCCACGTGGCTGGGGAGGCCTTACAATCATGGCGGAAGGTGAAGGGCACATCTCATGTGGCAGACAAGAGAAGAATGAGCTTGTGCAGTCAAACTCCCATTTCTAAAGCCATCAGATCTCATGAGACCCATTCACTATCACGAGAACAGAGCCGCCATAATTCAATCACCTCCCACCGGGTTCCTCCCACGACACGTGGGAATTGTGGGAGTTACAATTCAAGATGAGATTTGGGTGGGGACACAGTCAAACCATATCAGAGTGGAAGCATTCCCTTTCAATGGGGCAGTTCTCTTTGATGTGTCACCATCCCCACCTCGCCCTGTCGCCTCACTCGCAGCCTGTTCCACTCATTTACATCACCCGCCTGACTGCTGTAGGCCACTGAGCTATGATATTCATCAGACGCAACTAATTACCCAACTTGTGAGGCCAGCAACCACACACTGGTAAACAGGTTTAGTTGACTTGGTGTGTTCCCAGTGACCTCCTGCTGGTTCCCAGGCCCAGCACCTGCTTTGCCTCTCCTCACAGATCATGCTGTTAGTAATCTCATCTAGCCTCTTGCCTGGGGTGGACGTCAAGCTCACTACACTGTAAACTCCAAAACAGCCCACGTTACTCCCGGTGACAATCAGAATTCCCCCTGGCCTGCCCTCAGGTGTCCTGGCTCTCTCCTCTCAGCATCCCCCATGGACTCATGGGCACCCCCGGTTGAGCTCGCTCACCCAGAGCTCTCTCTCTTCCCTGGGATGAGGCTTGGTTCTACGGAAGCTGGGGTCGTCACAGCCTGTTTTCTGCCTTGGGGTTTGGTCCCAGTTCCTCAGAGCAGTGACTTTCAGTTCCTTTGCAGGTGTGACCTGTCTGCTCCTGTTAGAGCCTCCTTTCCCCAGAGGGCAGGGTGGGCCCCACTGGGGAGCTGGAGGGCTCACTTTTGTCACTGCACTTGCCACCCAGAACACTGTTACTGTCCCTTTCTGGCATTTCTTGGTTTCAGACAATCTCACCTACCCCTCAAAGAAGGCGGAAGCTTCCTGTCGTGGTCTGGCCCTTTGCCATCTTTCAGTGTTCCTCACTGAACGGTAATCCCCTCCGTGTGCCCCCAACGAGTCATTCACCATCTTGTGCTAACTGCATTTCTTCCTGATCCAAACTTGCTTTCTGGAGATGGGGGCCATGCAGAAGGGAAGGCGGGTGTATCAGGAGGTCTGGTCTCTGGGGACTGAAGGGATGATTTTGCCAAAAGGGTCAATGTCACTGGACCACATGCCATGGTAAACCTTGGACAACCAGTTCTCCAGGGAAGAAAACAAGCCCGTGATTTGTAGTGTTTGCCTATTTCTACCGTGGAGACACTCTAACCACAGCTCCCACCAGAGTGGCTGCATTCACAACCAGCTCTTGGGGTTCCTGGAAAACTGGGATTTGAGCCTGTAGGAGCCAGTGCCAGCACCCCATGGGCATGTGTGTTATCAGCTCACATCTGCCAAGTCCTGGCGAGGTCTGCCTGCCTCTAGGACTGTAGACGTCTTTATTAGAGACTCCTGTCACACCTGTTAGGAGTCAGACAGATTAATAATCACTTCTTTTTATTTAGAGCTCTTTTAATCCCCAAACTCTTATTTATAAGTTATTTTATAAATTAATAATGATATATCATATATTATATTATAATTAATAATGACATATATGTCATATAACATTATTAAAATCAATTAATTATTAAATAATTATAATATATAATTATATATTATATTATTATTAAATATATAACATATAATAGATATTATATATTACATATTATATAAGTAGTAATTGCATATTATATAAATAATATATATTATATATAATATAAATATATTTATTTATTATAAATTATATTTATTTATATTATATTTATAATTACATTATATTATATTAACTTATTTATAAGTTAATCAGTTTTACCTCTTCCTTGTGATCAGGTTTGGGAAGGATGTTTTTTCTACCTGCCTGGTCTGCTTCCTTGACTGTGTGATCAGGGTCAAACTGCCCATTCTTCTGAGCTTCAGTTTATTTATCTGAGAAATGGGAGTTGCTGGTCCATTAGCACAGTTAGCAGAGCAGGTGCTGCATGATGACCGTGGCTCTCACTGACTGGGAGCCACGCCCCGGGCTCTGTTAGTTCGTTAAACCACTTGGGCAAGTAGGTCTTGAAATCTTCATTCACGGCCAAGGAAACTGGTTTGGTCTCAGAGAGTTAGATACTGTACTCTAGATCGCACAACCAGTTGGTCGTGGAGCTAAGATTGACATTCGTAGCTGACATGGTGTTTTAAAACTTAGTCACAAACATTAAAAAATCGGAGATTTCATCTAGGAATCTGGACTTTTACCTTCTGAAAAATTTAAAATTCTAGCACCCAAGGCCTGTGTTACCCCATGATGCTGTAACTGGAGCTAACTGGAAGCTGCTGCCTTTGAAGGGGTGTTTCCCCCATGGGCCCCAGTCCCCGCCTCTCCCTAGTGTCCCACACCTCGCCTGCTTCACTCACACCAAGTTTCACATTTCGTGATTTTCCCCATGGGCCAGAATGAGAGGAAGAAACTGAGGCACAGAATGTTTTGGCAATTAATTCAGCTCAAATCAGAGAAGCCACAGCAGAGCTAAGAACCGGTCTTTCATAGTCAGGCTATGTGATCAAAACCACAGCGCCTCGGTGGCTCACGCCTGTAATCCCAGCACTTTGAGAGGCCGAGGCGGGCAGATCACAAGGTCAGGAGATCGAGACCATCCTGGCTAACACAGTGAAACCCCGTCTCTACTAAAAATGCAAAAAAAATTAGCTGGACGTGGTGGCGGGCGCCTGTAGTCCCAGCTACTCGGGAGGCTGAGGCAGGAGAATGGCATGAACCCGGGAAGCGGAGCTTGCAGTGAGCCCAGATCACGCCACTGCACTCCAGCCTGGGCGACAGAGCAAGACTCCGTCTCAAAAAAAAAAAAAAACAACCAAAAAACCACAGCGCCTTCTCACTACAAAGCCATGACTTTACAAACTGTTTTAATCCCTTCTGTCCCCATATTGCACTTTGTATAACACTCCCCTTCCTAGGAAACCATTTGAATGGGTGTCTTTTTATTTGAATATGTTCTTACAAAACACTATTGTTGTCTTGGGTGCATGCATTTTAAATTGACTGAAGTCATATCATAGCTTTCATTCTGTGTTCCCCCTTTTCACCAAAGGATCTTCCATGCTGCTGCGTGCACAGCAAGCTCTTGCTTCTGGCTGCTGCAAAACACCCCATGTATGCCTTGACCACACTACTTGTCCACTGTCCCAGTGATGGGCATCCAGGTTCCCTGCAAATCTCTGCTGCACAAAGAATGACAACCCATATAGGTGGGTTGTCAAAGTGAGCCCTGGGGTATATGCCCAGGAGTGAAGTTGCTGGGTCATAGCATATGCTCATATTTAATTTGCCTAAATTGTACCTGATTATTCTCCACAATGGCTGTCCTGGTCTATGTTCCTGGGTTTCTCTATCCAGCACAGATGTTGAGAGAGACGGGAGGGCTTTGCACCAGTAACTAGGCCCTTGGAATGGAGCTCAAGGCAGGCTTGCCTCATGTCAAAGGCACCAGAACACACAGGCAGAGAGATTGGAGAACGGCAATCTTTCAGAGTCCAGGAGCGTAGAACTTAGAGGAAGGAACCTGAGATCTGGGTTCAAGTCCTGCCTCTGCCACTTCCAGGGCAAGTCACTTGGCCCTTCTGTATCCTGGCTGCCTGCCGAGGGGGTGATCTGCCCAGTGCTAGGGTGTTCTCTCAGAAAAGTAGTTCTTTTTTTTTTTTTTTTTTTTTGGAGACAGAGACTTGCTGTGTTGCCCAGGCTGGAGTGTGGTGGCATGATCTCGGCTCACTGCAACCTCTACCTCCCAGGTTCAAGCAATTCTCCTGCCTCAGCCTCCCGAGTAGCTGGGATTACAGGCATGTACCACCATGCCTGGCTTATTTTTGTGTTTTTAGTAGAGATGGGGTTTCACCATGTTGGCCAGGCTGGTCTCGAACTCCTGACCTCAAATGATCCACCTGCCTCCGCCTCCCAAAGTGCTGGGATTACTGGTGTGAGCCACTGTGCCCTGCCTTTTTTTTTTTTTTTTTTTTTTGAGACATAGTCTTGCTCTGTCGCCCAGGCTGGAGTGTAGTGGTGTAATCTTGGCTCACTGCAACCTCTGCCTCCCAGGTTCAAGTGATTCTCCTGCCTCAGCCTCTCAAGTAGCTGGGATTACAGGTGCGCACCACCACACCTGGCTAATTTTTGTATTTTTAGTAGAGATGGGATTTCACCATGTTGGCCAGGCTGGTCTTGAACTCTTAACCTCAAGTGATCTGCCTGCCTTGCCCCATTTCTTTATCTGTAAAATAGGAAGACTAACAGAAACTTAAGTGAAGCTGTTTGAGTACTCAAAAAATATTCATCCTTTTCTTCATTCATTTCCAACACTGAGGTAAATGCACAATGCATTTCATCTTCAATGCTGAGGCTTCTTTGCATGCTCGGTCACACTTAGGGCACCCTGGTATCCCCTCTAGCTGGTTCAGGGACTCACGGGACAGAGGCCCTGCTAAAGAGCAGGATTTGGGACTGATCAGGGCAAACAGAAGGTGAGGTCGGAAGTGTGCTGAAGCCATGGGGGGTAGGCTCAGGGAGGGATGGTCGTGGTCCTCATGGGCCATGGTTGGGGAGGAAGAGGAAGAGGAAGCTAAGGTTTTCATGTCTGATCAGCTCTTCTATAAAGTTGGGGGGTCCAAATTCTTTCCCAGTGCTGAGAGGCTTGAGTTGAGGACTTGACGGTGAATCGTTTGGTCAGCTGTTGAGGACAGGCTTGAGATGGACAAGTGCAAGGATTGATTTTGAGAGCTGACCGCCATAGGTCAGGTTCTTCCAGAAGCAGATCCTAGGCCTTGGTACCAGTAATTCATGAAAGAAGGGCTCCCAGGAGAAACCAGTAAGGGAGTGGGGGACAAAGGACAGGGAAGAGGGGGAAACCAGGTGTGGTTTCAGGTGAAGTCTCACCTCTGGCCTGATCTCACAGGAGCTGTGGAGTATAAATTGCACCTCCAAATTTGTCCCACAGGGAGGCAAGAAACTGGGCTTTTGCACATGTACTCCAGGCCCCCATTGGCTGTCTTGGGTAGGGATAGGGAATGTGGACCTCCCGGGTTTCTCCTGGATTTCCCCATAGGTGAGGTGGTTCCAGTGCCCAAGGGCAGTCGTCTGAGGCACCAGGCTTAGGTCTTTGGCAGCAAAGCAACAGAGCCCCCAGAAGTGGGGATGGGAGCAGGGGGGCGGTCAGTGGGTCCCAGGGAACTGGGTAGGACAGCAGCTGCGCTCTCTGTAAGAACCTGGCTATGGTTGGAAACCGTCATTTCTATCTACACCTGTGCTTTGCCAGTGCCGCTCCCTTCGCCCGCCAGGGTGCTCCCTGTCTCTTTGCCCCACCACCTCCTATTCACCTGAAGTAGGAGCATCTCAGCTGCAGAGTAGCTTCTTTGGTGAATCCTTCCCTGATCCACCAGGCTGAGTCTCCCGGAGCACCCTCCCAAGCTACTGTCCTCTCTTCACAAGCCTCTGCACCTGGTCATATTTTCTTAGTTGTTTATGGTTCTGTGTCTTGCTCCTTTGCTGGACTGTGGGCAGGGCCTGGGTCTGTGTTGGTCCCTGATGCCGGGGGCTGAGCCGGGGGGAAGAGAGCCAGAGGGGAAGGGAAGGGTAAGAGGGTAGTGACCGCAAGCGGGCCGCCTGCTGGCTGCTGCACCACCAGCTCTGCTTTCCTTCAGCCCTGCCCAGGGCAGCAGGTGATCGTGGGGCGGATCTTGACGAGTAGCTTCGAGGACAGGGGCCACAGGAGGACAGGCTGCCAGCAAGTGGAGGGTGCCAGGGAGAGAGTGGCTCTGGGGGGCCACAGTGGGGTTCTGGCTTGTTGGAGAGATGGTGGGGTCCAAAGAGGCCCGAAGGCCTGCACAGGGGATGAGATGAAGGGACAGTGGCCACTGGGAGGTCAGAGAGCAGTCGCTATGGGAATGAGCATGTGGAACTTGACGATTTGTCCCTATTGGCAGATACTGATGATAAAACAAGTTGTGTGACATTGGACAAGTTGCCTTATCTCTCGCAGCCTCAGCTTCCCCATGGGTTAATGAAGATAAGTATGTCATGAAGTTTCAATAAGAGGAAGACCCCGGGGGAAAGTTTATTTTTCCCACCACACTTGTATCTGTCAGTGTTTGCTGCATAACAAACAGCCTCAAATCTCAATACTTAATGACAGCAAACATTGACTTTCCACTCCTGGGTCTGCAGGTCTGCTGTGGTTGGCTAATCTAGTTGGGCTGTCTTGGACTCAGCTGAACCAGGCTGGACTCCAGGTTTCTAATCATGTCCAGGTCTGTGCCTAACATCCTCATTCCTGGGCCAGGCTGAAGGGCTGGAGTTTTCCTGGCCATCCTTTCTTATGGCAGATTGCAGGGGCCCAGGAGGGCGAGTAGAAACTCAATGTGCCCTTAAAGCCCTCAGCTCAGAACTGGTGCTTTTGCCCACATTGCACTGGCTTGGCCAGAGTCATGTGGCCAAGCCCAACATCAGTGGGGCAGAGACACAGATTCATCACGCTCTAGTGCAAGGTGCTACAAGGACGTGGCTGCAAAGCCCTGCAGCAGGGAAGGGCCCTTCTGCCACAGCACCCCTCCTCCTCCTCTGGGCTTCTCCAGTGCACCTAAGCTCTTGGAGAAAGTGCAGAAACCTTTCCCATAGTGAACTGAAAAGCTCACTGTGATGCCAGGTATGAGGCACAGTTTCTAGCTGTCAGCTGTGACTCTAGTGATCAAGGACGCATCCTGTCCTGGATTCTTAATTGTGGACCTGAGTTTCCCAGATGAGGGTTCCACCATCCAAATACCCAGAGCACCTGCTGATGGAGAGCATTGTCATCCTTGTCCCCTTGCTCTGATCCTGGTGACATTAACAGAGACTTCAGAGCTGTCATTTCAGTATCAGCCAAAGCTGTCAATTTTCCAGCCCTCCATCCTGAGCTCCTTTGATGTGAGGGGTTCAAAGCACTTTCTAAGCTGCTTGAATCTTCAAGGAAAGCATGGGCCTGACTCCCATGGCACAGATACTAGGGAGTGAATGGCAGAGATTTGGGGACCTGATGATCTCAACATCCCAGTGGGAATCCCAGCTCATGGGGGATAAGGCCTAAGTGGATGCCCATGTCTGAGAGTTGACCTGGCATGAGGGTTTCCCCAGCAGAGGGTGCGGTAGGCAGGGCTGCTGGTGGGTAGGCAGGGGGTAGGCAGGGACCCAGCCTGGGGAGGATGGCCTGATTCCACAAGGAGCTGTGGAGTGTAAATTACACCTCCAAGTTTGTCCTGCAGGGAGGCAAGAAACTGGGCTTTTACATGTGTACTCCAGGCCCCCATTGGCTATCTTGGGTGGGCACAGGGAATGTAGACCTCCCAGGTTTCTCCTAGATCTCCCCATGGGCAAGGTGGCTCCAGTGCTCAAAGGCAGTTGTCTGAGGCAACAGGCTCAGGTCTTTCACAGCAAAGAGGGTGTTGGCTATGAACTCAGAGAAAGGGGTGATTTAGAAGGGAGTGCAGAGACTGCTGGGGAGTGGGGCAAAGCCCATGCCAGGTGATTCTGGGAAGTCTGCCCAAAACAAGGCGAGAGGAATGTCGAAGAACCTAGCTTCAGGAAGTTGGGGCTGGTTGGAATGAAGTAGTTGGGAGAAGATAGAACCCAGCTCCACTAGTGCCAGGGCCCCCCAGCCCTGGACAGCAAGGGCCTGGGGGAGGGGTTACAACCTGGTGCTTGCCGGGGAGCTGGGAAGAACCGGGTGTCTGGGGTGGGAGTCATGATGTCCCTGCTGGCCCCAGCTGGCGGGTGGTTGGAGACAGGGTGGGTGCTTGGGCTCAGTCTTCGCTTTCCTTCCCTTAAGCTTGGGCCTCTTCCCCAGCGCTGCCACGGCACTCCCTTCTGCACACTGAGATTCTGACCGAGACTGGCATTGGCTTTTACCCTTTTCAAGTCTCCAGACATGTGGTTTGGGACCATGCCTGGGAGAGGCCAGTGGCGGCTGGACCTTGCCCAGAGATAGCCAGTGCCAGTTTCCCCCCTCCCACCTCTCAGTCCACCATAGCCCCAGGGGGCGGACCTCCTGTCCTCCAGGAGGTAGACGCCCCAAATGCCAGGTTTCACACCACCCTACCCACCCACTGAGCCCGAGTGGCTTGCGTCTGCCACAGCGTCTCTGACTGCCTTCTCTGCCCTGGGCTGGCAGCCCCCTGGCTCTGTGCCTGTCCTCCTCCGGGATCTCACTATCATCCAGCTAGAGAGTCCGGGGATCCCCCACCCACCACCTCCAACCCCTTTCTCATCTCTCTCATCTGGAAATGTCCCCTGGGATGCTGCTCTTCTGACAGCATCTCTGACCGCTCAGGCAAGCTGCTCAACCTCTCTAAGACTCAGTTTCCCCATCTGTAAGCTGAAGATATCAAACCCACCTGCACTATTAGATAAAATATAAATTGCATCACATATGTGGGCGCATCTGGCCCACTTTCTTCCACATCTGATGATCAGTCAACATCCATTCTTTCTTTTTTATTTAAACGAGATGAGGTCTTGCGATGTTGCCTCCTTTCTCTCCCCCCAAGTGCAGGTCAGAGCCTTCCAAGCCCCAGGAACCCACAAAATCAGGCCATCTTTGTGAGATGTGCCAGCTCAAATTCCCTGCAGCCTGACTACCAGAAATTTGCCCCCTTGAAAGTTCCCACAAGTATTTCTGAGATGCCCTCAAAGAGCCCCTCCCTGCTCCCTCCCAGGGCAGCACGGGGCACCGTTCCTTCCTCCTTTGCCAGGTCCTAATGTGCAGGTGTCTGACAGGCACTTACCCCGGTACCGCAAGAACACCAGGGTCACTGTCCCAGCCTAGGGCTCTGTGCCAGGCACTAAAGCTACCCATCCACAGTCTTGCAGCTTCTGCATGGCAGAGAGGGGACAACCCCCTGCCCAGTGCTAGGCTTTGGTTTGTACCCAGAGACCCACAAAAGAGTGCACACCATCAGTCTCTGTCTGATGCTCAGTCATTCCAGAAGCTAAATCAAGCCATGGGTTGTGGCAGAAAACAGAAGCTATGTCCTATCTACTCCCATTCCTCTGCCCAGCCAGAGTACCTCCCTCTCCTGGTCACAAAATGAGACCTGCCTTGCTCTTCTGTGGATGGAAACTTGCAGGAGCCTAGCTTTGCCATGCCAATGCACAGTGCCCATCCACCTCCATCCTGCAGCCCCAGCTGAGACACTTGTGCTGCTGAAGAGAATGCAGCCCCTCCCCTCTGGCCAGTCCCACAGCACACGCTTCAGCTGAGACAGCCAAGAAGAGCAAGGGGACTGCCTGCACTCACCACAGTGCTTGTCCTGGGCTGCTGCAGTCACCTCACCCTCGTCTATGCGCGTTGCTGTGTGACTCTGGTTCTCTGTAATTGACCTTTTTATTATTGGCGTGGGCATTGTTGCAACTATTTGGGCATCGTAGGTGTTTCCATGGTATTTGTAGCTTTTGTACAGAAACCTTCAGAAGTATATAGACTGGGAATGTTTTTGTATGATAAAAATAGACACTTTTAGGCAAGATGGTTTTTTTCTTTCTTTTTTATTTTTTTGTTGTTGTTGAGATGGAATCTCGCCCTGTTACCCAGGCTGGAGTACAATGGCGCGATCTCGGCTCACTGCAACCTCTGCCTCCCAGGTTCAAGCAATTCTCCTGCCTCAGCCTCCCGAGTAGCTGGGATTACAGGCGCCTGCCACCACGCCCAGCTATTTTTTTTTTTTTTTGTATCTTTAGTAGAGATGGGGTTTCACCATGTTGGCCAGGCTGGTCTCGAACTCCTGACCTCATGAACCACCCGCCTCAGCCTCCCTAAGTGCTGGGATTACAGGCAGAAGCCACAGCGCCCACCAGTCTTTATCTTTTTTTTGAGACAGGGTCTCATTCTGTTGCCCAGGCTGGAGTGTAGGAGCACAATCTTGGTTCACTGCAGTCTGCATTTCTCAGGCTCAAGGGATTCTCCCATTTCAGCCTCCCAAGTAGCTGAGACTATAGGCATGTGCCACCATGCTCAGCTAATTTTTTTTTTTTTTTTTTGAGATAGAGTCTCACTCTGTCACCCAGACTGGAGTGCAGTGGCATGATCTCTGCTCACTGCAGCCTCTGCCTCCCAGGTTCAAGCGATTCTCATGCCTCAGCCTCCTGAGTAGCTGGGATTACAGGTACACACCACCATGCCTGACTAATTTTTTTTGTATTTGTAGTAGAGACAGGTTTTCAGCATGTTGACCAGGCTGGTCTTGAACTCCTGGCCTCAAATGATTCACTGGCCTCGGCCTCCCAAAGTGCTGGGATTACGGGTGTGAGCCACTGTGCCTGGCCTAATTTTTTATTTTTATTTTTTTTTAATAGAGACGAGTTCTCATTATGTTGCCCAGGCTGGTCTCTAACTCCTGGGCTCGAGCGATCTTCCCACCTCAGTGTCCCAAAGGGCTGAGATTGTAGGCATGAGCCACCGCGCCCAGCAACAAGATGCTCTCTAACCTCCCCCTGCTTTGTGTGTGTGTGCATGCACGTGTGCACACTCGTACCAATTACATGAGCTAGGTTACATAGGCTGATTTTCAACAAACTATTACAGTGTTTAGCTCAAAAAGTGGTTATTTAGGCCGGGTGCAGTGGCTGACGCCTGTAATCCCATCACTTTGGGAAGCTGAGGCAGGTGGATCACCTGAGGTCAGGAGTTCGAGACCAGCCTGGCCAACATGTAGTGAAACTGCATCTCTACTAAAAAATACAAAAATTAGCTGGGTGTGGTGGCACATGCCTGTAGTCCCGGCTACTTGGGAAGCTGAGGTAGGAGAATTGCTTGAACTCGGGAGGCGGAGGTTGCAGTGAGCCAAGATCACACCACTGCACTCCAGCCTGGGCGACACAGCGAGACTCCGTCTCTTAAAAAAAAAACAACAAAAAAAAAAAACTGTTGCTTCGACAGTTATTTTAAAAAAAGATAATTTGACTTATAGAACATTTTCAAGAACGGTACAAAGAATTCCTGTATACCCTCTGCTTTACCCAATTAATGTTTTAGCATACTGTTTATCATCATTTCAGTCATATTACTATTATCATTTTTCTGAATTATTGACAAGTAAGTTGCTGACAATGCCCCACTGTCCCTAAATATATCAGTGTGTTTTTCCTAAGTGATAAAGACTCTCCTTTGTAACCACATTCAACCGTCAAAATCAGGAAATTAACATGGATGAAACACCACCATCTAATTCTTAGATCCTTCGTTCAAATGTTTTTAGTAGTCTCAATAACAATATATACATCTATTATTTACATATTTATGGAAGTTATATATAACTTTTATACACACACACACACGCACACACACACATATAATTTCCCCCTTCTGGGCTGAGGCTCAATCCAGGATGATGTGTTACATGTAATTGTCACATCCCTTCAGTGTCCTTTAATTGGGCACAGTTCCTTGCCTTTTCTTGTCTTTCATGACCTTGGCATTTTTCAATAGAATAGGCTAATAATTTTGTAGACTGTCCCTGTCCCTCAATTTTGGGTTTTCAGGTGTCTCCACATGACATGGCCCGGATTCTGCGTTTTCTGCAGGAGTGCATAGCAGCAATGCTGTGTCCTCTGTGCACCCATCTCAGGGGGTACAATGGCGCTCTGCTGTTACTGCAGAACTTAACACTGGACACTTGGTTAAGCTGGTGGCTGCCAGGTTACAATAAGGATTGTAAAGTTACTAGTTTTTGCTTTTAATAACAATTTAAGGCCAGGCGCAGTGGCTCACGCCTGTGATCCTAGCACTTTGGGAGACCGAGACGGGCAAATCATCTGAGTCCAGGAGTTTTAGACCAGCCTGGGCAACATGGCAAAATTCCGCCTCTACAAAAAATACAAAAAATTTAGCCAAACGTGGTGATGCATGCCTATAGTCCCAGGTACTTGGGGGGGCTGAGGTGTGAGGATCGCTGGAGCCTGTGAGGTTGAGGCTGCCATGAGCTGTGATCATGCCACTGCGCTCCAGCCTGGACAACAGAGTGAGACTCTGTCTTGAAAAAAAAAAAAAAAAAGAACAATGTAATAACATTTTTCCTCAAACTCTCACCCACTTTGTTTAGCATGTATTGACGATTCTTGCCTGAATCAGTCATTACTATGATGATTGCCAAATGGTGACTGTTTTTGTTGTCGCTTCGACGGTTATTAATTGGCATTCCACTGTGGGGAGGAGCCGTCCCTTCTCCTTTATTTATGTCAGTACAGACTCATGAATTTCTATTTTATTCGATGGATTATAATTATTTTTATTATTCATTTTGATGTTTGAATTGTGCTGGATGCACCTTTCAACTGTTCCTTCAGTTGGCTCCTGGCTCCTGTATCTGTTTGACAAATCGCCATTATTTTAGCATTTTCTTGCTTTCTGGGGCAACAGGTGTTGCAGGTACTTGTTAGATCTTCTTGGCCTCGATTCAAAGGCTGCTAGAATCAGCCATTTCTCAAGGAGCACTGGCTATCTTTCATGGAGGATGACATTTAGCAGCCAAGATCTGAGCAGCAGGTGTTCTCATTGCTGTTGGAGTGTTGTGGGCTCTCGCAGCAGACAGAGTGAGGAAATAGTGTGTGCACATACACTCATTCATGCACCTGTATTTATCTATATATCTTTTTTTTAAAAAATACCGCATCTCACTCTGTTGCCTAGGCTGGAGTGCAGTGGTACGATCTCAGCTCACTGCAACCTCTGCCTCCTGGGTTCCAGCAATTCTCCTGCTTCAGCCTCCCAAGTAGCTGAAATTACAGGCCTGGCTCATTTTTGTATTTTTAGTAGAGACAGGGTTTCACCATGTTGGCCAGGCTGGTCTCGAACTTGGGACCTCAGGTGATCCACTCACCTCGGTTTCCCAAAGTGCTGGGAATACAGGTGTGAGCCACTGCACCTGACCGGTATTTACCTGTATATCTTAAAAGCCCGAGTTGGCACAGACACTTCCCATTCCAATCCAATGCCCCACAGCCATGGGACCTTTCTCCTTTCTGTGTTTGCAGCTCCTTTCTCTGAGAGTGAGAAGCCTGGCTCCTGCTTCTTCCCCATGTATTATCCCCAAGAAGGGTAATCCCCTTCTTGGATTACATGCTTATTCCCCTGTGTATACCCTGCTTCTGGCTCTGCTGCTCCCCTGACATCACCACCTCCTTGGTTCTGGCTGTGCAGACTTCTAAGGCCCTCGTCATGTCCTTATCCCAGCTGCTCCCTCGTCCCCACTGGCTCTGCAGCCTCCTGCAACCTGACCACCTCCCTGGCCCCAGGTCCAAGGTCTGCTGGCCCTGGACACTTCAAAGGAAGGGAAAGGAAAGGAACCAATAAAATGTTTTTAAAAAAAGAGAAGGGAGGGAAGAGGAAGAGCTGATTGTTTTGTTTTTGTTTTGTTTGTATTTTTTTTTTCTATTAACAAAAGCCACATTCAATTATTGTTCTTTTTAAGAACAAACATTTTGGAGTCCATTCAAAGCCATGTGGCTGAAGAGAGATTCCTGGGACTGAAGGAGGCCTCAAAAGCTCTTCCCAAATCTGTCCCCCAGCCCCACCACACTGCCCACCTTTCCTATCTCATTAAATATCACCAACATCAACCAAGTTACTGCAGCCAGAGATCTAGGGCCACTCTCGCTGGCTCTCGCTTGTCGACCGTGCCCTGTTCGATGGGCTAATCTGGTTCCAGCTCCATCCTTGCCTCTCTCCTGCTGCTGCATCTCCCTAATTCAAGCACTAGAGTGGGGTTGCTTGGACGCCCAGCGTCCACACCGTAGCCGAGGTGATAGTTCTAAAATGTAAATCTGATCACATCACACACACACCAGCTTTTAATTGCCTTTAGTGCCTCCAAACCACTCTTTTTTTTTTTTTTTTTTGAGACGGAGTCTCGCTCTGTCGCCCAGGCTGGATGGAGTGCAGTGGCGCCATCTCAGCTCACTGCAAGCTCCGCCTCCCGGGTTCACGCCATTCTCCTGCTTCAGCCTCCCAAGTAGCTGGGACTACAGGCGCCACCAACACGCCCAGCTAATTTTTGTATTTTTAGTAGAGATGGGGTTTCACTGTGTTAGCCAGGATGGTCTCGATCTCCTGACCTTGTGATCTGCCCGCCTCGGCCTCCCAAAGGGCTGGGATTACAGGTGTGAGCCACCGCACCCAGCCAGCTCCAAACCACTCTTAAGACAAAACTCAAATTCTGCCAGGCCCCAAGGGCCCAAGACACCCATGCTCTGACCTTTCTTTCTCCCCCACTTCTTCACCCACGTGGGGCCCTATGATTCTTAAATTTGGGGGAGAGGAGGTGGTTAAAGGTTGAGACCATCCTGAGGGCAGGAGAGAAGTACAGGAAAGCATTTCAGGGGTTGCAGAGCGGGGAGAGGCCAGGCCGGGAGGAGGTGGCCCCCATCCCTAGTAAGAGCTGGACAGGAGGCTGCTTCCAGCCTTTCCCTCAGATGAGCTGGCTCAGAGCAGGGCAAACGCGGCAGGAGGTCTCCTTCCAGAACTCAAAGGCTCGGCCTGCACCGTCAGACTCCACACTGATCCTCACTCAGCCTTGGGACGTGTGGATGCCTGGGTCAGTGGGCTCCGAGACCTGGAGCCCTCTGTGGCTTTCAGAAACTTCCCAGCCTCCACAGGCGGGGAGTCTCCCCACTGGGAAATGGAAGTAATAAAAACAGCAGCCACCCCGCAAACCCACACCATTCTCTCCACCACAGCCGAGTGGTGTTTTCACCGTCCTCTCTAGTGGCTTTCTCATCTAACTTGAAACAAATGCTTTGGTGTGGGGAGCAACTGAAGCAGGGTATTTGGTTTGGTTTGTTTCCACTTTTTTTTTTTTTTAGACAGAGTTTCGCTCTTGTCACCCAGGCTGGACTGCAATGGCACAATCTCGGCTCACCACAACCTCTGCCTCCCAGGTTCAAGCAATTCTCCTGCCTCAGCCTCCCAAGTATCTGGGATTACAGGCATGTGCCACCGCGCCTATCTAATTTTGTATTTTCAGTAGAGATGAGGTTTCACCATGTTGGCCAGGCTGGTTTCGAGCTCCTGACCTCAGGTGATCCGCCCGCCTCAGCCTCCCAAAGTGCTGGGATTGCAAGCGTGAGCCATCGCGCCTGGCCTGTTTCCCAGTTCTTAATACTGTCCCGCCACTGGTAAAATCTCCACAATCATTCTATATGCTCTTCCATTTAAAACGAAGCCTGGAAGAGCCTTGTGGGGGGTTCCTAGCACCCCGGGGCTCCTGCTCTGCCTGCATGGCCTTCCTCTGTGCCTAGTCCTGTTTCACGCCTCATTTAGAGACAGCAAACAGTGCTAAAGTTAAAATTACCCACTGGGAAACTTGAGCCTGTGCAATGACTTTCCTGGATGGTGTGACTTTCCTGGATGGTGTTGGAAAGTCAGAGCCCAGGAACTGTTTCTGGAAATGCAGCACTTCTCAGCATGTGCAGCCCTGAGCCTCCAGCAGTCTGGACAACGGCTGTTCTTTGTTTTAAAGACCCGGGTGCCCTTCTCGTCCTGAACCCCAGGGCCACAGGCAGCCCCTCTCCCCTTGCCCTGTACCTTCCCCAGGAGTATTGCTACCTGAGTGAGCTCAGGTGCCAAGCCGTCAGACAAAGGTGCCTCTCCCTGCAAGTCCCAGCTTGGCAATCCACGTCTCTGGTTCCCTCAACACCTTTCTTCAATGGAGAGGTCCATTTTCTGCAATGCACATGCCCCTCAACACAGTGGTGGGGGCTGCCATTATGTCATTATGTTTGCAACCAAACTTCTCTGCAAGGAGACTTGGGGGACTACGAGGCTGAGCCAAGCAGGGTTCCTTTCCTTCAACCACTTATGAGCTTGTGGGGAAGGCAGGCACAGCAACTATGACATGACGCAGAGTGAGCTGCTGATTCTAAGCTGGGCTTGGTGGGGAGCTGTCTGCAGAGACTCTGTAAAAATGATCCTGCTGGAAGTCACCCAGAACTTTCCACAGACCTAGAAATTATAATGGGAGGCAAGAGAAGAGTATTTTGTTTCACAATCTGAACTAACTCCTACCATGTTTTGTTTGTTTGTTTTTTCTGCTTGACTCTTGGCTGTGAGCACAAATTCATGCCCATTCTGCTGATCCTAAAAGCTCTGAAGGGAGGGCTACTCTGAGCCTGAGATGTCAGATATATATGTAGATATATATGTAGATAGATAGATAGATAGATAGATAGATATAGATATAGATATAGATATAGATATAGATATATAGATATATAGATACTTTTTGAGACAGGGTCTTGCTCTGTTGCCCAGGCTGGAGTGCAGTGGTGTGATTGTGGCTCACTGCAACCTCCACCTCCTGGGTTCAAGCAATCCTCCCACCTCAGCCTCCCAAGTAGCTGGGACTACAGGGTGCACCACTACGTTTGGCTAATATTTGTATTTTTTGTAGAGACAGGTTTCATCATGTTGCCCAAGCTGGTCTCCACCTCCTGGGCTTAAGCAATCTGCCCACCTCGGCCTCTCAAAGTGCTGGGATTACAGGCGTGTGCCACCATGTCTGACCAAGACCTCATAATTTTTTTTTTTCTTTGAGACAGAGTCTCACTCTGTCGCCCAGGCTGGAGTGCAGTGGCTCCATCTTGGCTCACTGAAACCACTGCTGCTTGGGTTCAAGCGATTCTCCCGCCTCAGCCTCCTGAGTAGCTGGGATTACAGGCGCCTGCCACTGCACCTGGCTAATTTTTGTATTTTTAGTAGAGATGGGGTTTCACCATGTTGGCCAAGCTAGTCTTGAACTGCTGACCTCGTGATCCACCCACCTCGGCCTCCCAAATTGCTGGGATTACAGGCGTGAGCCACCCTACCTGGTCAAGATGTCATAATTTAACAAGTCTACTTAAATAAGGCAATGCTGCTCTTGGTTTTGTTCAAAATCAGGCTTCCTGTGTTGTGCTCTAGTTACCTACCTGCTAACGGGCGGAGGCGTTCACTCCAGGGAAAAGGGAGAGTTGCCACGGCAGAAATCCACGTGTCCGAGGGCATCACTTGGGGGCCGCCGGTAACCATTGCGGGGATCATGTCCCGGCTGACTTGGGCCTTCATGGTTTCCTTCTCTGTTTCAAAATGACTTAACAACTCTTTTCAGGAAGGCGGCTGCTGTGGAATGGGGAACGAAGTGTGGCAGCCTGGGCCATTAGGAACCAAGGGCAGTCCCCTCCTTGGTCAGAAGTGTGGCTGGTGCTAACCTCCCGATTCGAACCTGGACGCTTCATCGGGGGACGCAGGCATTTGTTTTCCCTCTGTCTCCTTGGGCGCCTTTTCACCATGGCCTTCACGTGCTGAGCATCTTCCATTTGCTCCCCAGTTCATTCGCTTCCCTGCCCCCTGCTTTCTCATTGGGTTTGGCCAATGGGAGCCGCAGCCAGATGAGAGGAAAGTTTTTTGGCGGGGGAGGGGATCTACTGCCCTGCTCGCATCCTGTAAGGTCTCCATGGTAGCTCCACGGGAGGCCACAGCGCCTGCTGGGCGGCCCCCTCTGGGTTCCAGCACCTGCTTCTTGCCTGTGATCTTCCCAGGGTGGTAACTACTATGAGTTCGGGGGGGCTGTACTGCCTGTTATTGGTATCCCTATGCCCTGTCCCTACATGTTCTCCCCAAGTTCCCCCGTTTAATGAGACATCTGCCTCCTGCCGGGACTCTGGATCGTGCACATGAAAAACGCACATGACACCTTGTTCACATTTTGCCTTTTACAGTTGCTGAAAAGGCACCACCTTTAGCAACGTGCTGGGGGATGTGAGTGAGGGCAGCTCCCCTGCTTGCCACTGTTTCTCTGCATCCCCAGTCCCAGATGCATGGAAGACCCTCCCTGACCATCCCTCCTCCTGGCTCCAACTCTTGTCTGTCATCCTGACCCAAGGCGGCAAATCCATGGAACCACTAAATGCTGCTCCAATTGCCAGGCCCTGCTGCACAGTCTGGGGATGGCACAGCCATGAGCAGACCTGTCCTGACTGTGGGCACACAGCTGGGTGGATATGGACCTGGCCTGCTGTGGGTGGGAACCCCCAGGCCTGTCCCAGCAGGACCCACCTACTCCTGCTGGCCTGTGGATGTCAATACACTGTCCACCTGGAAGCCCCTCCTGGCTTTGACTGGGTGGGGATTGTTAGGTCACACCCAGGCACGGTTGCCCTTCAAACAGACTCCTCCCCCTACCGGCCACTCTGCCCTGTCCCCTCGGCCATCGTACCCTGATGCAGGACCTTTCTGGGCCCAGGTTCAGAATGCAACACCATGTGTGGGCTGCTCCTCTCTGCACTGCACACACTGAGGCCAGACCATGCTCCTCACCACCCACCCGTCTAGACCACGCTCCCCACCCCTCCGCTGTCTGGGCCGGCTCTGTAGCTTCTATGATCCCCTTCTTGGGCTCTGACTCTTTCTCTTCCTGTTCTAGAATGTGCTTTGAACGTAAGTTCTCTGTTTTCCTTGTCAAAGCTTAGGGCCAAGAGCAAAGCCTTATGAAGACACCTTCCTGGACATTTTCTCCGGGGACACCTGCCTTTGCCTGGTTGGTGCCCCGCCTTTGCCATCTCCTGTCTGCACTGCCTGCAGGCACAGGGTGCTTCCTGCGGGCCCACTGCACACAGCAGGTTTTCCCTCAGGTGGGGTCTGTCCCTGTGGATCTGCTTCCTGTAGACCTGCTGTGTTCTTCCTGGGTGCTTTCCCCTCGGAGGGGGAGAGGTGGAGGAAGGCTCCCTCCTCAGCACACTTGTCAGCGGCCATTATCAGCTTGCCACCTGTCTGCCATCCATGAGGCTTGGCTTCTACCCTGCATTCTCTCCCTTCCTGGGAACCCGGGCAGCCGGCAGCCTTGGTTTGCCAGACCCTGGCTCCCTGGCCTCTGGGAGCGGGCCAGGCACACGCGGTGGCCTCACCGGGTCCACAGGGACTCCTTTAAATTGCTCTGTTCCTAGTACACAGCATATGTCATCAAGTCTAAGATGTTTACCTTTCAGATTTCACATCTCTGGAGTCACATAAGTCTATAATCAATGTGTAACATAGTCTGTGGTTCAGCTTCTTAGCAGTGCATAAAATAACGTGTCTTACTTGGTTTTAGCATTGGTGCGTCTTAAATTCCCAAATCTCACATGCTCACTCAAACACGCGTTCTTCAGATACCCTCCAGCCGAGAATCCTTTTCTGGATTCACACATGAGGCGTTCAACTTCAGCTTTCTTTGGTATTTTCATATTCCTTTTCCATGCTCTTAATGGCTTGTCATCTATTAGCTGTACATTTTTTGACAGTCTGACACTTTTCACGACTGCTTTAACTGAATTGAGTTCATAGATCTTGTATCATGTCAAATTATTTTTGTTATTCTGCTCACTTTGGTTTTTGAACCTACTCATGTTACTTTTTAGAGGCCTGGCTGCTGCTGCTCAGATATTTCTGGTTCAATAATGTTTGAAAGAGATTGCTTAACACGGGGCTTTGTGAAAACAAGTGAATTTATTGAAAAGAATTTAGAACACCCTTTTGCTTAACTCTCTATAAATTTACTAACTAAGACACACACACACACACACATACGCCCAGGCATAGACTTACATATGTGTGCAATGCACACAAAAAAACACACTTGGAAAGAGAAAGACAGAGACAGAGCCAGAGCCCAGATGGACAGCCCTGAATCACAGGTCACTGAAAGAGGCGTATGTGTCCTCACTAGGACTTGGAGTTAGCCACCCAGGCACAAGGGCTCGGGAACAGGTCTGAGTCCTAACCCTGCTCCCTGATGTCTGAATCTGTCCCAGTCTGGGTCATCCTGCCTCATCTCTCCTGATTCCACTTACCTGTAATCCCGAAGACCTTCAGGCACCCTCCCACCTGCCCACGTCAATCCCAATCCCAGTAGATATCTGACTTGGAGGCGGAAAGGCCAACGCTTGGCCCAGCCACGCTCAGGCCAGATGCCACCTGCTCACCAACCAGGGTGGGCTTTTCAACCTCCATTCTACTTGCCTGTGGGTCTTGTTTCCTACAGGCGATGGGTCCCATTCCCTCCAGAAAGAAGGTAGCTGGCAGCCCCCAGAGGAGCAGTGAGATCCTTGACTTCTAACTCCAAGGATGGCGCCTTCTCAACTAATTTTAAAATGACCTGAAAGTTGCTGGGTGTGGTGGCTTACACCTGTAATCCCAGCAGTTTGGGAGGCTGAGGTGGGTGGATCACCTGAGGTCAGGATTTCGAGACCAGCTTGGCCAACATGGTGAAACCCCGTCTCTACTAAAATTACAAAAATTAGCTGGGTGTGGTGGCGGGCACCTGTAATCCCAGCTACTTGGGAGGCTGAGGCCAGAAAATTGCTTGAACCCAGGAGGTGGAGGCTGCAGTGAGCCGAGACTGTGCCACTGCACTCCAGCCTGGGCAACAGAGTGAGACTCCATCTCAAATAAAATAAAATAAACAATCTGAAAGTCACTGACATGGTGGCTGTTATGAGGACAGGGTGAATCACAGGCACTTAGCAGTTGCCAGGGGCGCTATGCTCCTCCAGGCCAGGGAGGCCCCACCCAGAAGGGGTGCCTCTTTGGGGCTCATTCCTGTACCTACCAACAGCCTGACCCCTTGCTCCTGTTCAGCTGCCCCTGAGGGCAGGGCCTGGCAAGAAGGTAAAGGGTGAGGTAGGGGTGGGGCTGGCTGCTCAGGGACCACCTGGAACTACCGGCTAGAGCCACAGGGCTTACAGGAAGGGGATCTGCCCCAGGGCATTTGAATAGCCAGCACAATTACCCCCAAGGTCCTCTGCTATCAGCAACAGATACAAACCAGATAGATCATTTACTGAGTTTTGACAAAAACAACTATAACAAATGAAAAAAATAAAATAAAAATAAAAGCAAAACAATTGCTGGAATTGATTTTTTCCTGTGTTTTTTTTAAAAAAAGTTCTTCGTGCAGGAAAAAATAAAAGTAACTTCCCCACCAAACACACTCACAAATTCTAGAAAAACACATTCTAAACTGGAAAATAGGTATCTTGGGGTTGTGGGATTACAGGTGATTTCTTTCTTTCTTTCTTTCTTTCTTTTTTTTTTTTCTTTTTTTTTTTTTTTGAGACAGGGTCTCACTCTGTCGCCCAGGCTGGAGTGCAGTGGTGTGATCTTGGTTCACTGCAACCTCCGCCTCCCAGGTTCAAGCAATTCTCTTGCCTCGCCCTCCCAAGTAGCTGAAATTACAGGTGCGCACCACCACGCTTGGCTAATTTTTGTGTTTTTAGTAGAGACTGGGTTTGAGTTTCATCATGTTGGCCAGACTGGTCTCGAACTCCTGACTTCAAGTGATGTGCCCACCTCAGCCTCCCAAAGTGCTGGGATTACCGGCACAAGCCACTGCACCCAGACAAATTTCTTATTTAAAAAAATCCATATTTCTAATTTTGCCATAATATAAATGTACTATTTGTATAAAAATACTTTTATTTTATTTTATTTTATTTTATTTTATTTCGAGACTGAGTTGCCCAGGCTGGAGTGCAGCGGCGCAATCTCGGCTCACTGCAACCTCTGCCTCCCAGGTTCAAGTGATTCTCCTGTCTCAGCCTCCTGAGTAGCTGGGATTACAGGCACCTGCCACCACGCCCGGCTAATTTTTGTATTCTTTTTTTTTGTTAGCAGAGATGGGGTTTCATCGTGTTGGCCAGGCTGGTCTCAAACTCCTGACCTCAGGTGATCCACCTGCCTCAGCCTCCCAAAGTGCTGGGATTACAGGTGTGAGCCACCGTGCCTGGCCCAAAAACACTTTTAAAAATAAAAGTTTTTTAAAAACGGAAAGAAAAACAGATCTTAGGAACGATCCTCTGTGTGCCTTTTGCAGAAGGGCCCTTGGCAGCTGCTGGTTGCAGGATGTGAGGTGTGGGCATGAGGGTCACACACCCTGCGTAGGAGCCCAAGGCTTTTCCTGGATCGCAGTCACTCCCTCCGCCTCGCTGGTCTCTGCTGCAGTTGGCCTTTGTGGTTGGCTGACATTCTAGTTGGTTAACATGTGCGTTTGTTTGGATGTTCTGTCCTCAGGCATCCGAAGGCGTCTCCATGAGGTTCTTCACCAAGCTGGACCAGCTCATCGAGTTTTACAAGAAGGAAAACATGGGGCTGGTGACCCATCTGCAATACCCTGTGCCGCTGGAGGAAGAGGACACAGGCGACGACCCTGAGGAGGACACAGGTAGGGAGGGAGGGACAGGACGGCAGGAGGTACTTTTGGGAACTTGCCCTGCACCCACCTTGAGTGCTTGTAGACTAGGTGAGTCCTATTATCAGAGGGAGATTGTTGGCGTGGGGGTTAAGGACAAGTTAGGAACACAGGCTCTCTGGTCAGGCAGACATGGGTTAAAATTCCTCCTCCCCAGCTTATTAGCCAGGTGACCTTGGGGAAATTACCTGACCTCTCTGAATCACAGACTTCTCTTTAAAGAGACAGTAAAATAAGGCTGGGCTTGCTGGCTCACGCCTGTAACCCCAGAACTTTGGGAGGCCGAGGTGGGAGGATCGCTTGAGGCCAGGAGTTTGAGACCCTTCTGGGCAACATAGGCAATCCTGTGTCTACAAAAAGCTTTTTAAAAAATTTATTCAGGCATGGTGGCTCAGGCCTGTAGTCCTAGCTACTCGGGAGGCCGAGGCAGGAGGATCCCTTGAGTCCAGGAGTTCAAGGTTGCAGTGAGCCATGATTGCACCACTGCACTCTAGCCTGGGTGACAGAAAGAGACCTTGTCTAAGAAAAAAAAAGAGAGAGAGAGAAAGAGACAGTAAAGACTGAACTTCCTCTGCTTCACTTGACTAGCCTTTAAAAAGACAGAGAGAGAGAATAACGATAGTACCTGCCTCTCATGGTATCTCAAGGATCAAATGAGTTGAGAAATGTAGCACCCAGAGCCTGGTACATATTCATAGTAAGCACTCCATAAATGCAGCTACGGTCATTAGCATGATTACAATCTGCTGAATTTCACTGAGAGGAGAGTGAAGGAGGAGACCCTTGCACCTAACTGGAAGGATGAGGAAGGTGTTTCTTTATGTCATCATTAAAAGGGGGAGGGGGAAATACAACCCCTAAAAATATGTTGAAAAAAATGTACAGTCCCAGCCAGGTGCAGTGGCTCACGCCTGTAATCCCAACACTTTGGGAAACAGAGGCGGGCAGATCACGAGGTCAGGAGATCGAGACCATCCTGGCCAACATGGCGAAACCTTATCTCTACTAAAAATACAAAAATTAGCCAGGTGTGGTGGTACGCGCCTGTAGTTCCAGCTACTTGGGAGGCTGAGGCAGAAGAATCGCTTGAACCCAGGAGGTGGAGGTTGCAGTGAGCCAAGATCGCACCACTGAACTCCAGCCTGGCAACAGAGGGAGACTCCGTCTCAAAAAAAAAAAAAAAAATTATACAGTCCCTAAAAAGTGTGTGAGACTAAGGGTGCCCTTTACAGCATAGGGACAAAGACCAATAGAGCAACAGTCAGATGGAGAAAGTCTTGCAGAGAAGGAGCTTACCTGGGGATGCCCCACTTTTCCCCTCAAGGATTTACTGAGAATATACCTAAGGGAATAGAAATCATTTTGTTACAAAGACACATATGTGTATGTTCATTGCAGCACTATTTGCAATAGCAAAGACATGGAATCAGCCTAAATGCCCATCAGTGATGACTGGATAAAGAAAATGTTGTATATATACACCATGGAATACTATGCAGCCAGTAAAAAGAACGAGATCATGTCCTTTGCAGGAACATGGATGGAGCTGGAGGTCATTATCCTTAGCAAACTAACACAAGAACAGAAAACCAAATACCACGTGTTCTCACTTAAGTGGGAGATAAATGATGAAAACACATGGACACAAAGAGGGGAACAGCACACACTGGAGCCTACCTGAGGGGGTGGGAGGAGGGACAGGATCAGAAATAACTATTGGGTACTAGGCTTAATACCAGGATGATGAAATAATCTGTACAACAAACCCCATGACATAAGTTTACTTATGTAACAAACCTGCACAGGTACCCCTGAACTTAAAATACAAGTTTTTTTTTTTTTTTAAAGGCTTATTTCCTAAAAGAAAACCATGAGATACCTAACCGGGCCCCTCAGTTGGCCAGGGCTCTTCCTGAATTCCAGCAGGTGGAGACTACCAGGTCCCCCAGGCTCTCCCCGAAGAGAGGAGAGATTTGTCCACAGACGCTGAGACCCTTGCCTGGCTCCTGCCTGTTCTGGGGGCTTGCTGCAGGCATCCTTTTTCTCCCTCACCTGTGGGCTGGCTTGTGGGCCACCAGGGCCCCCTGCTCCCTCCCACCCTCATGGAAACACACTTTTCATGGTTGTGCAGCTGTTCGTTTCCAAAAGGACCGCAGCTCCATGGAGGCTGAAAGGGTCCCAGGCAGGCCCTGTCCCTTTTGGCCTCCCTGGTCTGAGTGAGCACTGCCCTCTGGAATCAGGAAGGTCAGGCTGTGGAAGAACTAGGGCTGACCTGTCCCATTGTGAGCCCAAGGTCACTCACCAGCACCGCGCCCTGGCTGCACCTGAACAGCTGCCCCCAGGCGCCCAGGGCCATGCTGAGAAGCTGTTCTGCAGAAACGCCCTCCACACTAAACACCCTCACTCCCCTCGGGCTGCCCATCCCAGCTAGTTGGGCCCCTCTGGGCATGGCTGTCTGGAGGAAGATCCCGACAAGTTTCTGTGAGGGCTGAAAAAAGAACCTCAGTCTCATGACTGCTGGCTTCACTTCCGCAAACGAGGTCGCCCAGTTGTCGGCTCGAACCAGAGCAATGCGACATGAGGCCCGCGCAGTCCAAGAGGTCTGTTTGGGCCCAGGGCCTCTTGAGGCACCGCCAGACCGTGGAGCTCGAAGCAGACTCCTAGTTGTCTTCAGAACCCCAGACAGAGGAAGTGAAGGGCCTGTTCTCTAAAGAGGAGGTCCCCCGGGGCCCACTGTGGTTGGGCCAGAGGCAGCCGCTCTGTGTGGGAAGAGGCTCAGACAGAGCTCTGGACCCTCCATTCGTGTACGTACAGAATGAACCTTCTCCTAAAGGCGATGGGTGGGCTCCCACCTCCCAGGCCAAGTTCAAGTCATTTGTTGAATGTCTCTGAGTGAAGGGAACCCCCTCGCTTTCTTTTATGTGTTTCTGAGAGTCTGGGGGAGGAGAGAAGGAAGGACAGAGGCTGGAGAGAGGGGACCAGGGAGAGAGGGAGAGGGGCAGTGTGGCTAGGCCTGCCTGTCTCCTTACCCCTGGTCCCCTTCCATGGTTTTGGCCTATTCTGGGAACTGGGCCTCTGCCTAGCCCAGGGCTCAGCCATCATGAGACAGGTGTCTCAGCCCCTGAAAGTCTGAGAGCCAGACTCATCCTGCTCACCTGCCTGCTGCTGTGGGCTTAGTCCATCCAAGGTCAGCAGCCCTGCAGGCCTTCCAGACCCTCCATGGAGCAAGGCCTTTTGGCCCTGGCAGGTGTTTGCTGATGGCCACAGTGGGGCAGACACTGCACTAGCCAGGGCCCTGTGGCAGGAGGCTCTCCCTCCAGGAGGGAGTCAGCGAGGGACACGGGGACGCAGATGGAGATCAATAACGTGGGTGTCGTGGCCTGGACCCCATGGGGCTGCGGTGAAGGCCGGGTTGTGCGCACAGTGTCCTCACCAATGGCCTTCCTGCTGTTCTCTCCAGTAGAAAGTGTCGTGTCTCCACCCGAGCTGCCCCCAAGAAACATCCCGCTGACTGCCAGCTCCTGTGAGGCCAAGGAGGTTCCTTTTTCAAACGAGAATCCCCGAGCGACCGAGACCAGCCGGCCGAGCCTCTCCGAGACATTGTTCCAGCGACTGCAAAGCATGGACACCAGTGGGTGAGTCCCCACTCAAGTCCAGCTGGGCCTTCATCTGCAGTGAGCCCAGCCAGGGCAGGGCTGGATGGCTTGGGTTTCGATCCTAGTTATGGGCCTGGTGACCAGAGGGAGATGGGGAGGTCTCCAGAGAAGAGTGCTTGTCATCTTGCACCCCAGAGGCCTTTGCACCATTGGCTTCAAGAAGGCCAGGGGCATGGGCCTTAACAGGAAAAGTGCTCCACGGGGGTGGGGGAGCACTCCGTCTCCAGGCACGGCCCGGCATAGTGTGGGCACTCACTGGATATGTGCTACATTAATTAATAAGTTAGTACCTGGTAATCTCCATGCCTTAGTAAATATAACTTTTTGTTTCTTTGTGAGAAACGCTCCATTGCCCCCCAAAGAAATCCTAATGACAGGGCTGAAGCCGCATTTCCAACTTGAAGGATCCATCTGAGGCTGCCAGGGCTGCCCTCCTCCTACTCTCTCACTTGGCAAAATATGAAGTAGATGCCGATGGGACACATACGCCACCGGGTTGCTATGATACTTGGCGTGTTCCTATTTCCACCTGGACATACCCATTGGTTCTTCCCTGGGCTCTCCAGCCTGAATTCTGTGCACGCTCCTTGATTTATTTGTGCTATTTATCAAATAGCCGAATATCCAGTGTTGCTACTATGTTGATTGTCTCTATATATGTGTCTAAATAACAGATGCTTTGAAAGTATTCCACATAGGCCAGACGCGGTGGCTCATTCCTGTAATCTCAGCACTTTGGGAGGCCCAGGCGGGCAGATCACCTGAATCCAGGAGCTCAAGACCAGACTAACCAACATGGCAAAACCCCTTCTCCACTAAAAATACAAAAATTAGCTGGGCATGGTGGCGGGCGCCTATAATCCCAGCTATTCGGGAGGCTGAGGGAGGAGAATAGCTTGAACCTGGGAAGCAGAGGTTGCAGTGAACCAAAATTGCGCCACTGCACTCCAGCCTGGGCAACAAGAGAAAAACTGCGTCTAAAAAAAAAAAAAATTCCACATCGAGCCCATTGTTTAGTTCCCCAGGGTTTCCATTTCTTCCCAGGTTTGGATGCTGAGTGCAGTAAACTGGATGGGGAAGAGTCGGGGAGGCCCCATGGTTCCACCTGCTGACCTCTCCTACTAAGGCTCGTACACCTCCCGCCAACTCCATCTCCTCCTCATCAGCCCCTCCATCCTGGTTATGGGGTTCTGCCTCAGTGGGACCAGCAGGGGCGTGAAGCCGAGCTTCCAGGCAGCTTTCCAGGAGGGGTTAGGGTCGGGGCATGGGCTGAGGGTTCATGGGCAGAGAGCCCTGCTTTTTCTATCTTTGCTTATCATGTCAGTGGAACCTTCCTAAAACTTCTGTTCGGAGATGGGAATGAGTGAAGGGGGCATGTGCAGAGACCAAGGAAAGCGGCGACACAGAGCCGCCCTCCATTCTCAGGGTCAAGGAAAACTGGGAATCCACATTGTGTTTTAAAATCAGTCTATTTCGCTTGTCAAGCTGCTTTGCACATAGAGGACTGCCTTTTGATTATTTTTCTTTAAATGACAACTTGCACAGTCTTTCCTGCAAGTTAATCAGATCTCATCAGTTAGGTCTTAGTAGGTTAATTATCACATTTCTAAGTAAAATTAGCCTTCTCAAATAAACATAGTTTACATCTTTATGTCAACACTTTTCTACAACAAACTTTTATTTTTGAGACGGAGTTTTGCTCTTGTTGCCCAGGCTGGAGTGCAAAGGCACGATCTCAGCTCACTGCAACCTCCCCCTCCCGGGTTCAAGTGATTCTCCTGCTTCAGCCTCCCAAGTAGCTGGGATTACAGCCATGCGCCACCACAACCAGCTAATTTTGTATTTTTAGTAGAGACGGGGTTTCTCCATGTTGGTTAGGCTAGTCTCGAACTCCCAACCTGAGGTGATCTGCCCGCCTCGACCTCCCAAAGTGCTGGGATTATAGGCATGAGCCACTGTGCCCAGCCTACCACAAACATTTTAACAAATAGAACTGCCTGTAATACAGACTCACGGTATCAAAGTCACAAGGCAATAGTAATTAGACCTGTTAAGATACATATTTTAATACAGGGGTCCCCAACCTGTGGACTATTAGGAACTGGGTGGCAGCAGGAGGTGAGCGGAGGGCAAGCGAGCATTACCACCTGAGCTCTGCCTCCTGTCAGATCAGCGGTGGCATTAGATTCTCATGAGTGTGAACCCGGTTGTGAACTGTGCACTTGAGGGATCTAGGCTGCACGCCTCTTAGGAGAATCTAACTAACGCCTGATGATCTGAGATGGAGCAGTTTCCTCCCACAACCATCCCCCCACCACCCATCCGTGGAATAATTGTCTTCCACAAAACCGGTCCCTTGTGCCAAAAAGGTTGGGGACCACTGTTTTTAATACTATAGAAGAGATGTTTGTCCCTTTTAGTAAACAGACTCAGGCAGAAACTGGATTTTTATGATGTCAAGACCCAGAATAAATATAGAAGAACTTAAATGTAAATGTTCTCTTCTCAATCTAACAAGTCAAATGGGTAAGCCAGTCCTGTTCAGTATTTTTTTTGAGATGGAGTCTCGCTCTGTCACCCAAGCTGGAACACAGTGGCGCGATCTCGGCTCACTGCAACCTCTACCTCCTGGGTTCAAGCAATCCTCCCGCCTCAGCCTCCTGAGTAGCTGGGACTACAAACGCACGCCACCACGCCCAGCTAATTTTTGTATTTTTAGTAGAGACAGGGTTTCACCATGTTGGCCAGGCTGGCCTTGAACTCCTGACCTCAGGTGATCTGCCCACCTCTGCCTCCCAAAGTGCTGGGATTATAGGCGTGACCCACCATGCCTGGCAATTCCTGTCCAATCTTAAGAGCAACGGCTTTTCATTCTTTCACAGATTCCACAGGAAAAGCCTTGTGGCCTTTAGTTTCAATTTGATTACATATCAAGCCTGGAATAAAAATCTTTAAGGCGGCTGGGCAGGGTGGTTCACACCTGTTATCCCAGCACTTTGGGAGCCTGAGGCAGTGGATCACCTGAGGTCAGCCTGGCCAACATGGTAAAACTCCACCTCTACTAAAAATACAAACATTAGCTAGGTCTGGTGGCATGTGCCTGTGGTGTCAGCTACCCAGGAGGCTGAGGCAGGAGAATCACTTGAACTTGGGGGTTGGAGGTTGCAGTGAGCCGAGATCTTGCCATTGCACTCCAGCCCAGGTGACAGGGTGAGACCCTGTCTCAAAAAAATAAATAAATAAATAAATAAATGAAGGCTTGTAATAATTTTTTCCACACAGCTAATTAACATGGTTAAGCCTCAGTTCTCTGATTTGTAAAACAGGAATAATTAGTAATAATATCTGAGTCATAAAATTGATTTGTGGGTTAATGGAGAAAATGAGCATGAAGTGCTTAGCATAGTGTCTGGTATGCTGTGCTCAGGAAATACTTGCTGTAATTACAATTTCCATCATTATGGGAACAAACACTCAAGCGTTACCCAGAACAAAAGGTGCTGGAAGATAGAATGCAGACAGCTGATCCGACTTTAGGGGGCGCCCCTCGTGGGACTGGCCTGGGCTCTCTGCCTGTGCCTCTGCCACCAGGGTTGATCTGCACAGTGAACAAATCCTGCCTTCAGCCCCATTCACTCTGTACACTGAAGGGGTTGGAGCAGATTCCACACGGCAAAGTCGGCCACTTGCACTACCTCATTCCATATCCCCAGCCCCATCGCTAATCACTCAGACTCCCCCCACAGAGCCTGAGATGAATCCAGACTCTCTGAACACAGTGCCCTGGGTAGCCTTTGGCCGTGAAATTGCAAAGTGCATGGGAGCTAAAGCCATTTGTTATCTCTAGATCCCATCATCCTTCCAGCCCTCAGATCCTATCTTTATAAGTAGATAAGGTAGGAAAACAATTCCACTTACACTTTCCAAAGCTTTTGGCCTCCTTTTGTGTGTGTGTGTGTGTGTGTGTGTGTGTGTGTGAGAGACAGTGTCTCACTCTGTCACTCAGGCTGGAGTGCAATGGCACGATCTGTTTTCACTGCAACCTCTGCCTTCCGGGTTCAAATGATTCTCCTGTCTCAGCCTCCCAAGTAGCTGAGATTGCAGGCACCCACCACCACACCCGGCTAATTTTTGTATTTTTAGTAGAGGCGGGGTTTCCCCCCAGGCTGTTCTTGAACTCCTAACCTCAGGTGATCCGCCCACCTGGGCCTCCCAAAGTGCTGGGATTACAGTTGTGAGCCACCATGCCCAGCCTTGGTCTCCTTTTTAAAGTATAACCATTTCCCAGACCCCCAGCCAAAACCACTTCCTCCCAGCAGCACCCAAAGGAGCTCATTGAGAGGCACCTTTTCCTGCTGGGCCACTTCTTCTTGCTCTGACCTGCTAATCTACCCCATCAGTGAGACCACGGGAACCTTCGTCCAGGTTTGCAAACATTCTTCTGAAGGACGGTGTCCCCTTGGAGGCTCTGAGGATGAGGATTTGTTATTGTGGTTGCTGTTCCCATTGGTGATGGTGGCTAAAAGAAACAGGCAAGCATAGTTTGTTTCTTTTTTCTTTTCTTTAGGCTTCCAGAAGAGCATCTTAAGGCCATCCAAGATTATTTAAGCACTCAGCTCGCCCAGGACTCTGAATTTGTGAAGACAGGGTCCAGCAGTCTTCCTCACCTGAAGAAACTGACCACACTGCTCTGCAAGGAGCTCTATGGGTAATGGCTGGCCCACGGGGGCGGGCAGGTGGGGGCGGCCACCAGGTGAGAGAAACAGCTCATGAGAGCGACCTCTGCCTCTGCCTGGCTGAACAAATGCCTCTGCCGCACTCACAATAATTGAGTGGTGAGCACAGCTTGGAAATCTCTGTGGTTGTTTGGAGGTCTTGTTATCATGGAATTTGAACAGTAGCTTGTGTGTGCTGCAGCTTTTTACAACTAAAGTTAATTGGAGGCCAGTTGCTCTGGGAAGCGGATGGGGTGGGAGGACATGGCCAGCCCTTTCTCACTTGCACAGGATCCAGCTCTTAAGATTTTTGCTGCTGCTCTTGCTGTTTGCTGCAGCCATTACACCTGACAAGCACAGAAAGGCATCAAAAGGAAATAAATTAAAGTTAGTCTATTTTCTGCGTGGGTGGTTATGGCCCAAGATTTCCAGTGATGTCAATTTTTCAAAGGGAGATGATTCACCAAAACTTTAATTTTCTGATGTCCGATCCATTGAATGACCAACTGGTAAAGGTTCTGATTTCTTTTAGATTCTTTTGGTTTTACATTTTAAAATTTAATTGATGAAAGTTAATTTCAAGTTAATTACATTTTAATTGTTAAAAGTGCAAAAGTAAGGCTAATATGCCATCCAAAGAATTGGCAAAGAATATTTTAAATGCCAAAAGCTTGGAAGAGAAAAAAAACAAAAAAAATTCCAGAGCATCTGAACAAAGCCACAGGGAGCCAAAACAATCCCATCACAAATGAAAGGTCAGGCCGGGTGTGGTGGCTCACGCCTGTAATACCAACACTTTGGGAGGCCGAGGCAGGTGGATCACCTGAGGTCAGCAGTTTGAGACCAGCCTGGCCAACATGGTGAAATCCTGTCTCTACTAAAAAAAAAAAAAAAATTAGCTGGATGTGGTGGCACACACCTGTGATCCCAGCTACTCTGGAGGCTGAGGCAGGAGAATCACTTGAACCTGGGAGGCTGAGGTTGTGGTGAGCCGAGATCTCGCCACTGCACTCCAGCCTGGGTAACAGAGCAAGACTCCGTCTCAAATAAACAAACAAACAAAGGAAAGAAAGGTCAACATTTTGATTGGAAAAATGGGATTTCATACTGGCAACGGTTTTGTAGTCTGTGCTGTTTTGTGTTTTATTACACATACAGCCGTTTCAAGATTCCTTTGTTGATTTTTCTGGGGCTGTTTCAATCTTAGCTTAGTTAATATGCAGAAAACACTCTTTTATCATCAGTAATCAAATTCGACTTTCCTTTTAAAGGCTTTTAAAAGCACGATCAGTACATTCGGTAAATTTAACAAATAATTTCTTTGACAAATCAAGCACTCACCAAATTGGCCAGTTGGGCTTAATTTCAATGAATTGGCTTTCAACTAATGCAGCTGTAGCTAATTGGACCTGGAGCTATCATTTTTATAGATTCCCATGGAGGGATTTTGTTCCATTTGATGCTGTTGTTATGAATCACTTTATCACTAGGGGAAAACACATACAGCACTTTCTTTTTATAAAACACCATTTCACAATGGCTGATAACAAGCTCTTAGTTCTGCTTCAGTGGAGATTCTGTTCTTCCCTGCTTCCTTGTGGAGAAAGAAATGTATTTTAAGTCTCTCCACGAGGCTTCCCTCAGTCTTCCCCAGACACTTCTGCACATTGTTAGATTTCCCTAACACCTCAACACTACCTGGACTTCCCAGGAGCCAAGTCACCTCATCACTATGGCGGTGCCAGCTTCCCCAACTTGTCTTCTTCTCGGGTATGTAGTGCCGATGGAGAGAGCTTCCTTCAGCTTCTAGCTGCTCCATGACTCTATTTAGAATTAAAGACACCGTCATGCTCTAAATTTCCCTTGCACACTCGTCTTTGCTTTCATCAGTAAGGCGACAGCCAGGCTTGGAGACTTGATCAGCCTTGGCATTTTAGGAAATTGTAGAAAGGAACAAAATGATGCTTCCCATTTCTCCTGCCAGAATCCCTGCAGATTCTCATCCCTCAAATTGTAAACCCATAATTTTCAAACTGCTTTGATTAGAATAGGTCTTCATTCATTCGTTCATCGAACAAACATGTATTGGAGGCCTCCTCTGAGCCCTGTTCTGGGTGCTGGGATGTAGCAACAGACACAATGCACAAGCCTCTTGCTCTTTTAGGCCTTTTTGGATCTAACATCTCAGTGAGGCACACAACAGTAGACTAAGGATCCAGATGAACAAGAATTTTTTTTTTTTTTTTTTTTTGAGACAGGATCTCGCTCTGTCACCCAGGCTGGAGTGCCGTGGTGAGATCTCAGCTCACTGCAGCCTCAACCTCCTGGGCTCAAGTGAGCCTCCCACCTCTCAGCCCCTATCCTTGAGTCCCCCCACTCACTTGCTTCCCCCGAGTCCAATGGAGAAGCTGGGACTACAGGTATGTGCCACCATACCCAGCTAATTGTTATATTTTTTGTAGAGATGGGGTTTTGCCTTGTTGCCCAGGCTGGTCTCCAATTCCTAGGCTCAAGCAATCTGCCTTCCTCGGCCCCCCAAAGTGCTGCAATTACAGCATGAGCCACCATGCCCAGTTCAAACAGTAATTTTAGTAAATGTCATGGTAAGATAAAACACGATGATGTGAGGAAGAGACATTGGGTGGGAGAGTGCCAGCTTCCTTTGGAGGTGAAGGAGGTGACAGAACTGGGGTCTTGCCACACAGTGATTTGGCAGAGGGACATTAAGTACAAAGTACAAAGGTCCTGAGGCAGGAATGAAGACAGCCTGCTCAAGGAACAGGAAGTCTGTGTGGCAAGTGAGTGTTAGGAACAGAGGTTGGGGAGAGGCTGGTGTAACATGTAAAAGCTGGTCAACAAGTAAAAGCACAGGCTGCCCAGAGAGGTGGAATTTTAGGTGAACAGCAACTTCTTTAGTATAAGTATATACCATGTAATATTGGGATATACTCATGCTAATAGATTATTCATTGTTTATCTGAAATTCAAATTTCACTGGGTGTCCTGTGTTTTACCTGGTCACTGTAGGCAGGAGCCACATCACGCAAGGCTTAAGAGGCCCTATAGAGTTTGTGCAGGGCTGGGCCATGATCTGATTTTCAAGTGGTGGAGGATGCATCCTAGGAGGCACTGCCCAAAGCAGGAGACCAGCTGGGAGTGGCTGTGGTTGTCCAAGTGAGACAGGATGGCAGTCCATGAGGAAGGTGGCTAGCAGGGGCAGGGGTCTGTGTCTGTTTTGCTTCCTGCTGAGTCCCCGGTTATACACAGGCTCTGGCACATGCGGCTCAACAGATATTAGGTAAATGACCCAATGGCTGGGGGCGTGCAGATGCTGAGAACTGGTGTGACCTGGGACACGTGTGCATGGCAAAGGTGTCAGATTTGCCGCTTGATTGGATGTGGGGTGAAGGGAAGATGAATCTAGGGTGACCCCTGGGTTCCCAGTGTGAGGGGCTGAGTGGATGCTGATGCCAGTTCCTGGGATAGGGAAAGTCAAGGAGGAGGAGGAAGGAGAGGGTGGTGGGAGGAGAGTTCTGGGCTACATTTGGCTTGAGGGGCCATGAGGCATCTGAGTGGAGTCACCAGCCATGGAGCTAGTGCTAAGAAGCTAGGATGTGGGGGATGCATTTGGGGAATCATGGGGGATGCATATGGGGAATCACTGAAAGCTGGGGGTAAGGTCACTGCAGGTGAGAGTGTAGACAGAGGAGAATAGAGCCAGGCTCAAGATTTAGAGGAGGGATGGAGAAGGAGGAGCTGGGAGGGGGTTGAGAATGGCATCAATGATGTCCAGGTCTATTTGCTTGGACCCAAGTGTGAATGAGAAGGACATTGAGCACTGAGGAGTAAGGAGAAGTGCCAGAGCCTCCTCTGCAGAAATGTTGTGACGATGTCCCCGTGCGGGTCTGGCGTGAAGATCTCTTTGCAGTACAAAGCATCAGGCAAGATTTGCAACCCCAGGTTAGGCTCCCTAGAGCCAGACAGAAACTTTTCCAGAGAGAGAGAATAAGGAACCAGAGACTGGAAATATTTGGTAACTCCTGAAATGGAGACACGGAAAGGATTGCAAGTGGAATTTAAAATAAAAGATCAAAGGTCTGAATATCAATACAATATCTATTACATGAGAGCAGGGTAAGATTTTTAATAAACAAACCAAAACCAAAAATACTTCATTACCATTATAACTGTTTCATTGGAGGCCATAAAATAAGCCCATAGTTTTCCAATCAAATTTCAAAAATTAAATCACAAAACAGAGTAGAGTGTCAGAAACATGTATATCAAAAGCATGAAAAGATTAAGCAAACCTAGATGAGGAAATGTGTGGTAAAAATGGACAGTCCTTGGAGACAAAGCTCAGAGGTGCTACCTGTAGCTGGCAGGATATGTTCTTGAAGAAGTAGGAAAAAATTGCCAATTAATGTATACAATAAAAAAAAAAATTTCCAGGCTTACAAAAGAGCTAAATCTAAGTTTTGAGAAGCTCCATAATGATCCAAATAATACAACAATCAAACAGCAACACTGAAACATCTTTTTTTTTTTTTTCTTATAAAGAGACAGCATCTCACTCTGTCACTCAGGCTGGAATGCAGTAGTGGGATCATAGCTTATCCATCCTTGAACTCCTAGGCTCAAGTGATCCTCCTGCCTTTAACTCCGGAGTATCTGTGATTACAGGCATGCACCACCATGCCCAGCTAATTAAACAATTTTTTTTTTCTTAGAGATGGAGTTTCACTATATTGCCCTGGCTGGTCTCAAACTCCTGGGCTTAAGCCTTGGCTCCCCAGAGCTCTGGAATTACAGTTGTGAGCCACTGTGCCAAGCCTAAATCTCTTACAATGTCTCTAAATGACAAGAAAAGATAAATTCAACAAACAGATTGTTACAAACAGTACCATAGCTTTAAAATTGTCGACATTTAAAATGTTAAATATTTTTAAATATTTAATATTTTAATATTTTATATTTAATATATTTAATATTTAAAAATTCAAACTCCTTGACAGTATAATAAAGATTCTGAAGCCATGTCTCCAAGAAAAAGGCTACTGACCTGGAAAAGCTAAGCCTAGCTCATTCAAGAGCACAAGTCATCTTTTTCAGAAAGTTCCTAAAAATGTACCAATCAAATGCCTTACTCAAAAGGAATCCAAAAATTGTTTTTCAGAAATTTTATAGTCCTGGTGATCTTAAAAACAAGAAGCCTGCAGCTTACTGAGCAGCAAAATATGAATATACTCAAAGCAGAAAGTGTTCATTCTGTACTCCCATAACACACTGTGATGAAAATAGAAATAAGTCACAAAACTAGCCACAACCACCCAATTACCTGTACATTTTAAAATCACCTTCTAAATTACAGCTAATTAAGAAAGAAACTGACACAATAATACATGGGGTAGGTGTGGAGGCACAGAGTGGAGTAATCAAACCACTGCATATCAGAACACTATGTGATGCAGCCAAAGCACCACTTAGAGGAAAAACCATAGCTTTAAAAGTTCTGCTCTATTATTAAAAAGTAAATAGAAGGCCGGGCCTAGTGGCTTATGCCAGTAATCCCAACACTTTGGGAGGCCAAGGTGGGCAGATCACTTGAGGTCAGGAGTTCGAGACCAGCCTGGCCAACATGGTGAAATTCCATCTACACTAAAAATACAAAAAATTAGCTGAATGTGGTGTTGCACACCTGTAATCCCAGCTACTCAGGAGGCTGAGGTAGGAGAATCGCTTGAACCCAGGAGACGGAGGTTGCAGTGAGCCGAGATGGTGCCACTGTGCTCCAGGCTGGATGACAGAGCGAGACCGCGTTTAAAAAAAAAAAGGAAATAGAATAACAAGTCAAATGTACAAACTGAGTCCAGATTGTAAATCTCTTGAAGACATTATGGGTCATGTCCTAATCCCCTTGATGTTTCCAGGACCCAGCAAAGTACATGAAATGTTGATTTATTCGATATTCATGAACAAAGATCCAATGTGTACCAACTATCTGCAAGGCACTGTTCCAGGAGCTGGAAATACAGCAGTGAATAAAACAGAATCTTTAAGAAATCTCTGCTGAGCAACTGAGCAATAACAACAGCCAGAAAGGAGACGAGGAGGACAAGATGGTAAAAATAAAAACAGAGATACATCAGGAAAAACTGTCAATTAAGAAAGTTTTAAACATGAGAAATGTCAAAGGAGAATTAATAATCTGCATTAAAGATTTGGAAGTCACTAAAGAATAGTGTACAGTTATGTAGCTACAGATCTTCAAGTTATAATTAAATGGAACACATAGTTTACGTAAAATATAAAACATTAAAAGTACCATGAGTGTCCTTTAAACTTTCAAGGAAAAAATAGTGAGCATAAGGTATAGATTATTCCTGAATGACAAAAAAGTCACCTAATTCTCTCTTCAAGAAAAATATGATTTAAATCCAAAAAGCTAATCAAGATAATAGCCTGAAATAAAACTCTCTATCTCTGATTTCACTTATTAATATAAATGCATATTGTTTCAGTAACATCCCAGCAAATATAATTTAGTGACATGAAAAATGGAGGCTTTATCTAGGTCACTCCAAAGATGAGTCAACAAAAAGAAAGCACTGTAATTTTGCAGTAGATTAAAAGATAAACGGAAACCATTTACATAGATAACATTTTAAATTCATCTCTAATTTTTAAAAATCATTTTTAAAAAAAAGGAATAGAAGGATACTTCCTTAATAATGCAATATGAATCAAAGTAAAACTAATTACAATCGATAGGGAAACATTAAAATCATTCCATTAAACTTTTTTTTTTTTTTTTATGAGATGGTGGCGTCTCCCTCTGTTCCCCAGGCTGGGTGCAGTGGCAGGATCTTGGCTCACTGCAACTTCTGCCTCCTGGGTTCAAGCTATTCTCCTGCCTCAGCCTCCTGAGTTGCTGGCATTACAGGTGCCCACCACTATGCCCGGCTAATTTTTGTATTTTTAGTAGAGATGAGGTTTCACCATGTTGGCCAGGTTGGTCTTGAACTCCTGACCTCAGGTGACACCCACCTTGGCCTCCCAGAGTGCTGAGATTACAGGTGTGAGCCACCACACCTGGCCCCATTAAACATTTTAACAAAAGAAAAAGAGATACTGCCCTTGCACTCCAGCCTGGGCAACAAGAGCGAAACTCCATCACAAAAAAAAAAAAAAAAAAAAAATATATATATATATATATATATATATATATATATATATATATATACACACACACACACACATACACATAATATGTTAGTATTTATTATTATGATATAATGATATTATATTATAATATAATGAGATTATATTGTATTAATAATGTAATGAGATTATATTATATTAATAATGTAATGAGAAAAAAATACAGCACCTAGATTAAATAAAAAGCAAAGTAGGCCGGGCCTGGTGGCTCACGCCTCTAATCCCAGCACTTTGGGAAGCTGAGGTGGGCGGATCACCTGAGGTCAGGAGTTTGAGACCAGCCTGCAACATGGCGAAGCCCCGTCTCTACTAAAAATACAAAAATTAGCTGGGCGTGGTGGTGTATGCCTGTAATCCCAGCTACTCAGGAGGCTGAGGCAGGATCACGCCACTGCACTCCAGCCTGGGCCACAGAGTAAGATTGTCTAAAAAAAAAAAAAAAAAAAAAGCAAAGCAATATGTAAAGTTTATAACACTATATAAAAATATGAACAAAATTCCCAACAGAAAATTGGCAAGGGAGAAAAAACAAAAAAGTTTATACAAAGAGAAATGAGAGAAATGCAGTAGCCATTAACTAGAAATCAGCAATAGAAAAACAATGACATTAGAAATTAAAGATATGCAAATTTATTCATCCGTATTGAAGTGCAATGTTATGTCCCTTAAAAGAGAGAGAAAGAACAGAAGTACAGTCATTGGAGCTATTGGGTAATCAGGTCTGGACAATATAATCAGTACTCACAGGTTTGGCAATAATGATCAAGAGCCGTAATCTCTGGTTATCCTAATTCTGTAATTAAAAATTAGAAAAGCTATATGAACAAAGTTGTTCAGAGCAGGTTTTATTTATTTTATTTTTATTTTTATTTTTATTTTTATTTTTGAGACAAGAGTCTCGCTCTGTCGCCCAGGCTGGAGTGCAGTGGTGCGATCTCGGCTCACTGCAAGCTCTGTCTCCCGGGTTCACACCACTCTCCTGCCTCAGTCTTCCGAGTAGCTGGAACTACAGGAGCCCGCCACCACACCTGGCTAATTTTTTTTTTTTTTGTATTTTTAGTAGAGACGGGGGTTTCACCACGTTAGCCAGGATGGTCTCGACCTCCTGACCTCGTGATCCGCCTGCCTCAGCCTCCTAAAGTGCTGGGATTACAGGCGTGAGCCACCGTGCCTGGCCCAGAGCAGCCTTTATTCATATAACAAAGATCTCAGAGTAACCCAAATATCTAGCAATCGATTTCAGCACATTTACTCAATAGACTATTTTCAAATCATTAGAATGTTAAATATGTAAAAACATGAACAGTTTTTGATGAAACAATAAGTGAAAAGTAGAACTCAAAATTGTCTGCCCCACTATGTTAAAACAATAGAGAAAGATGAGCTGGGAACAAAGAGCGCATAAAGCCCGAGGATTGGAGTTGTCAATGGATGTGACAATGGGAAAATCCGTCTGAGCCTGCATTTGGGCTGCTAGGAGGGGATTTGCATCAGAATCCACAGATCACCAGCACTGGGCAGCCCTAATATTTAAAATGCAGATTCTAGACTCAATCAGGCGGGAGCCCAGAAATTTGCATTGTTAACACCTGTGTGTGTGTGTGTGTGTGTGTGTGTGTGTGTGTGTGTTTTATAAACACAGAAGGTTGGGAACCATGGATAACTAAGTGAAGTCATTTTGTCACTCAGATTTGAATTTTCTACAGGCTATAGAGTGCAGTTTGGCTAAAGCAAAACCTAGGTACAGTCAGGACTACACAATTCCAGTTCGCTGTGGGTTGGGAAGGGATGGGTGGGCCAGTGCTGGCAAGCCTTGATCTTTGCCCGGGCTTGTCCTTCTGGGGAGAATTACCTGCTTCTGCTGGACTGAGGGTGCCCTCATCTCTGGCTAGAGCCCGTGCTGCCATGGAAGACTCTTTCCGGTGCCCACTAATCCTTGATGTTCACCTTGTCCCCTGCCCCCAGAGAAGTCATCCGGACCCTCCCATCCCTGGAGTCTCTGCAGAGGTTATTTGACCAGCAGCTCTCCCCGGGCCTCCGTCCACGTCCTCAGGTAAAGGGTCTTGGGGTTGAAAAGGTGAGATTAATACCCCAGGGAGGAGGATTGAGTTAGCCAGTCCTGAGGGCTCAGGAGGAAGAGGGGAGCACTGCCCATTGTGTGTTCACTGGGCAACAGCAAGCAGGTACGCATGGGTTGGGGGTGGGAGCCTCAGCCCCTGCCCTTTCCAGGAAGCCATCTCCCACTGCCAGATTTTGATTTGAGGAATAAAGATTTCAAATTATGCACTCATCAGCAAAACTTATTTGTGCCAAATAAGGGGGTAAGCAGGGCCTGTTCCCATCATTTCTTATCAGAAACTGAAAGGAAAGAAAAAGAGGAGATGCCTAAACTCTTGATCCTGCCTCTTGTCCCAGGAGGAGCAGGATGAAGGTGCCCCCCAACCCCCGCACCTGCTCATGGCCTGGCAGGAGGCCAAGGTCGTGTTGCCCATTAAGCAAATGTCTGTGTAACAAAAGGTGTCATCAATAAAGTTTTAACAAGTTTTTTAAAAAAGCAAAAGCTGTATCTCAGAAGAAAATACCTGCAACAAAGCTTAGGGACAAAGGATTACAGACGAAGTATTCATGTTTATATTATTATTTTTATTTGAGACATGGTCTTGCTTTGTCGCCCAGGCTGGCGTGCAGTGGCACAATCACAGCTCACTGCATCCTCAAACATCGGGGCTCAAGCGATCCACCCCACCTGAGCCTCCCATGTATTAAAACTGCAATACTTTTGCACCAGCTAATAGCTGGGGATTACAGGTGCATGCCACCATGCCAGTCTCCTTTTAAAATTTTTTGTAGAGACAGATCTCACTGTGTTGCCCAGGTTGGTTTCAAACTTCTGGCCATCTTCCTGCCCCAGCCTTCTGAAGTGCTGGGATTACAGGTGGGAGCCACCATGCCTGGCCATTTTTAAAAAAATTCCTACAAATAATTAAGTAAAAACAATCCAGTTTTTAGAATGCGGAAAGGCTATAAACAAGGCGGTTCACTGAAGAGGGACAGGGAATAGCCAGTATAGATATGAAAAGGCGTTCAACCTCACCTTGTTAGTAACTGGGAAATGACATTTGACACTAGGCAGCCTCTTCTTGCCTATTAGATGGACAAAGAGTTGATGCTCAAGTTGATGGTTGAGTCAGGACTTGGCTAGGATGTGGGGTGGAGGAGGTGCTCACAGGGGCTCACTCCTCTGCTGTTGGGAATGGAAATGGGTTTTCTGAACGGCAGTTTGGCCATTTGTATGCAAATGTGAACTGCAGGCATCCCTCAAGCCCGCAGTTCCATATGTTGGCAGCTTCTTAGGGACTACAAGTACACAAAGAGTAACAGAAAAAAACATTGAAAATCACATAAACAGGCCAGGCGTGGTAGTTCACGCCTGTAATCCCAGTACTTTGGGAGGCCGAAGCGGGTGGATCACCTGAGGTCGGGAATTTGAGACCAACCTGACCAACATGGTGAAACGCTGTCTCTACCAAAAATACAAAAATTAGCCAGGTGTGGTGGCGGGCGCCTGTAATCCCAGCTACTCAGGAGGCTGAGGCAGGAGCATTGCTTGAACCCGGGAGGTGGACGTTGCAGTGAGCCGAGATGGCGCCACTGCACTCCAGCCTGGGTGACAGAGTGAGACTCCATCTCCATCTAAAACAGAAAAAAAAAAGGAAAAAGAAAAAAAGAAAATCACATAAACATGGAGAGCTGGTGAACTGCAGTGGTGCAGAATTCTATTCTAAGGTGTGAACACTGCTCTGGAAAGATCTCCAAGACTACTGTTAGGTGGAAAAGCAAATGGCAGGATGATATAGAAACTCTGATGGAAGTCTCCACGAGGAAATCAGATGGGAAGGATTTAAACCCAAAGGGCCACGCTGGTCACCACAATTCAGGGATGAGACTGGGGAGAAGGGGACTGGGCCAAGGGGGATTTTGAGTTTGCCCACATTGTTAGTTTAGGTTTTCTACGGAGAACACGAATTTGTATTTTACTTGTGCAACTTTCAAAATTCAGAAAAAAAAATTTTTGCTTTCTCTGAAGTGAATGATGGGTTAATTTCTAAGAAAGTAAAAGCAAATCTAGATAAAACAGGGGCTCTGCCCGACACTTGAACTTAAGTAGTTTGAGTGGAAGAACACACAGTCAAGTCTTTGAAGTAGATTAGAAGCGAGAAAAAGCCTCGTGAGAGAGGCCAGCTGCAGTCCCAGTTACGGTGCTGCCTGGTGGAGGCCAGTCTCTGCATTTGGTGGCAGGACAGAGCAGCCACCCAGTGGAGGGTGGGTCATGCTGCCACACTCCCCTCCCCTTTATGAGACCCTGAGTCTTGAAGAAAAACAGAAAAGGTTGTTCTTGATTTGTCTTTAGGAATTCAGAAATCAAGAGGGAGTTGAGGCTGCCTTGAGGAGAGGAAAGAACGTTGGTCCATGGATCAGAAACACCTGAGTTCAAATTCTGATTCACCCTCCTGGATCTTTAGTCTCCCCATCTGTGAAATGGGGACAGTAATATCTCTGCAGGGTTTGGTTAAGGAGTGAGTGAAACTGGGTGCGTGAGACGTCTGACCCTGCTAGACTCTCACCAACATGAGGCCCTTTCCCTTAAGTAGGCAAGACAAGCTGGGGACACCCAAACCCCTGTGTGGTTACTTGAGGACTGCTGGGAAGTGTGAAATGCAATGTTATCAAAATGCTGGCTGGCCTGGGGGATGGGGGAGACCTGGGTCCACCCTGTGTGAGAAAGGAGAGCCGGTAACCTCCCTTGGATGGTTAACCTGCCTTGGCGCCCACTTCCTTTTTTTTTGAAAAGTGCAACTGAAAAGCAAAGTGAAAAAACTGGGTCAGCTGATGTAAACCCTCAGGTAGCAGTCAGACCAGTCTACCCTTTAACAGGCTAAGCTGTGAATTCTATCCTCAACCTCGACACTGGTGACATTTGGGACTGGATTGTTCTCTGTCGTGGAGGACTCCTGTGCACTCTAGGAGTCCTCCACATCCTGGCCTCTACCCATGAGATGCCATTAGCATCCCCCAGCTGTGACAACTGGAAAYGTCTCAGACATTGCCAAATGTCCCCTGGAGGGCAAAATCGCCACCAGCTGAGGACCACTGGGCTAGCCCCCAATTCACATCTCAGGTCTATACTAGCTGTAAACTCACCACTCTGACTCTATTCCCCCATCAGCAAAACAAGGATTAGAAAAATCAAGACATGTGAGGATTAGATGACTTAATATATTTCAGATGTGCTTGGCATAGCATACAAACTCATCAAATCATCATTAGGCAGAAGTATGGGGAAAGCTCCAGCATTTTTCTAATACTTTTTCTTTCAAGCACGAACGCCCTGTTTGTCAGTAACTTCATTTATGTTCTCTAAGATCTTGTTATATCTCCCCTCCCAAAAGTCACAAATCCAAAGAGAGAGCCGGTGGGGGGCGGGGGACCTGCAATTGCATTGGTGACTGCCCGGGGTGAAGGCAGGTCATTCCAAATGTTCTCTACTGTGAAAAGGAGGAGGCTTGAATCTGTGTTACCGTTTCAATTATTTATGAGATAAATAACCCTAAAACAAGGGAATCCTGAACTATCCCATCTCCTGACCAGCTTTTCTTCTCAACCAACAGGCAGCCATTCTGTTGTTCCCTTCCCTGAGTCTTAGCACCACCTCTTCAAGCCACTTTCCTGATTGACAATAACTAAAGAAGAATTGTAAGCTTTATTAAGAAGCAAGGGAAAGACCAAAAAGTGGTTAGAGAAAGCACTGACAATTATTAACTGCTGWGATGGYGGAGTGATGGTTATTGGGAYGGGGAATGGTGTGGTGTCTAAGGGTGGTAGTGATGGTGATGACAGAGGTGGTCATGATCATGGGAGGGCTGGTAGGAGTGGAGATGGTGGTGGTGATGGTGATGGTGATGGTAGAGGTGGTCATGATCATATGGGAGTGATAGGGGAGGAGATGGTGGTAGTGATGGTGGAGGTGGTCATGGTCAGGGTAGGAATGGTGAGGGTGGAGATGGTGGTGGTGATGGTGATGGTGAGGGTGGAGATGGTGGTAGTGATGGTGATGGTGGAGGTGGTCATGATTATGGTGAGAGTGGTAGGGGTGGAGATGGTGGTGGTGATGGCGATGGTGGAGGTGGTCATGATCATGGAAAATAATAGGTGTGGAGATAGTGGTAGTGATGGTGATGGTGGAGGTGGTCATGATCACGGTGGGTCTGGTAGGGGTAGAGATGGTGATGGTGATGTTGGAGGTGGTCATGATCATGGTAGAACTGGTAGGGGTGGAGGTGGTGGTAGTGATGGTGATGGTGATGGTGGAGGTGGTCATAATTATGGTGGGAGTGGTAGGGGTGGAGATTATGGTAGTGATGATGATAGTGGAGGTCGTCATGATTATGGTAAGAGTGGGAGGGGTGGAGATGGTGGTGGTGATGGTGAGGGTGGAGGTGGTCATGATCACGGTGGGAGTGATAGGGGTGGAGATGGTGGTAGTGATGGTGATGGTGAGGGTGAAGGTGGTGGTAGTGATGGTGATGGTGGAGGTGGTCATGATCATGATAGGACTGGTAGGGGTGGAGATGGTGGTGGTGATGGTGATGGTGAGGGTGGAGGTGGTGGTGGTGATGGTGAGGGTGGAGATGGTGGTAGTGATGGTGATGGTGAGGGTGAAGGTGGTAGTGGTGATGGTGATGGTGGAGGTGGTTATGATCATGGTGGGAGTGATGGGGTAGAGATGGTGGTGGTGATGGTGATGGTGAGGGTGGAGGTGGTAGTAGTGATGGTGATGGTGGAGGTGGGCATGATCATGGTGGGAGTGATAGGGGTGGAGATGGTGGTAGTGATGGTGGTGTTGGTGGTGATTGTGGTGGCCATGCTGATGACTCTGGTGGTGCTGTTGAAGGGGATCCTATTGATCATGKCAGTGCCATTGATCATTGTGCAGAGGCAGCAGTGGTAATGGAGGTGGTGATAGTAAAAGTAGTATACTAAAGTAGCTGGGTGGAAAATTGAGGTCAAAAGCAAGTGCAGCCTGGCTGCTATATTGAGCAAGGGGTGAGGTAAAGGGACATCACCTGCCTGGTGATAACCCTGGTTCCATTCTGCTTTGTATTCACATTAGCCATACATGTGTCTGATTTTCTCATTCCACTTCTTATTWTGAACTTAATAAGGTATTAATAACTTAATAAGGTATCTTATTAACTCTACATTTCCACACCTGGCAGCATGTCTAACATAGAATAGATGCTTTGTAAATGTTTCTTCTGTGAATAAGTGCATGAGACCATGTACTTGGCATCAGGTAGACAGGATACATGTCTTCCTCTGCCATTTACTAGCTGTGCGACCTCAGACAAGTTAGTTCATCTCTCTGGGCCCTGTATGTACTGAACAACTTAACGGAGCATCTTCGTTGGCCAGACACTGTTCTGAGCCCCAGTGTTGCAGTACTGAACACAGTCCTCTTGATCTCCATTCTCACGGAGCCTCCATTCAGCAGGGAAGACAAACAATGAACACATATTGGAAGGAGATGACTTTAGCTCGTGGTGATTGAAATGGAACAGAACAAGGCAACTTGATAGAGGTGACCTGGTGGCTATTTTAGACAGGGTGGTCAGGGAAGACCTCTTTGTGGGGCTGAGACCTGAATGATGAGGAGTTGCCCCTCCCAGGGGAAATTGAGTCTCTGGAGATTCCTCAGAAGGGAAGCTCAAGGCAGATATGAGTTGAGGATGAGAGTGGCTCAGATCTTGGTGGGGCGGGTGAGGTGGGGGGCTGCATCATATAGGACCTCGGAGGGCAGGGAAGGGGTCGGGATCATTTTCTCCTCTACGTGGAGAAGAACTGTACTGGGGTTTCAAGCAGCAGGGCTGGGTCTATTTTGGAAGTAGGACGGGAACACCATGCAGCAGGTGTAGGAGGGAGGAAAGGTAACATGCAAGGACAGTCCTCGAGTTTTGTTTAAGCAACGGAGTGGGTGAGGTGAGAAGCACCGGGGGAGAGGCAGATTTACAGGGAAGAAGAAATGAAGATCTATTTTTTGGCCATGTGAATTCTGAGAAGATTGTAGAGATCCCTGTGTCCTCATCTGCCAGAAGGGGATAATAATAGAACTTGTGGGGCTGCGGGGAGGCTGGAATGGGGTGAGGTGCAGAGAGAACCCAGAGCATTGCCTCTCGATGGTTCAGGTTCAGTGATGCTGCCCTGATCCTCTTTCCCTCCTCTCCCAGGTTCCTGGTGAGGCCAATCCCATCAACATGGTGTCCAAGCTCAGCCAACTGACAAGCCTGTTGTCGTCCATTGAAGACAAGGTACGTGTGGGGCTCCTGCGGCTTCTCTTGGTCTCCTCTTTGGTCCCCTCTTTGCATGGAGAATGCCCAGATGCACAGGCTCGGCGTCCCCTTGACCCTCTGTCTCTAACGCTGCTGCCCACAGGTCAAGGCCTTGCTGCACGAGGGTCCTGAGTCTCCGCACCGGCCCTCCCTTATCCCTCCAGTCACCTTTGAGGTAAGTGGCCATGGGACAGCAGAGCCTGGGCTTGGGCTCCACAGCTGGGCAGAGAGACATGTTCTTGTTCCTGTGGAAAGAGGGATTGGGGCTTTAGCTGGGGAAGAGCAGGGAGCGCATTAGCCAAGAATGGCAGTCAGTTGACCTTTGTCGCTGTGATGGCGGTTCAACGTCAGAACGGGCACCCAGAGACAACTGGGAAATCCCCTTCGGAGGGAAGCTACAAGGGAGGAGTGTCTCATTGGGCCAGGCACCATGTAAACTTTGTCCTTCTCAAAATGGCAGAGATGAGTGACATCAGACGGGGCTGCAAAGTACTGCCTCAAGGGGGTGGGGAATTCAGAAAAAAAATCGTGCGATTCCTGTGATTTCCATGAGAATGACTGGATTAGAATCTCCAGGCTTGACCCAAAATGCGTTCTTCTTTACAATCCCCAGAGATTCTAGTATATTCACCCCAGCACTGGTCCCAAATTCAGGAATCCAGTGTGAGACCCGCACCCCCTCCGCCACACACACATTCCCCACCCCAAAGTCCGTTCTAGACCTGGTGATTATCCTCTATTAAGATAAATTTCCATTTTCTGAGCATGCCTACGCAACTGTTGTGGGTTTTCTTTTCTATTATTATCAGTAAATGTTCAATCAGTGGTTGTAACAAGGCCTGGGAGTTTAAATCTGTTACTAAAATCCTTTCTGGAAGTAGGTGACACATCAGATTAATGAGTGTTGTCAAAGTCATCAGTGAATGAACCATTTCCAGCAATTCGTCTGTTTCCGCCAGCAAACCTGTTGGCAGAACGGCTCCCCCACACACAGTGGACGAGGGGGATGCCCCTAGAGTCTCTGTGATTCCCGGGAGACGCCTGTGGAAACATGCACGTGCGCCGCTGGGGCAAGAGAAGCCCAGTGGCCCCACGAAGGACGCACACCAGAGGTTGCCCAGCCATGTAGACAAGGGGTTCGGGCGGGGGAAGCCTTGCAAAAGCCCAGGCAGAAAATCAATCAGTGACACATCTCTTCTCTTCTAAGGTGAAGGCAGAGTCTCTGGGGATTCCTCAGAAAATGCAGCTCAAAGTCGACGTTGAGTCTGGGAAACTGATCATTAAGAAGTCCAAGGATGGTTCTGAGGACAAGTTCTACAGCCACAAGAAAAGTAAGACCCCTCGTGCCTATCAACCACTGCCCCTCACCTGCCTGTGGAATTCCTGCCCTCTCAGCTCACCTCTCAGAAGGCCTGCCCTGCAGGTCTGTCTTCCGCACGCATGCGCGCCTGCGCTCATGCTTTTGTGTGTGTGTGTGTCTCTTCTCTTCCCCACCAAGACCCAGTGTGATCCATGCTATCACCTCTCAGTGCCGGGCACAAAGCCTTGCACAGATGAGGTCTTGTTGACAATTGGGTAGTGTCTGTAGCACAGGATAAACTAAACTGTGAGTACATGGACTCTGGAACCAAACTGCCTAAATTCACGTCCCAGCTCTGCCACTTAGCAGCTGTGTGACCTGGGACATGTCATGACCTCTCTAGCCCTCAGTTTCCTCATCTGTAAAATGGGGATGATAAAAATTATGTGAATAATATGCTCAAGGCTCTTTAGGCTAGAGCCCAGCATGTAGTGGCCACTTTGAGAGTCAGCTGTTATTAGTAGATTCTGAGAACCATCAAATCAACTCATCCATAAAATGGAAGCTCTTCACACAACAAATGCATATAGAGAAGCTGCAGTGGGGCAAGACAAGGGGATCCAGGGCCAGCAGGGCAGATGAGGCCCCTGCCCACATGGAATTTATATTCTGGTGCATTGAGTAGCCGATAGAGACTCAAATACATCTGTCAATACAGATGAATGATCAGATGGATGATCCAGCTATGAAAAGCGCTACAAAGAAAACAAAACAGGGCAAAGGGGTAGAGGTTAACTGGCAAGAGGGGATAGTGTAGAAAGGGCAGACATGGAAGTTTCCTCTGAGTAAGAGGCACATTGGCGGAGACCCCGAGGCTGAGAAGCAACCAGTCGGGCAGGGGTCTGAGGGAAGAGCATCCCAGCTAGCAGAGCAGCATGTGCAAACGCTGGGAGATGGGCACTGGGGCCCAGGTTAGGGAGGCCAGGCAGGGTGTCAGGAGGCAGGGGGGTAGGCAATGCCCAGTGCGGGGCCACATGGGGCTGGAGAACAGCAGCAGACAGGACCAGAGGGCTGACGAAAGCATGAGAGTTTCCTGAGCAGCCTCTCGTTCTGGCTGATGGCGAATGGACATCTTTCTTCATCTGGGTGGCCAATGGGTTCCCCCGAGAAACCTGATCAATGCGTAGACCCTTGCCTCAGATAAATCCCAACCTTCACACAACAGTTTGCATCCCATGTCAGGTTTTAAGACCACTATGAAGCCCCCCAAGTCTCTGTGGCTACAACACTTTTTTTTATTCTTTAGTGTCTCAAAGTTCATTTAGAGGGCATGGTTAAGGTTGCCACAATTAGCAGATAAAAATACAGGAGGCCCAGTAAAATTTGAATTTCAGATAAACAACCGATATACTATATGTATGTCCCATGCAATATTTGGGACATACTTATATGCAACAATGATTCACAGTTTTTCTGAAGTTCAAATTTAACTGGGTCTCCTGTATTTTATCTGGCTTCTTCAGGCATGATCAGCACCTTTTTTTTTTTTTTTTTTTTTGAGACAAAGTCTCGCTCTATCACCCAGACTGGAGTGCAGTGCCACGATCTTGGCTCACTGCAACCTCCGCCTCCTGGGTTCAAGTGATTCTTCTGCCTCAGCTTCCCGAGTAGCTGGGACTACAGGACCACCACCACGCCCAGCTATTTTTTTATTTTTAGTAAAGACAGGGTTTCACCATGTTGGTCAGTGTGGTCTCGAACTCCTGACCACAAGTGATCCACCCGCCTTGGCTTCCTAAAGTGCTGGGATTACAGGCATGAACCACTGTGCTCAGCCATCTTTTGTTCTTAATAAAGTCGTATGCACTAAGTATGGGGAACTGGGAGGACCTTGGCAGGGCCTGTGCATTCAGAGTCCTCTCTGTCCCTGTGTCCTTGGAGACAGGATGCTCTGTCCCCCAGGTATAGGGAGGGCTCCTCTCATATGAGGCTCTATAACCTGCTTTAGAGGAATGTCAGAGGGTCCTTCCTGCACCTGCCATTGCTCAAATTCCTTCAGCTGAAAATATTCAACATGCTTAGGATGCCATATTTTGCAATAGTGCATCCTGAACCCCACTGATAGCACAGTGGGGTGCAAGTAGCCCAGTCTTGAGTCCCAGGTCAGCCACTTGTGACTTGGGTCTGGTGCCTTTTCTCTGGTCCTCAGTTTACTCTTCTGTCCAGCAGGGATAGTAGCAGCATCTTGCAGGGCTCTCATGAGTCTTATGTGGGTGAACATCAAAGCAACTGGTGCCCAACCTCCAGGGAGTGCTCAATATCATTGACTGTCACCACCACCACCACCATTATTATTACCCTTCCAGGGTAGCCGTGAGGGAGGCTGATCTCAGGGAATGGCTGGGGGTGACATCATAGCTGTCATAGTCCTGCAGAGGGGAGCTCATAGCATCATGGTGGCCCCTGTGTATAGTGGCAAGTTGGGCAGGAGAAATGGGGAGTCACTGATGATTTGAACAGAAAGGCTGTGTGGAAAGTGAGCTTAGAGTGATGGTTTCCTCTTATCTGTTGATATGATTTGGCTGTGTCCCCACCCAAATCTCATCTTGAACTGTAGCTCCCATAATCCCCACTTGTCATGGGAAGGACCGGGTGGGGAGGTAATTAAATCACTGGGATGAGTTTTTCCCATGCTGTTCTCATGGTAGTGAATAAATCTCATGAGATCTGATGGTTTTATAAAGGGTAGTTCCCCTGCACAAGCTCTCTTGCCTGCCACCATGTAAGACGTGACTTTGCTCCTCCTTTGCTTCTGCTATGATTGTGAGGCCTCCCCAGCCATGTGGAACTGTGAGTCCATTAAAACTCTTTCCTTTATAAATTACCCAGTCTTGGGTATGTCTTTATTAGCAGCGTGAGAACAGACTAATACATCTGTTAAGGAGAGAGGGGTGGCCCCAACTTGGATAAGAGGAGATGGAAACGTTAAGATGAGTGAAGACTGTCAGAGCACCTGATTACTAAAAAACTTAAGATTGAAAGAAACACCTCCCAGGGTTCTCAGAAGTGCTGTGAACTTTTGTCGGTTTAATGCAACAGATATTTGCGTAGCATCTTCTATGGGCCAGCCCTTCATCGTGAACGCTTCCTCTAAGGATTTGCTGTGGAGAAGGGAACGCTGGCACATGGGCAGGTATTAGAATGTGCTCCAGAGGGAGGTTAGTCCCGAGGGAGGACTGGTTAGCTCTTTTGGGGAGTGAGGGCAGGAGACTTCACACCACCGAGGTGGCTCTGACCGGGATTTGAAGGATGAATAGGATTTTGCCAAGCATGAGGCAGGGGAGGGCACTGGTACTGAGAGAATGGGGTGTGCAGGGAACGGGACAGGGGGTTAGTGAAATCACACATTACATGTTGCTCATCTCTCACTGTGGTTCTGGAGAGAGAAGCCGCTGGGCACGCCATCCTAGGTGTGAACAGAGCCTAGAATGCCCAAGTAAGGATTGGAGCTGTTGTTGCTGAGAAGTTGGTATTCTCCTTTGTGGAAACAGATCAGGGATGGGTGAAAGAGCTAAACTAGAGATCACTGGCCCTAAGAAAATCCAGCTCTAGTTAAGAATGGGCTATGCATGGGTGCAGTGGTACGCACCTGTATTCTTAGCTACTTGGGAGGCTGAAGTGGGAGGATCACTTGGAGCCAGGAGTTTGAGTTCACCCTGAGCAACACAGCAAGACTCCATCTCTAAAAATTAATAATAATAATAATAACAATAATAGGCTATTTCAGAGCAGGTTTGTGAGCCCTGAAGAGCATGGGTGCCCACAGACTGCCAGCCCACTCTCCGGGAATGTGCCCACCTAGCTCCAGTCCTCCCGTCAATCCAGGATGGTGGAGCCTGACTTCCTCTCTGTGGTGACACCTGTCACATCAGAGCACAATTGACTCCTCACAAATTCCCTCCCCCTAAAAAGGGCAAGGTCTTTCCTTTACACACCCTGGACTCTGCAGGCCCCAGCTCGGGCCCTGGGGCTCAGCAAGTGCGTGCTCAGGGATTGCCAATTGCCTGAGGCACTTGCAATGTCATCCATCATAAATCCCAGTTCTGTCTCCCCTCTTTAATGTGGGCTTCACAAAGGCTGGGATGTGGATTTTTTCGTTGTTGTTAACCACTAAATCCCAGAGCCAAAACAGTGCTTAGCACAGAGTAAGTGATCAGTAAATGCATATTGAGAGAACGCATGCATGAATCAGTGAATGAATGCAAGAATGAAGGAACGCACACAGGAATAAGAATGAATGTAATAATGAATGAATGCACACATGAATGAGAGAATGAAGGCAAGAATGAATGAATCTATGCATGAGTGAGCAAATGTGTCCTAAACCAGGTAAGATCATACAGTTCTCATGGATGCATGTTTAAGTGGCTTCTTTACAGTTGGTGCTGAGAGGCAGTGTGGTTCAAGAGTGGGTGCTCTAGGTAAACCGGATGCATGTGTTGGTTCCATGACTTGCTAATAGTATGATCTCAAGTAAGCTACTTAACTCCTCAAAGCCTCAATGATGCCTCCACAAGACAGGGGTTCCTACAGGGGTTGTTGTGAGAGTTAATGGGGTAAGGTGTGTCCTTAGTGCGGAGTCTGGCTCATGGTGAGTTTCCATCCATGGTTATTATGACAGAGCGGTGCTCGCCTGGAGGGAATCTGTGGTTGCAAGAGTTGGAGCTTCCTTACCCTATTTTAATCACCATGTTCATGAATAGCTTTGGCATCATGGTCTTCTACACATAGGAACAGCCAGTTGCTGTATGTTCAAATCATAAAATATTCATGCTCCGAGCACCTGCTATGCAGGTACCAGGCTTTGGGATGCGAAGGTGAACCAGCCAGCCGGGATCCTAGCTTTCAGGAAAGTTTCATTCAAATCAGGGCAAAGGAGAAAATAAACAAACACACAAATATACAAACCAGGAATGTGTCAGGGAATGATAAACTCTAGACCTGGGGATTTAAATAGAAAAATATGACAGTAATGGGGAAAAGCCTTTCTGTGGACATGCTGTGCCATTTGAACCGAGACCTGAGTGTCAGGAAGATGCTGGCTGTGCCCAACCCAGGGAAAGAGGCAACTGGGCTCAGTCCCAAGGCAGGAACAAGTATGGCGTGTGAGACGGCTGGGCGGCCAGGACTCAGACAAGGCTGAGGCTGGACAGGGGCCAGGCATGTGGGCTTGCTGAGCCAGAGTACCAGCTCACGTTTCCTTCCAAATGCAGCAAGCCACTATTAGGAGGTTTTCAGCTGGGGGGGGTGTGGTGTGATTCCACTTCAAAAAGATAACTCTGGCTGCTGTACTGAGAATAAACTATGGGAAGAGAGGAAGAGTGGAGACAGGGACACCAATTAGGAGGCCATGATAGCAGTCAGGCAAGAGGCGGTGGCAGCTGGAGATGGGAAAAGGTGAACGGGGTGGGAACGTTTCAAAGGTAGACCAGCCAGCACCTGCTGATCGATACCATGTAACAGGACGAGGGAAACGGAACTTCTAGTGTTATTTCACTGGGCGTGGGGAAGGTGGGGCGCTGACTGACTCTGATGGAATAATAACCCTGATCAAACAAGATATCACATCCTGGGGGCAACCGCACAGTCCTGCGAACAGATGGCAAGGAAATTCAGGGGAAGGAGACATGGCCTGATCGTAGCAGACTGGAAAAGTCTCAGCATTTGGTTAGCAGTGGTAGAAATCGGACTGTGGGATGCTTACTGAGGTGCAGACGAGGCTGATGTCATTTCCCTTTGGGGAGGCTTCCAGCTCAAAGTGATGGTTAAATGCATGCTCTGCCATCAGTTCCCTTCCGGAAGGCAAAACCCACAGGGAAAGAGAGAATGGGAGAGCAACAATATTCTGAAAGCCGGAAAGGAGATGGATAGCGAGAGTCACTTGTAGGAACCAAAAAACGAAACCCTAAGCAGGTGGAAGAAAAAACAGAGACACTGACTCACACAAAACCCACAAAGGGCTCAGGAACTGAGAGCCTTGGGGACCCCAAGAAGTGGGGTGAAGGTGGGGTTATACACAGCAGGGTCAGATGGAAGTCTATTTAAAGACAGTTCAGCCCAACAGATCACACTCCACTCCATGTAGCCAGTGGCTCCTCCTCACTCCTTTGGCAGAAGATTGGATATTCTTTGGAGAAGGTGAAGGGCTGGGAGATGCCAGGCCTGCTGCAGGCAGGAGAGCCTACTGAAAACAGAGGACTAAGGGACAGTCACTTGCTGAGTGCTGAGACCCCAGCCTTCTTCCCTGCCCAGCTCCCAGGATGCTGCTGGCCAGCCCCACCCTCCCTAGGCAGGAGTTAGAAGTCTTCTCTGGGAAACTTGATCAGCCCAGGGGCAAAGATGGAAAGGTGTTGCCATCACGCAGTTTCCCCAGGATTCAGCCCATCAGACCACCCTGCGGAGAAGCCCTGCTCGACAGACCCCACCTCACTGTTGGACACAGACAGCCAAGGATCACCAGACACTGGAGGGAAGCTGGGGACAGGAAACAGGGGACACAAAGACAAAACACTTGGAGGGATCAAATTCTTTTTGTTTTTTTTGAGACAGAGTTTCACTCTTGTGGCCCAGGCTGGAGTGCAATGGCGCGATCTCAGCTCGCAGCAACCTCCACCTCCTGGGTTCAGGCGATTCTCGTGCCTCAGCCTCCCAGGTAGCTGGGACTATAGGCATGCACCACCATGCCCGGCTAATTTTTGTATTTTTAGTAGAAATGAGGTTTCACCATGCTGGCCAGGCTGGTCTCAAACTCCTGAGCTCAGATGATCTGCCTGCCTTGGCCTCCCAAAGTGCTGGTGTTCCTGGACCAAACTGAGGGTCAGGCTGCTATTTCTTGTGGCCCAATAACAAGATGCACATGAACTGGGGAGGAAGACAGGTTTTATTTTCTGTAACTGGTTACAGGAAGAAGGCCTGGAAATTATCACCAGACCAACTCAAAATTACAAAGTTTTCCAGAGCTTATATACCTTCTAATCTGTATGTCTACGTGTGTGTATTCATTGAAAGATATAAGTGATTAACTTCTTTTAATTTATAACTAAGGTCTGAGTCCTGAAGACCTTCCTTTGGAGCCTCAGTAAATTTACTTCATCTAAATGGGTCCAGGTGCTGGTGTGATTACCCTTATCTTGTCTTCTGCTAAATCACGGAGGTTTGGGGAGTTCCTTCAGACCTCCAATAAACTTGTTAAATCCTAAACTGGTCCTGTTAAGAATTCCTTCGCCTAGGCAAAACTTCTGATGGGCTTTTGTTACATTCCAGCCTTTGTATAAGGGCACTGGCTTTTGATATTTAACTTAACCACTCAGTCAGTACTGAAACCGTTGTCACGGAGGCCTGAATTAGTGAGACCTGGCCTGCCACACCGGGATTACAGGCGTGAGCCACTGCACCCAGCCTTGGAGAGATCAGATTCTACAGATAAAAAGAAATGGGCCTGTGGAATAACAGAATTATATCTAGAAAGGAACAGTAAGAGAATAAAATGAAAGTGAAAAAGGATGAGGAGAAAGAGAGAAGGGGGAAGAAGGGGAAAGGGAAAGGAAGGACAACTCTGGGGCAATAAAAAATATTATAGCAGTAATTAAAAAAAATAAGAACCCAATGGAAGAGTGGAAAGATACAGTTTAGAAAAGCTCCGAAAAGGCAAAACAAAAGGACAAAGTGATGGAAAATAGGAGAGGCAAGATTTTTACAATTTAAAAGACCAGATCAGGGCTGGGTGCAGTGGCTCACGCCTGTAATCCCAGCGCTTTGGGAGGCCAAGGCAGGTGGAACACTTGAGGTCAGGAGTTCAAGACCAGCCTGGCCAACATGGTAAAACCCCACCTCTACTAAAAATACAAAATTAGATGGGCATGGTGGTGCACGCCTGTGATCCCAGCTACTCGGGAGGCTGAGGCAGGAGAATTGCTTGAACCCAGGAGGCAGAGGTTGCGGTGAGCCAAGATCCACGACTGCACTCCAGCCTGGGTGATGGAGCGAGACTCCATCTCAAAAAATAAATAAATAAATAAATAAATAAATAAATAAATAATAAATAAATAAGACGAGTTCAGGAGGCCCAATATCAAAATAATAAGTGTCAGTAAGAGAAAACAGATTGAGAAAATTTATTAAAGAATTCAGGAAAGAGTCTCAGAACAGAATAACACTTGCCTCCATGTTGAAAATGGCCAAGTGCTCACACAACACAGGAGGCCCACACAACCCTGGAAAGTCTCACAATGCTGGACTCCAAGAAAAGATCCTAAAAATGTTCAGAGCAAAAGATAGATTACGCCCTGTGTCAGGGGCCCCACAAGACCACCCCCAGGTTCTGTGATTCCCTCAGAGAACCCACAAGACCCAGTGGATGATCATATTCCCAGCTGTGATTTATTACATTGAAAGGATATAGAGCAAAATCAGCTGAGGGAAAAGACACATGCATAGGATGAAGTCTGGAAGAAACCAGGCACGAGCTTCTAAGAGTCTGAGCCTGAGACCTGAGTGTCAGGAAGATGCTGGCTGTGCCCAAACCAGGGAAAGGGGCCACTGGGCATAGTTCCAAGACAGGAGCCAGTGTGGCTGGTGAGATGGCCAGATGGCTGTGGCTCAGACAAGGCCAAGACTGGGCAGGGGCCAGGTGTGTGGGTCTGCTGAGCCAGAGTGCCAGGTTCACACTTCCTTCTTTTTTTATTTGAGATGGAGTCTCACTCTGTCGCCAGGCTGGAGTGCAGTGACACGATCTTGGCTCACTGCAACCTCCGCCTCCCAGGTTCAAGCAATTCTCCTGCCTCAGCCTCCTGAGTGGCTGGGACTACAGGTGCCCGCCACCACGCCTGGCTAATTTTTTGTTTTGTATTTTAGTAGAGACAGGGTTTCACCATGTTGCCCAGGCTGGTCTCAAACTCCTGAGCTCAGGCAATCTGCCTGCCTCAGCCTCCCAAAGTGCTAGGATTACAGGCATGAGCCACCGCGCCTGGCCCACGCTTCCTTCTAAGTACAGCGAGCCACCATTAGGAGTGGCTCCACTCTTCTGTGGAGTCACAAAGGACACACTTCCCTCCTCCCCCAGTGAGGTGTGACAACATGTGTGAAATGTGGTTGTTAACTGGCGAATGGTCACATAGACACCCTCTACCTGGCAGGTACCCAGATTACAGACTCCCAAAAGGAAAACAGGTGCTCAGCATAAACCATATTGTTTGTACAAACAATGTAGGCACAGCAAGCCACTCATCAGCTCTGGGAGTGGTGGGAGCCCTCCCGAAATCTAAGTTCCCAGATGACAGCAGAAAGCCAGCCTTTCAAGCAAGCCCTTCTAAGGACAGCAGTCTCGGGTCTGTTGTGCTAACTCTTTTCTGAACAAGAGAATCAGAATGACATTGTTTCTCCAGCAATCCTGAAAACTAGAGATGATGGAACAAGGTTCCAGAGTCCGGAGGAGAATTATTTCAAATTTAGAGTTCTGTCAGTTAAGTGTGAGGGTCGAATTCTCAGACACGCAAGGCCTCTAAAAATGTATCACCGATTCTTCCTTTCTTGGAAAGCCACTAGAGATGCTGCTCTACCAAAATGAGGGTGTAAACCAAGAAGAGGAAGACCTGGGGTCCAAGAAATGGGATTTAATACGAGAGAGAGAAACGTATTCCTGGATTATGAAGTAAGGCCCCAAGGTAAAGGCTGTGCCTCGGCCCTTGAAGTCACCAGTCCAGAGAAGACCCAGAAGCTCTGGGAAAGGCTCCCTCAGGACAAAGGAACTGATGAAAGTAGTTGGTCACATGGAAAAGAGAGTTATAAACTGGGGAAGAATTAGAAACAATAAAAAAAAAAAGTATGGCAATTACTAACTCCAGGAATAACACAAAGTTGTCTAGAAAAAGAGAAACATTCAGGGCTGGTCTGTCAATAGCATTTTGATAATCAGAATAACAAACACTGAGTACTTATCTGGCCAAAATTATGATATAATTGTTAGAAGGATGATGTGGGGACTGAAATTATGCATTGGCAGGGAGTCAAGTTGGGGGAGCAGGTTGTGTGTGTGAAAGAAATTTCAACCTCATCTTCCATAGTGGACAGTCAAAAATGTAATAGGACATAATGAAAACTGAAACATCGGAAAGTATTAATCTAAGCATTTTTTTTTTTTAAGAAACAGAGTAGAATTCCAAAAGAATCCATTAAGAGAGTTGAAATTGGTTGCCTGTAGGGAGCTGGACATTGAAGAGAGGTTGGGTTGTGGAGGACTATTGTTTGCAAAAACCTTATAGAACAACTTGACTCTTTTAATTGTTGATGACAGTAAAATGTAAAATTAAATTTAGATATAAATTAAAAACAAAGCAAAAGAAGGAAAGGAGGAAGAGTAAGGAAGAAAGGAGGGAGGGAGAAGAGGAGGAAGAAGAGGAGAAGGAAGAAGAGAGAGGGGAAGGAGGGAGGCAGGGAGAAAGATGAAAAGACGATCACGCTGTCTCTGCTCTGGACAGGCCAACTCTTGCTTGTTCCAGACATCACCCTCCCCAAGCATGAGCCTCTCTTGGGAAGAGCAGCTGGAAGCAGAGGGAGCTGGGAGACCAGACACAAACTCGGGGCTCAGCTTGGGGACGGGAGTTGATAGTCAGGTGCCTGGAACATAATGGAGACCGTCCATATTGGTTGAATGAGTGGATGAATGAATTAATGAATTTCTTTTCTCTTAAGTCCTGCAGCTCATTAAGTCACAGAAATTTCTGAATAAGTTGGTGATCTTGGTGGAAACAGAGAAGGAGAAGATCCTGCGGAAGGAATATGTTTTTGCTGACTCCAAAGTAAGTGACAGCAAACTTCTAAAATGGGCTGTGAGGTAGGGAGGGGACACAAGCGTTTTGAGGCTCGCTGTGTGCCAGGGAGTGTATCATTAGCTCACTCAGTTCCCAGAACAACCCATTTCACACCTGGGAAAGGTGAACTTAGAGAAGTTGAGGATCATGTTCCAGGTTGGCCTGGATTTGAGCCATCACTGTCTCAGGAGTAGGGAGGCTTCCCACTTTGCCCAGCTGCCTCCCAGCCTCGAGGCCACATCCTTTATGACCCACATCTAACTCAGCCCCACACCTGGGGGAAAGGCTTTCAGCTTCTCTGGGCTGGACTTGGGAAATCTTTGGGACACTCCTGGATTGATTGATTGATTGATTGACTGACTGACTTGAGACAGCGTCTCGCTTTACCATCTAGGCTAGTGCAGTGGCGTGATCACAGCTCACGGCAGCCTCCACCTCCTGGGCTCAAGGGATCCCCCCACCCACCTCAGCTGAGGTGAGACAAGTAGCTGAGACCACAGACACACACCACCAGCTAATTTTTTATATTTTGTAGAGACAGAGTCTCGCCGTGTTTCCCAGGCTGGTCTCGAACTCCTGGGCTCAGGCAATCTTCCCGCCTCTGTCACCCAAAGTGCTGGTATTATAGGTGTGAGCCACCCCTGGATTTAAATCTGAGTCTCGACTGGAGCTCCATCCCAGAGACTTTCATTTCTACACTTTGCCCCGCTCTGCAGAAGTGAGATGCCCCTGCCAGGATGGGTTCCTGGGGTAAGAGGTGCTGTGGGCCACTGGGGAAACCCAGGCTGGGCCTCTGTGCCCCCACAGTGGGTTCTTTGTGACCTGACCCCTCATCTCAGAAATTTGAACCAGGGCCAAAACCTATCATCGTGAACCTCATTCATTGTTCTCTGCCATGCAGCTCGTGTGAGGCAGTAAAAATGGATTGCACCAGCCTGAACAGCCTAGTCAGACCCCATGTCTACAAAACAAAAAAATTAGGCCAGGCACAGTGGGTGCCTTATGCCCATAATCCCAGCACTTTGGGAGGCTGAGGCGGGACGGTTGCCCGAGACCAAGAGTTCGAGACTAGCCTGTGCAAGATGGTGAGACCTCATCTCTACGAAAAAAAAAATAGCTGGGTGTGGTGGCATGAGCCTGTAGTTTCAGCTACTTGGGAGGCTGAAGTGGGAGGATCGCTTGAACCCAGGAGTTTGAGGCTGCAGTGAGCTATGATCACACCACTGCACTCCAGCCTAGATGACAGAGCAAGATCCTGTCTCAAAAAAAAAAAAAAAAAAAAGATTGCAGCGCAATAAGGGTGTCCATCACATCAGGTGCTGGCTGACATCTCACATCAGGGACCCCCAGCAAGGCCAAGGGACAAGCGCTTCTGGTGCAGGCCCACAGTGATAGCTTCCCACTGAGTGCCCAGTCTCCGCTCCTACTTTCACCTCCAAAGCATCAGGGGTGGGCTGGTGGGAGGTCTAAGGTGTCCAGAGCTGTCAGGAATAATAGGGAAGGGTCTGGGAGAAACAAGAGAATGGGGCCCAGACAGGTGGTGGGAGATGGAGAGAAAGACCGCTGGGCTGGAATGCTTTCTGAGCACCTGGGCATAGGTTCAAACACCAGCTCTGCCCCATTGCTGCGACCTCAAAAGGACTGAGGCACAGGGATAAATGGAGGCCATGAATCTTGAGCCACTCCCAACTCGAGGCAGGTTATAGTAAAGATGGTCATTATGACATCTTTGTGAGCTGGTGTCTTCAGGGAGGACTTACTGAGATTTGCAATTATAAGGTTGAATCATGTAAAATTTCTGTCTTTGCAGGTTGAAACAGTCAAACACTGGTCATGTCATATGTTACACCCTGAAATTTGTGTACTTTGTTAAAGTCCGCCTGCTCTATTGATTGCATCCTAAGAGAGGGCCAACTGAGGCTGCTTGGTGCCCCACTGGGTACCCCAGAAAAATACGTGAAAAATATTGAGTAGGCTATGAAAGCCTTCATGTCCTCTCTTCTTTTTAATTAGTTTCTTTAATTTAAATGTTCTTTCATTACATAAGTAATCTATTCTCCTTGGTGAAGACGTGGCAAACACAAACAAGCAAATGTTTAAAATAAAAACACTCGTATACCATGAGTTAATCTGGGACTATGCCCCTTCCAGATGTTTTTTAATTTTCTCTTTCTTTCTTCCTTCCCTTCTTTCTTTCTTTTTCTGTTTCTTTTCTTTTCTGAGACAGGGTCTTGTTCAGTTGCCCCGGCTGAAGTGCAGTGGCAAGATCATGGCTCACTGCAACCTCAACTTTCTGGCCTCAAGTAATCCTCCCACCTCAACCTCCTAAGTTGGGAGGGACTACAGGCATGCACCACCATGCCTGGCTAATTTTTTTATTTTTTGTAGAGGCAGGGTTCCCCTATGTTGCCCAGGCTGGTCTCAAACTCCTGGGATCAAACAATCCTTCTGCCTCAGCCTCCCAAAGTCCTGGGATTACAGGCATGAGCCACTGTGCCAGGCCCAAATGTTTTATTAAAAATGCAATGATGCTATTCATATCATTTGTCAACTAGCTTTTCATGCTTAAAAATATATATTGTGGCCACCTGTCCTTGTTGGCAAGATAGTTCTGGATCACACTTGTTAAACACTGTGATATTCTAGTTTATGGATGGTCTAGAATACTTTTTTTTTTTGAGACAGACTCTAGCTCTGTTACCCAGGCTGGAGTGCAATGATGCGATCCTGGCTCACTGCAACCTCCACCTCCTGGGTTCAAGCAATTCTTCTGCCTCAGCCTCCCGAGTAGCTGGCATTACAGGCAAGCACCACCACGCTTGGCTAATTTTGTATTTTTAGTAGAGACAGGAGTTTCACCATGTTGGTCAGGCTGGTCTCGAACTCCTGACCTCAGGTGATCCACCCACCTCGGCCTCCCAAAGTGCTGGGATTACAGGCATGAGCCACCACACCTGGCCCTCTGATACATTATTAATGAATCTCCTAAGGCTGGACAGTAAGGTTGCTTCTGATTTTTTTCTGTGCTGAGGCCTGTGCTGCAGAGCCGTGACAGGGTTGGACTTCTGCGCAGCTCCTGATCACTTTGTTAAAGTCGCACCTTTGCAGGGGAGTGTCTAGGCCAGAAGCCACTCGCTTATGACTTTGGACACATGTTTCCAGGTTGCTGTCCTGGAAGTTCACACTGATTTACGCTCCTCTCAGTTTTCTTGAAGCTGACCAAGTCCTTTGCAAAGTGTAATGTGCAGGGAGGCAGAGGCCTTTCTAAGTCTGTCTGCCCTTCCATCCCTAGAAGAGAGAAGGCTTCTGCCAGCTCCTGCAGCAGATGAAGAACAAGCACTCAGAGCAGCCGGAGCCCGACATGATCACCATCTTCATCGGCACCTGGAACATGGGTGGGTCCGCGCGCCCCCTCCCTGCAGTCACCCCCTCTGCTTCTGCTTTCCTGACTCAGGCATCCTCAAGGTGGGGTGGAGTGACGACATCCATGTCCCCTTCCTTCCTGCCCCAGGGCCCTGCCCCTAAGCCCCAGCCCACCCGCACAACCTCCTTCCTGAGGAATTCCACCCTTTTCCTGAGATGATGGGTAAGAAAAACGAGCTTTGGGACTATCGTACCCCAAGAGCAGCTGGCGTGGGTTACTCTGTATGTCTAAATTGGAAAGTTTTAGGGAAAGAGTCTGAATATCTAGGTGAAGGGGCTCATGGGAACCCTGCCAGCCCTAGGCAGCTCACCAAGGGGCCCCAGGCCTGAGAGAAAGAAGTCCACCCTGAGTAGGGTTGCCAGATTTATCAGGAGAGAGACAGAGAGAGACAGAGAGATAGGTACGTAGACAAAGGATGCCCAGTTAAATTTTAACTTCATAGAAACAATTTTTTTTAGTATATGTTTAGCTACAAACAAATAAATACTAAATATATATGCTCATAGACATTATGCTGAATATATAGTATATATACATATGCTAAATAAGTGTAATTATTATATTAAATATGAATTATACTAAGTAATATTAGTTTAAGCATACAGCTAATAATATACTAAATATATGCTAAATATATTTTGTATTAAACATATATATTGTGTATTTACTAAACACATGCACTCTACTAAATATAAATAATACTAAATAATTTTTTAGTGTAAGTGTTCAGGTAGAAATAAATTAGATAGAAGACATCCAGATAAACTTATTCTAAAAACTACCAGTTTATCTGAAATTGGAATTTCACTGGGTGTCGTGTGTCCCCTACCCTTGTCCTGAGAGGAGTCTGGGAGGAAGAGGGTGAGCAGTGGCTGGCAGGGGCCTCCTGGAAGTGAAGTGACAGCTTGTCACTCGTGTCCCAGGGCCACAGCAGCCGTGGAGTAGAGCCCGGGCCAGTGCCCCAGGGGGTCACTTGTCCCCTTCGGTCCCTTTCAGTGTTTCTAATAAGAGACAATAGTCTGCCTGATCTCCTCCCTCTGGACATGGTCAGGGATGTCCATGACACAAGGGCAGGGGTGCCCTTCCCACAGAAGAGTATGGAAGGAGCCAGCTGAGGCCATGCCGCAGGAGGGCCGGGGACCCACCAGCCCGGGGGTTCGGGCACCCACTTTGAGCCTCTTGGGGGAGCAGAATTTAGCCACAGTCCATTTACTCCAATGCTTGGCTTCTTTGCACTTGTAAGGCAAGAAGCTCATCTCTTTGAGGAACAAAGTTTGCTCATCCTTCAAGGGCATTGTAGGGAGAACCGTTCAAAATTTCTTGATTGAGCTTCTTCAACTCAGTTTTGAAATGGGAATGCGGAGGAGTTTCCACACTCTCCCGTTTCTCTGGCTCACACCCAGGCATCCCTCCGCTCTGGGCTGGGATCTGTCTTGCAAGGGAGACTTTGTTGTCTCCCAACAATGGGTTAGAACCCGCCATCTAAAACTTGTCAGTTCCCTTGGCTGTCTTGAGAATAGGATGTGAGTTCCTTGAGGGACAGGACTGTGTCTCAATTATCGTAGCCTCAAAGTGCAGGACAGTGTCTGACATCAGGGAATCTTCTGGTGTTTCTATACCTTGAAACTTGACATTACGTTTAAAAAGAGGCTTAACTGAGCTCTAGCCCTAACCGACATCCTGGGTGAGGTTGGCGCCCAGGCCTCCATTGCAGGCATTTCTTTGGGCTGCCTGGATGGTCTTGTGTAATGACGTGACCTCCCTCACACTCCCGCCCTCTGTTTTGAATTCTCCTAATGCTTTGACTCGATGTGCCTTTGACTCACTTGGTGTTGGGTTTTGCTGTTGAAGGTAACGCCCCCCCTCCCAAGAAGATCACGTCCTGGTTTCTCTCCAAGGGGCAGGGAAAGACGCGGGACGACTCTGCGGACTACATCCCCCATGACATTTACGTGATCGGCACCCAAGAGGACCCCCTGAGTGAGAAGGAGTGGCTGGAGATCCTCAAACACTCCCTGCAAGAAATCACCAGTGTGACTTTTAAAACAGTGAGCAGCTGGCTGCACGCTGGGTGGGCTTCCGGGATAGAATCTTTGCTCGGCTGGGCTGTCTCAGAGGCAAGGGTGGGCTCAGCCTATCAGCTCTCAGTTTTCAAGGATGTCTGGAGGCCCCCACTGAGAGATGCGTCTGTATTCAGAAATAAATGGGATCTGTGGGGTATTGCTGAAAACCACTGAGTCCTCTATCTTCCCACCCTTGGTCAGCCCCGGTTCTCATCTTTAGGATGTTTTGTCTCGCCTATCAAGCATCGCTGGGAGTCCCCCGAAGGGTTGGGATTACAGACAGGATACCCCATACCCAGGGGCTGCGGCTGGGGCTGGGTGTGAATCACTGTGCCCTGGTTCACACCCTACACTTGGGCCGAGTATTGCAACGTTGTCCTCCCACCAGGTCGCCATCCACACGCTCTGGAACATCCGCATCGTGGTGCTGGCCAAGCCTGAGCACGAGAACCGGATCAGCCACATCTGTACTGACAACGTGAAGACAGGCATTGCAAACACACTGGGTGAGCAGGGCGGGGACCCTGTGTTCCTCCCACACCCTCTGCCTCAACTCTCGCGACCACATCATCCTGATCCCACCAGTAGTTCCCCGGGTTAAAAACAGAGAGCCTCACATCCTCAGATCCTGGCTCAGTCCTCAGCAAATAGGGGTGATTGGTCTCCCTGGCTGAAACTCACTCAGGGTCTACACCAGCAGTCCCAGGGATCTAGCTAAAATGCAGGTTCCGACCCAGTAGATCTTGGGTGGAGCTCAGGGTTCCAAGTTTCTGACAGGTTCCCAGGCGACTTGAGCGCTGCTGGTCGGCCCGTGGGACCCATTTTAAGAAGCAAGAACCTAGAAGAGGCATTGGCCAACTTTTGCAGGAAAGGGAAGGGCCTGACAGTAAATATTTCAGGCTTTGCAGGCCACTCAACACTATTCCTCTCTGCCTTTCTGGTGGGAAAGCAGCCATAGGCAACCCAGAAAGCGAATGGGAGTGACTGTGTTACCAGTGAGACCTTCCTTACAAGCACAGGCGGGAGGTGGCTGGCCCCTGCCCTCGGTCCCTGTGCACCAGGTTGGATCTGGAAACGCTGGTGTCAGTGGAGAGTTGCTGGCTTCAGAGAGCAGTAACAAGGGCAAGAAGTCTTCATAAGTGTAGGAGTGCAAGCCTGTGTGTTTGTGTAGGATGTGTGTGTGAGTAGGTCTGTGTATGTGAGTTTGTGTGAGTGACAGCGTGCATGTGAGTGTGTGAGCCTGTGTAGGTGTGTGAGAGTTTATGGATGTGTGTTTGTGAGCATGTTTATGTGAGTCAATGTGTGAGCGTACCACCCCATATCTATGAGTGTGTGTCTATATGTGTGTGAATCTATGCATGTGTTTGAGTGTGTCTATGTGAGTCTATGTATGTGAGTCCGTGTATGAGTGTACCACCCATATCTATGTGTGTGAGTGTCTGTATGTGTGAGTCCATGCATGTGTGTTTGTGTGTGTTTATGTGAGTCTACATATGTGAGTCCGTGTGTGAGTGTACCACCCCGTATCTATGAGTGTGTGTGTGTCCATGCATGTGTTTGTGAGTGTATTTATGTGAGTCTATGTATGTGAGTCCGTGTGTGTGTACCACTCCATATCTATGAGTGTGTGAGTGTCTATGTGTGTGTGTCCATGCATGTGTGTTTGTGAGTGTGTGTTTATGTGCATCTGTGTGTGAGTGTACCACCCCGTATCTATGAGTGTGTGAGAGTCCATGCATGTGTTTGTGAGTGTGTTTATGTGAGTCTATGTATGTGAGTCCATGTATGAGTGTACCACCCCATATCTATGAGTGTGTGAGTATCTGTGAGTCCATGTGTCTGTGTTTGTGAGTGTGTGTTTATGAGAGTCTAGGTATGTGAGGGTGGGTGTCCGAGTGCATGTGCATAAGTGCTAGAGCCTCTCTGTGTGTTTGTGTGTGTGTGTGTGTGTGCCCGTGTGTGCACGTGGGGTGGTATACACACAGGGCTCCAGGGCTGGCATCAGGGGCGAGGCCAGTGGTTTTTGGTGGTTGGAGTCAGTGGAGTCAGGAACAGGACAGAGTCCCAGAGATAACAGGAAATAGAAGAATTGCTGCAATCGAACGTGCAAAGCTCTCTCAACTTTTCTGCTGACAAACCGCAAACTGCCCGCGTCCACCCCCACTCGTCCCCCTTCCTTCCTGCCACAGTAGAAGGGTGGGGCTGGCGTGGCTATCCTGGCTGCGCCCACGCCCTCCTGCTGCCCAGCAACCGCCCCGGGTGTGGATTCCATCGCTCCCTGGGCTTCCAGTCCCTCCCACCAGCCCCTGCCCCGCTGTGCAGAATATGCTCGGACCTCCTAGGGCCACATAAAACCACCCCCTCAGCCAGACCAGTTCCTGGTCATCCTGGCCTCAGGGCTGGGCACTGGGTCAGCTTCTGAGCAGGCAGGAGCTCTGCTCATGTGGACCTGACACACATTGCATGAGCAGACGGGAGGAAAAGAAGCCAGTTCCTGGGAGGGAGTGCACTGGCGAAGGAGTGTGTGGCGTGGGCAGAGAGCAGAGGTCAGGGGCCTCCCTGAGAAGGGCAGTGCGACTGGCATCTGAGGGGTGAGGAGAAAGGCCTGGCCAGAGTCCCAGCTTTATGACCATTGCAGGGCAGCTTCTGGGCTGTGCAGCTCACACACACCTTCCCCTCCTTCCCCTCCTTCCCCTCCTCTCTGCCCTGGGGCCAGCCTCCCTCCTCCACTCCCCTGAAATGGCTCCCAGCCATAATTAGCACAGGACAGAAACAGCAAATGCTGGTCGGTGTGGTAGGCTCACGCCTGTAATCCCAGCACTTTGGAAGGCCGAGGCCGGTGGATCACTTGAAGTCAGGAGTTCGAGACCAGCCTGGCCAACATGGTGAAATCCCATCCCACTAAAAATACAAAAATTAGTTGGATGTGGTGGTGCGCACCTGTAATCCCAGCTGCTTGGGAGGCTGAGGCAGGAGAATCGCTTGAACCCGAGAGGTGGAGGTTGCAGTGAGCTGAGATCATGCCACTGCACTCCAGCCTGGGTGACAGAGCGAGACTCTATCTCAAAAAAAAAAAAAAGTCCTTAGAACAACCAAGGCCTTTCTAAGAGTGTGCCCTAAGCAAGGCTGTGTGCTGAATGCTTTGAATCATCTCATTTGATATAAACACCCTGCTAGGCACGATGGCTCATGCCTATAATCCCACACTTTGGGAGGCCAAGGTGGGAGGACCTCCTGAGACCGGGAGTTTGAGACCAGCCTGGGCAACATAGGAAGGTACCATTTCTACAAAAAAAAAAAAAAAAAAAATGGCATAGTAGTGCATGCCTGTGGGCCCAGCTACTCAGGAGGCTGAGGTGGGAGGATCACTTAAATCTGGGAGGTCAAGGCTACAGAAAGCCATGATTTTGCCACTGCACTCCAGCCTGGGCGACACAGACTTTGTCTCAAATTAGAAAAAAAAATACAAACACTCGGGCAGGGACTCTTATTATTCCCATTTGCAGATGAAGAAACAGAGTCTATGGAGATGATCCATAACTTGCCCAAGGCCCCGGGATAAGAATGTGGTGGGCAGGGATTGAAACCAGGCTGTCGGGACTGGAACCAGTTGCTCAGTTCCAGGTCACCCTCCCAGGTTGCGGGCAGAGGGGCAGGGCTGGAGAGCTAGGTGCAGTGGAGAGGGCTGGAGGGCAGAAAGCCTGTGTACTCCCCCACTGGGTCCTGACAAGGTTGAGCCAGGTGATATCCAGGGGTCCCTTCAGCCTATGGCCTATCCAGAGCTGTCCAACCAAAAGAAAATGGGGCCGGGTGCCGTGGCTCACGCCTGTAATCCTAGCACTTTGGGAGGCTGAGGCAGGCAGATTGCCAGAGCTCAGTAGTTTGAGACCAACCTGGGCAACACGGTGAAACCTCGTCTCTACTAAAATACAAAAAATTAGCTGGGTGTGGTGGTGGGTGCCTGTAGTCCCAGCTACTCCTGAGGCAGAGACAGGAGAATTGCTTGAACCTGGGAGACGGAGGTTGCAGTAAGCAGAGATCGCGCCACTGCACTCCAGCCTGGGAGACAGAGTGAGACTCTGTCTCCAAAAAAAAAAAAAAAAAAAAGAAAGAAAGGAAGAAAAGAAAATGATGGGAGCCAAATAGATCATAAATAAATAGATTTATGATCAAAATAGATTACAATTTGATTTATTACAATCAATAGATCAAATTTTCTAGTAGCCACATTAAAAAGAAAACAAGTGAAATTAATTTCAATAATAGATTTTATTGAATTTCATACATCCAAAATACAATTATTTCAATAGATATTTAATGTAAAAGGTTATTAGATATTTTACAGTCTGTGTTTCTTACCAAGGCCACAATTCCAATGTGTATTTTACACTCACAACCTGTCTCATTTTGTACCAGCCACATTTCAGGTGTTTGATAGTCACATGTGGCCTGTGCCTGTATTGGACAGAGCAGGTTCTCACCTGCATGTGTCAGAATCACCTAGAGCAGGGGTTAACAAGCGTTTTCCATAGAAGGCCAGATGGTGAATATTCTAGGCTCTTTGGGCCACACAACTGTCACAATGCTTCAGCTCTGCCATCGTAGTCTGAAAGCAGCTACAGACAATCCAGAAGTCAATAGGCATGGCTGTGTTCCAGTAACGTGTTCTTTACGAACACTGAAATTTGAATTTCGTATTTTCATGAATGACAAAAGATGGTTTTTCTTTTGATTTGTTTCCAACCATTTACAAATGTAAAACCATTTGTAGCTGGCAGTGAGCCAGCATTTGCCCACCCCTGACACTGGAGGGCTTGTCAAACACAGATTACTGGGCCCCATCCCAGGATTTCAGATTCAGTAGGTCTGGGGTGGGGCTGAGAATCTGCCCTTCCATGAAGTTCCCAGGTGATGTGCAGCTGCTGGTCCAGGGAACTCCCTTTGGGAACCACTGACCTAGAATAGATCAGAACGTTGGCAGAAAAAGGTATGATCTCAGTGTGGGTTTTTGGTCTCCCCAGGAAACTTGAGTTCACTGGGAGGGAGATCAGCCCACCCAGGCTGGAACCTTCTGAATCTTCCCAGGGCTTCTGGCTGCCCGCTTAGCACCCTGGTCACTTTAGAGAGAGATGCCGGGGGAGGATCGCAGCAGCCACCTTCCTCTGCCCCGCCGAGAAGGCTGAGGCTGCCGCCATCTGCACTGCTCCTGCATTTTCTCATCTCCCGCTCTCTGCCCAGCGGCTCCCACCCTGCACGACCCTGTTTCGCCCATCCCTTGCCAGCTCCTCACTCACTGCCCCTCTCACCCTGCCTTCGGGTGATTTCTGGCCCCTTGGCAAGTGTGTCTGTTTGATATTTTGATTCTTCTTTCTGCTCTTCTTTTTAGGGAACAAGGGAGCCGTGGGGGTGTCGTTCATGTTCAATGGAACCTCCTTAGGGTTCGTCAACAGCCACTTGACTTCAGGAAGTGAAAAGAAACTCAGGTAATGGAACTCCTTCCCCCCAAGAGTGTGCATTTGGGCTGTCTGCCCAGACACGCCTCACACCTTTAAGCACCAGAAGGACCTGCTCAGCTCCTGCCTTTGACCTTGTGGATGTCCTGTGGCCTTTCAGGGCCCACCACAGTCTCATCAAAGGCAACTGCAGCACCATAGTGACCTCACGTGTGGAGGAATTTTGTCTGAAGGTCAGAAAAGATATTTCCTTGTGTCATTAGCCTGATGGACCGCTAACTAGCACTGTTTCTAAAGCAGAAAGCCTCCTCTGGGGCCTCCTTACAAATCCAAGCTGATCTTGCCTAGCTGGGGCCCAGGAATGAAGACAGCCATCTAGAATCTTCACTGTTCTGATTCTCTGCTGAGCAGATGCTGCTGCTCCTGGTCCCCTGCCCTCTGTACACCCAATGTGGCCTCAAATGCCCTTTGCATCCTGGCTGTGCCATATTTGCACACTAAGGAGTTCTGCTGCAGCAGGGCTGGAGGGCTAAGTCTCACTTCCCCCCACCTGCTATGCTCCTCGCCCCACACCTATGGCAGGAGTGACTTCCTGCCACAGTGGAGGGGGAACCAGTGACCCCGTGCTAGATGGCCGCTTTTTCCTTGCATTAGGCGAAACCAAAACTATATGAACATTCTCCGGTTCCTGGCCCTGGGCGACAAGAAGCTGAGTCCCTTTAACATCACTCACCGCTTCACGCACCTCTTCTGGTTTGGGGATCTTAACTACCGTGTGGATCTGCCTACCTGGGTAAGGGCTGCCCGCCTGGGGCTGGGGCTGGGGCTGTATGAGATGGAGGCTCCCTTGAGTCAGCTTGGGGCAGGTGGTCGTGGAGACATGTGAATCAAGTGGGCTGAGGCGGCTGCTCCCCTTGGGGGCTCAACGCTGTTTCCATTACTGAGCCTCAGCCGCTCCTCACGGTTCCCCTGTGCTCACACCCGGTTCCCATAACTGTCACAGCCACCCTGCCACCATCACTCTGCAGCCCGGGTCATCCAGCTGCCCGCCCCCAGCCCCGAAGCTTGTCAGGCCTGGATCAGCAGGGCTTCTCACCAGAGGCCCGGGCATGTTCTTGTTCCAGGAGGCAGAAACCATCATCCAGAAAATCAAGCAGCAGCAGTACGCAGACCTCCTGTCCCACGACCAGCTGCTCACAGAGAGGAGGGAGCAGAAGGTCTTCCTACACTTCGGTAAGAGCAGCAACCCCGGCTGGGAGCGGTGGCTCACACCTGTAATCCCAGCACTTTAGGAGGCCGAGGCGGGCGGATCACGAGATCAGGAGATGGAGACCATCCTGGCTAACACAGTGAAACCCCGTCTCTACTTAAAAAAATACAAAAAATTAGCCGGGTGTGGTGGCGGGTGCCTGTAGTCCCAGCTACTTGGGAGGCTGAGGCAGGAGGATGGTGTGAACCAGGGAGGCAGAGCTTGCAGTGAGCCAAGATCGCGCCACTGCACTCCAGCCTGGCCAACAAAGACAGACTCCGTCTCAAAAAAAAAAAAAAAAAAAGCAGCAGCCTCTCCTCTTGGAGCCTTTCCAGCCATCCTTTCGTCCCCTTTCCCCTGATTTCCTACCAGAAGAATAGGGAAAATTGGCCAGATGCAAAACCTGGGGAATCAGAATTAAAACGAAAGTCTCTCTGTTTCAGAGGAGGAAGAAATCACGTTTGCCCCAACCTACCGTTTTGAGAGACTGACTCGGGACAAATACGCCTACACCAAGCAGAAAGCGACAGGGGTGAGTCCTCTTCATAGACACCTTCCCTGCCCTCCATCTCCTCCCCGCTGGTGTCTGTTCCCAAAAGGTGAACAGAAAGTGTCTTCATCCATTAGGCAAAAAAAAAAGGAAAGAAAAAAATTAGAAAGCACATGTTGATTTGTGTTACAGAGTAAATGGGAAGCCACACTTGTGCACTGCTTTGAGCTGGGAAAATAACCCTTGTGATTTACCTTCTGTCCAGATACTCTAAGATGCTGAGAGGACTTTAAAGTATTATTTCCTTAACTGGGTTCTGAAGATCATTTTTTTAAAGTCCCGTGATCAAATATATTTACTAAACTGCTGAGTGAATTAACATTAAGCAGGTTTCTTCGCTGCAGGACTTATCAGAGCTTTTATGGGCCCAAGAGCACTGTGGTTCTCCATGAGGAAATCTGTATGCCAAACTCAGTTATTCATGGAACACCAATTAATGTCTTATGAGGCCACTTGTTTTCCAAGGAACAGTGTTTTGGGGAAAGATGCAATAAAATATGTATTCATTTGTTCAAAGATATTTCCTGATGGCCTATTATGGGTTAGGCACTCTCCTAGGTGATGGGAGAGCAAAGATGTCTTTTCCAGGGACTTCACAGTAGGAAAAACAGATATGCAACTAGCTGTAGCCAGAGCCAGAATGTGACAATGCCAGGGCAGGGAAGGATCAGGGAAGCCAGCCCCTGGCAGGATTCAAGGGTCAAATGGCTGGGACGGTGAGGTACCCAGGCCCACTAGAAGCCTAGGGCAATGGAGCGCAAGTTCAAAGTGTCATCTGAAAGAGTTCTGGGCCCCATCTGGGCTCAGGAGAAAGTGAAGAACTGGACGTGGGAGAGGAAGGCCAAGCGCTGGGTGGATTTTAGAACAGAGCAGGAGAGGAAGAGAATACAACTGAGAGGACAGGAGGAGATCCCGGACTGCTGTCACCCACGAGGCTGGGACCCCCAGGATGGGACACCCCATTCCGCAGGGTCCACTGCCTGCTGTGTGGATAAGGTCACCTGGCCCAAAGGCACTGTCAGAGCAGGTCCTTGGGGATCCCTGTGCAGGCTGGTGAAGGATGGTTTGCTTTGATGTGAGTTTAAGTTGAGGCAGAGGAGGGCCTGAGATGGGAGAGTGGCCGGTCCTAGATGCCAGGATGACAGGCCACAGGGGGCCACTGCAAGCTCTGCCGGGCACTGGTGCATCAGAGTGGCATGTGCAGAATTGTGGTGGGCATTGTGGTAAAGGATGAGGACGCGGCAGGGGCATCGGTGAGGAGGCCGTTGTGCACATTCAGCTGAGCAACAGCTAGGGCCGAATCAGGGAAAAAACAGTGAAAATGAAAGAAAGGGGGAAATCAGGATATATTGCGAGACCTGATTGCCATTGATAAAAACTGGAAAATCACAAGGCGGAGCTGGCTTGAAGGGGAAAAAAATAGAACTTGTTTTCAGACTTACTGATTGTGTGACATCAGTGGAAGAACCCAGAGAAAATACCCAGAAGGCAGCTGAAAATAGCGATGCGTCGCTTAACAACGGGGATATGTTCCGAGAAGCGTGTCATTAGGTGACTTCGTCATTGTGGGAACCTCATGAAGTGTGTATACACAAAGCCCACTTCAGTTAGATGGTGTGGCCTATTGATCCTAGGCTACAAACCCGTATAGCATGTTACTTTACTGAATACTGTGGGCAACTGTAACACAATAAGTTTTTGTGTATCTAAACATTAAAAAGGTACAGTAAAAATATGGTATAAAAAGAAAAAAATGGGCTGGGGGCAGCGGCTCATGCCTATAATCCCAGCACTTTGGGAGGCCGAGGTGGGTGGATCACTTGAGGTTAGGAGTTCAAGGCCAGCCTGGCCAACACGGTGAAACCTTGTCTCTACTAAAAATACAAAAATTAGCCATGCATGGCGGTACACGCCTGTAACCCCAGCTACTCGGGAGGCTGAGGCAAGAGAATCGCTTGAACCCGGGAGATGGAAGTTGCAGTGAGCCGAGATCGCGCCATTGCATGCCAGCCTGGGTGACAGAGCAAGACTGTGTCTCAAAAAAAAAAAAAAAAAAAGAAGGTGGTACACCTGTATAGGGCACTTACCATGAATGAAGCTTGCAGGCTTGGAAGTTGCTCTGGGTGAGTCAGTGAGTGAGTGGTGAATGAGTGCGAAGGCCTAGGACATTACTATGCACTGCTGTAGACCTTACAAACACTGTACACTTAGGCTACCCTACATTTATTTTTTAAATTTTCTTTTTCCAATAATAAACTAACCTTAGCTTACTGTAATTTTTTATTTATAAGCTTTTTATTTATAAACAATTTAATTTTTGACGCTTTTGTAATAAAATGTAGCTTAAAATACAAACACATTGTACAGCTGTACAGAAATATTTTATTTCTTTATATTCTTAATCTATAAGCTTTTTTTCAAGTTTTAAAATTTCAAAACTCTCATTTACATTGACTTTTTTGTTGAAAATTAAGACGTAGGCTGGGCACCGTGGCTTATGCCTGTAATCCCAGCATTTTGGGAGACCGAGGTGGGTGAGTCACCTGAGGTCAAGAGGTCGAGACCAGCCTGGCCAACATGGCAAAACTCTTGTCTCTACTAAAAATACAAAAATTAGCTAGGCGTAGTGGTGTGCACCTGTAATCCCAGCTACTTGGGAGACTGAGACAGGAGAATCGCTTGAAACCTGGAAGCAGAGGTTGCAGCGAACCGAGATGGCGCCACTGCACTCCTGCCTGGAGCAAGGCTCCGTCTCAAAAAAAAAAACAAAAACAAAAACCATAAATGCACACATTAGCCTAGGCTGAAACAGGCTCAGGATGGTCAATGACATTATCACCCACCTCCACATCTCATCCCATGGAAGGTCCTCGGGGCAATAACATGGAGCTGTCGTCTCCTATGATGACAATGTCTTCTTCTGGTTACCTCCTGAAGGACCTGCCTGAGGCTATTTTATAGTTAACATTTTCTTATAAGTAGGAATACACTCTAATGATAAATAATATCGTAAACACGGAAATGAGTGACAGTTGTTTATCATTATCAAATATTATGTACTGAACAGAATTGTACTGTTATGCTTTTACACAGCTGGCAGTGCAGTGGGCTGGTTTGCACCAGCATCCCCAGAAGCATGTGAGTAATGTGTTGCGCTGTGACGTGATGACAGCTACAGCAGCACTACGTGATGGGGATTTTCCAGCTCCATTATAATTTTGTAGGACCTCTGTCCTATATGCAGTCCATTACTGTGGTACATGACTATTTGTGGAGCCCCACGGGTAATTCTCAGAGGCAGCTGATGCCGAGAACTGCAATGTTAAGAAGTAACTGTTTAGGCTGGGCACAGTGGCTCATGCCTGTATTCCCAACACTTTGGGAGCTGAGGCAGGTAAATCATTTGAGGCCAGGAGTTTGAGACCAGCCTGGCCAACATGGCGAAACCCCATCTCTACTGAAAATACAAAAATTAGCCAGGTGTGGTGGCGCACTCCTGTGATCCCAGCTACTCAGAAGGCTGAGTCAGGAGAATTGTTTGAATCCGGCAGACAGAGGTTGCAGTGAGCTGAGATTGCCCCACTGCACTCCAGCCTGGGCAACAGAGTGAGACCCTGTCTCAAAAAAAAAAAAAAAAAAAGGACTTAACTAACTGTTAGGCAGAATCAATGAAAACTAAAAATGCACCTATTCTATGATTCAGTAATTCCGCTTTGGTGTGTGTTCAAGAGAAATTTGTATATTTGTTCACCAAAAATAGGTATAAGAATGTTTAGCCGGGCATGGTGGCTCACGCCTATAATCCCAGAGCTTTGGGAGGCCAAAGCAGGTGAATCACCTGAAGTCAGGAGTTCCAGACCAGTCTGGCCAACACCGCGAAACCCGTCTCTATACAAAATTAGCCGGGCATGCTGATGGGCGCCTGTAATCCCAGCTACTCGGGAGGCTGAGGCAGGAGAATCACTGGAACCTGGGAGGTGGAGATGGTGGTGAGCCGAGACCATGCCACTGCACTCCAACCTCAGCAACAGGGCGAGACTCCATCTCAAAAAAAAAAAAAAAAAAAAAAATGAATGTTTATGGCAGCCTTGTTTGTAATCTTCAAAACTGAAAACAACCCTATGTCCATTAACAGTAGAGTAGATAAATGTGATACTTATAAACAATGGAACTTTTATAAGCAACGAAGTGGCTGAAGGAGTCCAACATAAAAGAGTATCTACTGAGTGAGTCCATTTATATACGTTCATATAAATTAATCAATGGAGATGTTAGTCACACTAATGCTCACCTTTAGGAGGCTCTGGTATTGACAAGGAAGGCTTATGAGGGAAGCTTTAGGATGATGGCGGTTTTCTGTATCTTGCTCTGGGTAGTGGGTAAGTGGGTTTATACAAACCTAAAAATGCATGGGACTGTACACTTATGGTTAGTACACTTTATGTAAGTTGTACCTAAAGTTTTTTTTAAAAAGTGAATGGTTCAGAAGTAGAGAGAATGAAAATAAAAACTTTTGTTTTTTTTTTTTTGAGATGGAGTTTTGCTCTTATTGCCCAGGCTGGAGTGCAGTGGCGCAATCTCAGCACACCACAACCTCCACCTTCTGGGTTCAAGCGATTCTCCTGCCTCAGCCTCCTGAGTAGCTGGGATTACAGGCATGCGCCACCATGCCCGGGTAATTTTGTATTTTTAGCAGAGATGGGGTTTCGCCATGTTGGTCAGGGTGGTCTCGAACTCCCGACCTCAGGTGATCCACCCGCCTTGGCCTCCCAAAGTGCTGGGATTACAGGCATGAGCCACCATGCCCAGCCTGAAAATAGAACATTCTTGAAAGAAAATTGGTAAAAGGAAGAAAAGAGAAAAGTAATTGAAGGAGATGACAGAGATAAGCTCTTTCAGGATGAGTTCCTTTATGTTTGTAGACAGAGAAGAAAGAGCTAGAACATGAGGGGATAAGGATATTGATAAAAGAGGGTTGTTATTGCCAGTTTACCTTGTCTATCCCACCTAATGGACATCTTGCTCATCATTGCAGCCTGAGGCCCTGGAGAGGGCTTGTCATATAGTATTAATAGATACTGTTTGAGTGATTGGATAAGTAGGTAGACGGGTGTGTGAACGGTCAATGGATGAGTGGATGGGTGCGATGGATGGATGGATGGATGGATGGATGGATGGATGGATGGATAGGCGAATGGATAGGTGGGTGGGTGGGTGGATGGATGGATGGATAGATAGATGGATGTGTGGGTGGGTGAATGGATGGATGGATGGATGGGTGGATAGGTGGATGGATGGGTGGATAGGTGGGTGAATGGGTGAATGGATGATAGCCATATGGTGGTAGTGTGGATGATGATGATGATGATGATGATGTGTGGTGTGAGGATGATAATGGATTGATGATGTGTGGGTTGGTGGAGGATGATAAATGATGATAGGTGGATGGGTGGATGGATGGATGGCTAGTCGGTGGGTGGATGGATGGGTGGGTGGGTGGATGGATGAGTGGATGAATAGGTGGATGGGTGGATGGATGAAATGGACAGGTAGTTGGATGGATGGGTGGATGGATAGATGAATGAATAGGTAGATAAGTGGATGGGTGGATGGATGAATGAATAGGTGGGTAGGTGGATGGATGGATGGGTGAATGAGTAAAGATGGGTAGATGGGGAGATGAAAAGGTGGACAGATGGATGAATAGAACTGGGGGTGGAAGCTGAAGTGTGTTATTAAAGTAAGTGACTGCAGAAAGTGAGCAGAGACTGAGCTGAAAATACAGGTGGGGGTTCATCTGAGTCAGAAAGAAAGTAAGAGAAGGTGAAGATACAAGGGATACTGAAGTAGTCAGGAGGATATGTGAGGGAATACAGCAAGGTGAGTTATCTTAGTCTAAAGAAGAAGGCGTGGCAGTGGAGTCTGGACTTGAGCCATGTGAAAAAAGTTTAAAGCCACCTACAGGGAAATTCTATAAAAAGCCAACAGCCGATGAATTTGAGGATTACAGAGGCCACCAGTTAATCTGTTCTTTTACTGATTAAAAAAATAATAATAAGAGGCATTTTTTAAAGCCTATGACTTTGATTTGCAGATGAAGTACAACTTGCCTTCCTGGTGTGACCGAGTCCTCTGGAAGTCTTATCCCCTGGTGCACGTGGTGTGTCAGTCTTATGGTGAGTTCAAACACTGGGGAAAGCAGAACAGGATCAGAGAATGGCACCAAGCTGGGAGGTGTGACTGCCCTAAAATCTAAGGGCTTCAGTCTGTTGATGTGTCAAAGGGAGGAATTCACTGTAACCCTAATCAGGCGACCTGGAAATGTTGATGCTTCCCTGCCTGTCTTGTGCTGCCACCTAATCCATATCCCCTGCTTTAGGAGACATTTGAATTATAGAGCACTTTTTTTCTTTTTCTTTTTGAGACGGAGTCTCACTCTGTCACCCAGGCTGGAGTACAATGGCATGATCTCATCTCACCACAACTTCTACCTCCTGGGTTCAAGCGATTCTCGTGCCACAGCCTCCCCAAGCAGCTGGGATTACAGGCTCCTGCCACCATGCCTGGCTAATTTTTGTATTTTTAGTAGAGACGGGGTTTCACCATGTTGGCCAGGCTGGTTGCAAACTCCTGACCTCAGGTGGTCAGCCCACCTCGGCCTCCCAAAGTGCTGAGATTACAGGCATGAGCCACCGCGGCCGACCCGGAGCACTTTTTTAAAAATTCAGTTTTATTTCTTTTGAAAAGAACATATTAAGTGTGAACCATATGAAAGTGTTTTTGTAGGTCAGAAATAGTTATTGGAAATTCATATGGCTCAAACTAATACATGTCGCAAGTGTGTACACATATATACACATATATATTTGGGGAGGTTTAACCATAAATTGAGTTAAATTGATTTTTAGAAGGCATAACATGTAATATTAAAATAAATAATTATGGAATAAGTTATCAAAACAATTAAGAAATAACTGTTAGCCAGGCACTGTGCCACGTACCTATAGTCTCAGCTGCTCAATAGGCTGAGGGGGGAGGATCGCTTGAGCCCAGTAGTTCAAAACCAGCCTGGGCAACGTAGACTCCATCTCTGAAAAAAATGAAAGAAAGAAATGACTGTTAACTCTTGACCCTCAAAGTTGAAGGTGCACTGAAGGAGTTCTTAATTGCCTGAATGCTTATTCTGAAAAGCTACTGATTAGTTCCCATTACTTACGAAGTGAGACCTTAAAAATCCACAGAACAGAGTTGCTTTGAACACTTCACTGACTGAGAATTGTGGTATTTTATTATTTATTTATTTATTTATTTATTTATTTATTTATTTATTGAGACGGAGTCTCTCTCAGTCGCCCAGGCTGGAGTACAGTGGCAAAATCTCGGCTCCCTGCAACCTCCGCCTGCCAGGTTCAAGTGACTCTCCTGCCTCAGACTCCCGAGTAGCTGGGATATCAGGCACGCAGCACCACGCCTGGCTAATTTTTTGTATTTTTAGTAGAGATGGGGTTACACCATGTTGGTCAGGCTGGTCTCGAACTCCTGACTTCAGGTGATCCACCCGCCTCAGCCTCCCCAGGTGCTGGGATTACAGGCCTGAGTCACTGCGCCAGGCCCAGTGGTATTATTTTTAAAACACTGCGAATTCCCACACAATGGCCTCTAAAGGATGGCCACCCCAGTCCTTGGAGCAAGGAGAGGGGTGGGGGAATGCTGCCCGCTGGCCACCTTTGTGGCTCCCACTCTGTCTCTGGGGACTGGCAAATTTGGTCTCACTTATTTAACTCTGGTCCTATACTTTGAACTGACTTCCATTCCAGTGCCTGTCTCCTCCTACTGCCCAGAAGAGCCCAGAGCAGCTACCCTGAAATAGTTTAACACACGCACCCTGCATTCCTTGCTGAAGGACTGAGCTCTGTCTCCCAGAAGTGACGTCACTAGACGAACTTCACACAACACCTTTAGATGTGTGGGAAGGCAACCTGCCCTCATAGCCACGGCCAGGGCATTGTTCCAGCTTCCAAAGCTCAAAGTGCCTGAGTCCTACCCTCTGCCTGCAGCCTCCTCACTTGTGCATTCCCTCCCTGCCACCCGTCGGACTCTCCAGGCCTGTCACTCCTTCCCAGCCACACTCAGGGTCAACCCTGTCAATACTGTCCTTCCCACATCCTGCAGCTCCGTGCATCCTGCCAATTCTTGTCTCAACCATCTGTCTGCTTCAGCCAGCCTCTGCCGAGAGTCAGGAGATAGTGGAGGCTTGTAGAATTACCACTTACTGTTTTGCACCTAAACTTGGCATTCAAAACTGCTCGACAGTGGAGGCTTTAGAGAAAGAGGAGGGAGATCAGTCCGGAAGTGGCAATGAGGAGCAGGAAGGACACCCTTTGCCCCCACCTCCGGGCCCGGAATATGAGGGTTGGGGAGGAAAACAAGCCTCACCAGAGAGGCAGCAGTGTCTTCCGGGGAGGGCTGGGTTTGGGAGGTGACAGGAAGATTAAAGATACAGGGAATTTTGCTAATGATATTTCATTGAGTGCCAGAGGGCTCAGTAGAAGCGTTTAATGAGTTGGGGTTGAGGGGAGGCAAAATGTTGGAAAAGAAAAGGGAGTGAATGTCCAGAGCTCAGGAAACAGGGGTGACCTGGGAGCCTCAGTCTTCTCATGACAATTAACATAGCAGGCATATCAGCTGTCTATTGCTGCATAACAAACTGTCCTAAAACTCAGTGACTTAAAGCAAACATTTATTTGCTCGCGAGTCTCTGCGCTAGGCTGAATTTGGACTGCTCACCTCTGCTCTAGTTGGTGTCATCTGGGCACACTCAGGCAGGAGCCCATCAGATCTGGGGTCGGCTGGCTGTCAGCAGGCATAGGGGTGGTACTCATCATCCAGCAGGCCAGTGCTGGCTTCTTAGCTTCCTGGTCTCAGGGTTCCCAGATTCGAGTGTCACCAGTGGGGAAGTTCTTCTTAAGGCTCTGTTGGCCTCATGTTTACTAAGGTCCCATTGGCCAAAGAAAGTCACATGACCAAGCCCAGACTCATGGTGGGAGGGGACCACAGAGAGTGTGGTTACTGGGAGGAGGACTGGGTCTTTGAGGGTCACCCATCTTACAGTCCACCTCCTAGGCTTAAGGGCACACTGTAGTGCCATTGCTATTATGTTCAGTACATATCTGAAATATTCTGAGAATGCTTAAAAAAAAAAACCCTGCTCGTCAACCCATTAAATTCTCCCTGGAACACCCCTCCTCCACTGCCACAGCAAACCTGTACCCCTGTGCTCAGCCTGACTCCCCACCTCCATCCTCTCCTGCCTCACACAGCACTGGACCTCACTGATTTCTTCTTGCCTGTGTCCAGTTTTTTGTTTTTTTTGTTTTGTTTTGTTTTTTGAGACAATCTTGCTTTGTTATCCAGGCTGGAGTGCAGTGGCACCATCCTGGCTCACTGCAACGTCAGCCTCCCAGGTTCAAGTGATTCTCCGCCTCAGCCTCCCAAGCAGCTGGGATTACAGGCGCCCACCACCACGCCCAGCTAATTTTTGTATTTTTAGTAGAGACGGGGTTTTGCCATGTTGGCCAGGCTGATCTCGAACTCCTGGCCTCAAGTGATCCACCCACCTCGGCCTCCCAAAGTGCTGGGATTACATGCGCCCACCACCATGCCCAGCTAATTTTTGTATTTTTAGTAGAGACGGGGTTTTGCCATGTTGGCCAGGCTGATCTCGAACTCCTGGCCTCAAGTGATCCACCCACCTCGGCCTCCCAAAGTGCTGGGATTACAGGCATGAGCCACCGTGCTTGGCCTCAGGTCCAGTTTTTAGGCTGATGCCCTCGCATCTTCCTCCCTCCTGTCTCAGAGAAGGGGTAGCCTCCTCTTTCTTTCCTGCCTAGCCTTTGCCCCTGGACCCTTGACTCCATCTATTCCTTCTCCACTACCAACCAGTGCCCCCACTCCCATCCTTCTCTCCTGTCCCTTTCTCTGTTCTGTCTCATAGTTTCCATGTGTTTCTCTGGTGATCCTTAGTAAGTGAGCTTTTTTTCTTTTCATGTTTATTAGCCATCTGTATTTTTTGGTGAATTTTCTGTCCATATCCTTTGGTTGGTTGAAGGGTGGAGTGTTTATCTTTTTCTTGCTGATTTGTAAATGCTTTCTAAAAAGGATGCCAAGTCTGTTTTATCACCTTCTTGGTCTCCTTTGCTGGCGGTTTTTCCTTTGCCCGCCCATTCATGGTTGGTGTGCCCTGGAATTCCATCCTCGTCTCTTCTCATCCTTCGTGTGAAAGCCCAGACATGCTCAGGTCTTCTGCTTCCACCTAATCCTAAGACTCCACATCTAAAGATGCATCTCCAGCCTTGAGTGCCCATTTCCTGCCAGGCATCTCCAACGGGCTATCTTGAAAGAACTGTCTTTCTAGAACTGTCCTCTTTCTCTTGCCCCTTCCCAAAGTGCTCTGCTGCCTCCATTCTCACCCGAGCACCAAGCTCCTTAACAGAGTTTTCTACACTTAGCGTCCTCCACTCTCTCCCGGTTCTATGAGGCATCGTGGGATGGAAAAGGTGTCCCGTCTCTCCCACCGATGAGCTGAGTGGCCTTAAGTCCCCTTCCCACCCAGTGTTTGGGGCTCTTCATCAATAAAATAAAGTGAGCCAGGCGTGGTGGCTCACGTCTGTAATCCCAGCACTTGGGAGGCCGAGGCGAGTGGATCACCTGAGGTCAGGAGTTCAAGACCAGCCTGGCCAACATGGCAAAACCTCATCTCTACAAAATGCACAAAGATTAGCTGGGCATGGTGACACGCACCTGTACTCCCAGCTACTCGGGTGGCTGAGGCATGAGAATTGCTTGAGCCTGGGAGGTGGAGGCTGCAGTGAGCCGAGATCGCGCCACTGCATTCCAGCCTGGGCAACAGAACAAGATTCTGTCTCAAAAATAAGTAAATAAATAAGTACAATGATTAGACCAGAAAAATCTCCATGGTTCACACTCCCTAATCAATTCAAAAAGTCTTAGGTCTTTAGGAAAAATGAGCACAGGCTTCTTCTGTCCATGGAGGAGGCAGTGTCCACACTGTCTTCCACTGAACCCTTTAAGCATTGCTGTGGAAGGACAACAGGTGCAAAACTTCGCACTTCTGGAGGGCTCCATAACTAAAGTTTCTTTCTGCTTTAGGGTTGCCATCCTTGGCCTGACCGGAAGGGCTTCTCCTTCCCTGCTTAAAAATGCCTTCCCTCCCCTGCAGGCAGTACCAGCGACATCATGACGAGTGACCACAGCCCTGTCTTTGCCACATTTGAGGCAGGAGTCACTTCCCAGTTTGTCTCCAAGAACGGTAAGCAAAGGATGGTGTCTGTTTCTCTGTTTTCCTCAATGACAAGGAGTGTTGGGAGCTTGTCTTCAGGTGGCAGTCAGTGGTCTGCATTAGAGGAAGGCTCATTTTCCCAGGCAAGTCCACAATATCAGTCAGTTTCTTCATGTCCCAGCCACAGCACAATTGCAGTCCAGAGAATTTACTTGCTCTGCTTGGCAAGTATGTCAGCCTTTTGAGCCTCAATTTTAGTCTGAAAACGTGGGTAAATCAGTGTTTACCAAGGTGTGGCCTGAAGACACTGAAGATAATTCTCCGGGTGGGATGGGAGGAGGGGGCGGGGGACATGAATAAACATTTATTAGTAATGCCTTTGTTTTAACATGTTTTACATTTCTGTCTTCTGTTTAAGGCAAGCACCATTACTTTTCCATTTAATATTGTGATATACCTTATTCAGCTACACTTAATTTTAAAAAGTGAGTCTATTTAGAGAAAATATGAAGTAAAGAGTAGCACAGGTGCGTGGTAGGCAGAGATGGTAAAAATCGTTAAGATGGGATGCAAATGACTGAGTTTTGGGAAACACCACAGTAAATAATATTTAGATTTGCAGGTAATTTTTCAAATAATCCAGCTCAGCCCTGGTTGCCAGGCCACCCTCATCCCAGCTGGGCCAGGTGTTCTCTGTAATGTGCCCATCCAGCCCTTGGCCTAGGTGACCAGGGAGCCATGTTGTCTCTGCCCAGTCTCTGCTTCCGCGGTCAGCCCAGTGGTCACTGGGCTCCTTTAGGAAGACCAAGCGTAGGGGACCCAAATACAGGGAAAGACCATCTTGCTCTGTGTCCTTCATGCCCTGGGGGACACACGTGAGGCCGAAGCACTGTCTTCCTGGGGTGCTCTTATCTATCCTATTGTATCTAACATCCATGGCCCCAGAAATGTGACCTCCCTCCTCCACCCAAGCCTTGACCCACCATCGTGTCTCCTTCCTAAGTCTGGCCACTGTGCCTTTCTAGAATCTTCCTAGTCCTTAGGCAGGACCTCTTCCCCGACTTCCACCCATCTCTCCTTTCTCTGAGCTCCTGCAGCCTTGAAGGGGTTGCCCTTGCCATCTCCTCCTCTATTCCGGGGTAGGGCATCCTCCATGTCAGGCTGGGCTTCCCTCCACGGGGGATCAGTACACAGCAGATGCTGGAAAACACTGATCACGGGGATTGAGCATTGACAGGGCATCTACCTAAGCCAAGCCTGGACTGGGCACTGTGGGATTTAGAAAGAGAAAGGAAAGAAGGAAGGATGTGAGGGATGGAGGAAGGAAAGGTTTGTTCATGGTCTCCGAACAAGTCTCTGTTCTGTGGCTCAAAATTTCTATGAAAGGACAGAACACTTGTTTAAAAGCAGCTTAAGGATGCTTGCAAAAGCATCGTCTAAATTAATACAGTTGCAGGCAAGTTAACTCTGTACAAATGAGCTTATGGAGTCCAGAGGAAGGAGTGGGGATAACTGTGCCTAAGGGAGAGAGAGCTGCTAGCCCTCATTATCTGAACTCAGAAACAGCATTGATCTGGGTATTGAGCAACCGAGCCATTGTACAAAGTCTTTTTGCTGGAACTAGCTGGGAGCCTGAAATAGTGGGGGTATTGCCTGAGGTCACACAGCTTTAGTGACAGAGATGAAATGAGGTCCGGACTCCTGGGACTCTGCATCTTTCTGCCCCGCTCTCTGCCCTGGCCAGCTCACGATGCATCAGAGAGGTTGAGGATGCTCGGCTGGGTGCTGGATTTCGCTGTAGCTTTAGTTCTCCTCCCACTAGACTCCCACCTTCCTGGGACCCTGAGAAGGAGCTCAGTATGTGGCATGAGAACTAATTTGAAATGCTCCATCTCCAGGCACATTGTGGAACTGAATCCGTGTTCTCCCCTGTTCCAGGTCCCGGGACTGTTGACAGCCAAGGACAGATTGAGTTTCTCAGGTGCTATGCCACATTGAAGACCAAGTCCCAGACCAAATTCTACCTGGAGTTCCACTCGAGCTGCTTGGAGAGTAAGTGGCTGCTGAGCCACCTTCTGGGCAGAACTGCCCGGAGCCTTCTTATAAACACCTTTCATACTTGGCACTTTGCCCCATATCTTCTCTCCCTGGAAAGGACTCACGAAGCTGATCAGAGAAGTGGGGCTGCAGGTGGATGACTCAAGGGGACACTCAGTTATTGTGAGGGGTCCCCCTGTGGCCTGTGCAGCCCTAGGGGCAGGGGTGGCCATGAATGTACTGACCCCCCAGTCCCTTGTAGGTGGCAAGCAGGGTCCAATCCCTGGCCCTCAGGGTGGACTGTGACCCACTCTAGGTTCCCTGCAAGCTGGGGCTCTGACTCAACCAGAGAGTGTTGGGCCCAGGTCCAGACCTCAAAGAGCCGGTGTGAGGGCCTGAGCAGCAGCTGCCTGTTGTCGCCCTGGCCCCTCTTGCTCGTTGGAGATCACAGCGTCTTTCTCGGGGGGACTGCAGCGTCCGAAAGCAAGCAGGAGATGGACAGGCTCCCCTGAGCCAGCAGCCTTTAGCACAAACTGTGTTTAGGAAACACCCTTTCCGGGTGACATTTCTAGGCAGATTGTCTAAAGCTGTTTCATGGCTAGGGAAGAGCTGCGTGTGTCCAGCCGTCTTCGCTGAGATGGTCTGCACAGTGATCGGGGGAGGAAAAGGGGGCATCACCTCCTCAAAAGGGCATTTTGTGAGGGCCTGGCTGGGATGCTTCCAGAAATCAGGAAGAAGCGTGTGCTGCCAGTTCTGCCCCTCTGGTCCCTGCCTCCTTCTCCAACTGAGGTGGGCCCAGGCCTGGTGCTAGAGCGGCCTTTGTCACTGAGTCCCCAAGCTCCAGTTCACCCAGCAGGGTCAAAGCGGTTCGAAAAATGATGAGGATTTTTGTGCGGGTGTTTTTAATAAACTATCAAGACAGTTCCATACATTTCTATGGAAACAGCATATTAGGAAGCTTAAATTAGAATTTCAAAAGGCTGCTATCTTGAGTGGCGTGGGACGAGCTGTCAAGTTTCCTAATCTTTTTGCCTGTGATGTGATGATTTCTTTGTTGCCTGGTTTGTTGCAAAGAGGAACTGAAAAGGAGGGGGAATCTCTTTGATTTTCCTAAAAATAATTAGACCATGTTGGCAAATGACCAATCCCTGCACAAAAACAGAATCCCCGGCAGGCCTGACTCCTAAATGATGCTGAGGCCCCGAGATAAAAAAAAAAAAAAAAAAAAAAAGGAGAGAGCACATCTTCCTAGGTCTGGGTGGGGTGACCCCAGGGAGTCTTTTCTGTCTGGTTCTTGCTCTGTTTTCTGAAAACCAGCCTTTTTGTCCTCCAACAGGTTTTGTCAAGAGTCAGGAAGGAGAAAATGAAGAAGGAAGTGAGGGGGAGCTGGTGGTGAAGTTTGGTGAGACTCTTCCAAAGGTAATTCTAGAGCAAGGCATTCCCCAGAGGGAGATTTGCATTTACTAGGCCAGTAGTACCAGCCAGTGGCAGAGCTATGGCCAGGCCTGACCAGAGGAAGCAGGAATCTCATAGACCAAATGCAGAAAGAGACCCACTCTAGGAGCAAGCTCTCGCTCAAGGTGGTTCGTAACACACTTTACAGCAGTGGGTATGTGGCCTTATTATTCCTAAATGGTTTCAGTTCCCCTAAAGGATCACAGAAGGGATCTAGAGGTCAGCTCGTCTAACCACATGATTTTGCAAAGAAGGAAACTCAGGTGCAGGGCCAAGCGCTGTTTGCTCATGGCCTCATGGCTGCAGTAACACACCTAGGACGCAACCCCAAGACCCCGATCCCCTCTTTGACGCTTGTTTTCCTATTCAGTGCTGGTTCATAGAATCGAGTACAAAGAGGCATAGAGAGGGGTCCATTGGCTACTGATCATACACTTGTGAACACACGAAGTACTCGACATGTCTGTGGCCCTGCAAAGAGCAGAGGGTGGAATTGGAAACACTCAGCCAGACCTTAGTGGGAACACATTCTTCTTTGCTATAGAAAAAATGGTTTTCTGGCCTGGTGTGGTGGCTCACACATATAATCCCAGCACCTAGGAAGCCAAGGCAGGGGGATTGCTTGAGCCCAGAAGTTCAAGACCAGCCTGGGAAACATAGTGACATCCCATCTCTACCAAAAAAAAATTTTTTTTCTCTTGTTTTTTTTTCTTTTTCTCTTTCTTTTTTTTTTTTTTTTTTTTTTTTTTTTTTTTTTTTTTTTTTTTTTTTTTTTTTTTGAGACAGAGTCTTGCTCTGTTGCCCAGGCTGGAGTGCAGTGGCATGATCTCGGCTCACTGCAACCTCAACCTCCCAGGTTCAAGCGATTCTCCTGCCTCACCCTCCTGAGTAGCTTGGACTACAGATGTGCACCACCACACCCATCTAATTTTTGTACTTTTAGTAGAGATGGGGTTCCTCATGTTGGCCACGCTGGTTTCAACTCCTGACCTCAAGTGATCCACTGGTCTCGGCCTCCCAAAGTGATTAGAGGTATGAGCCACCGCATCCAGCCTAAAACATTTTTTTTTAAATTAGCCAGACATGATGGCACATGCCTGGAGTCCTAGCTGCTCTGGAGACTGAGGCGGGAGGATAACCTGAGCCTAGGAGATCCAGGCTGCAGTAAGCTATGATCATGCCACTGCACTCCAGCCTGGGTGATGCAGTGAGACGCTGTCTCTTTTTTTGTTCATTTGTTTTTCTACTGAAACTGCTTTTGTGGAGCTAAATTGACAGTGGAGATGTTGGGTGTCCTCGAGTACAAGCTTATTATGAGCTTATTAGTTGTTCATGCTGGGTGGGAAGTGGAGTTTCTTTCTCGCACCATGAGGGAGGGGTGGAATGAAGGGGAGTCCCAGGCCAGGCAGATCCATCACAGGAGGTGGGGCGTCTTGGAGGCTCCCCTAGGAGATTCCCTCAGAGGTGACACTCGAGGTGAATTTTAAAAGGACAGTCTTAAGCAGGCAGAGGGACCATTCTCTCCTGAGACTGGGGTAGGATGTTGGCAGGTTTCAGGGGGCTGGACCCACATTGGCATTAACTTTTGATTGGAACCAACTCTCAGGCCATGTAAAAAGGCCATGTCATCTCCGGAGCAGAGGCTGATGCCTGAACTCCAGATTCCCCCAGCTGCGGCACAATTCCAAATTACTCAGAGGCTGCGGCCAGCTCACATGGCTCTGACTGGGGTCTCCCACTGAAGCCCCAGAAGAGCTGTCAGAAGTCCCTGTTCTGGGGCTGTCTTCAGGCCCCTGAGTCGTGGGGGCTCTGGGCTCCAAGGAGACATTTCTGCCTCACCCGGCCCAAGCCCGTCCTCCTGCTCCTCCTCCCTGGCTGCTTCCAGGCAGGGCCTGAACAGTAGTTTCCTCCTTTGGTGAAGGTGGAAAAGAGAGCAGCACCCCATTCCACAACATGTTCACCCCCTGGTCCAGCTCAGGGACCCCTAGGGCCCCTGTCTTCCTCCATTCCCCACATCCTCACAGCCGCCAAGTCCTGCTGTTCCTCTTGCCTCTGTCCCCTCCCTCAGTCCCCCTGCCCCCTCCCAGGGGGTCCACTCCTCCTGTCTCCTGCCTCTTGCTGAGGCATCCTGAACGCTGATGGATCTTTCTGGAATGCCTCTCTGATCCTGGAGTCCCCCTCTTTATCCGGTCGACTCCCTGTTGCCTAGTGAGGCAAGCAGCCTCATCTGCTGTTCCCACAGGACTGCAGGGGCCTTCACCGTCTCCTGCTCCCTGACCCCCGCCCCACCCCTGTTGCCTGGCGGCCTCCTCTGTTCACCCTGTAAATCCCTGCTGTGGCCCCCTAGATAGTTCTCCTCCCTGCCACCGCCTGCCAGGGTGGTGGTGTCGCACAGAGACATTTGTTGTTCAGATGTCTGTCACCCCATTTCCACTCCATCCCAGGGAGGACCGGGTCTTCCTCCAGCATCCAAGAACCCCAGCTCTGGCCCTGGGTCTAGCTTAGAGCCTGACATCACCTCATGCCAGGAGCCAAGTGATAATTGGTGCAGCTGTAGAACCCTGGAGTACCCAGAGCTCCACTGCAGTTTCCAGTCATCTGTTCTGGAACTTTTTTTTGAGACTGAGTCTTGTTCTGTTGCCCAGGCTGGAGTGCAGTGGTGCCATCTCGGCTCACTGCAACCTCCGCCTCCAAGGTTCAAGCGATTTGCCTGTCTCAGCCTCCCGAGTACCTGGGACGACAGGCACGCCCCATCAAGCCTCGCTAATTTCTGTATTTTTTAGTAGAGACGGGGTTTCACCATGTTGGCCAGGCTGGTCTTGAACTCCTGACCTCAAGTGATCCACCCACCTCGGCCTCCCAAAGTGCTGTGATTATAGGCATGAGCCACTGCACCTGGCCTGGAACTTTCTGAATGGAGATATAGTGAGTCTGCCCTGTTGGCCAACATGGTGCCCAGAGCCCTGTACCAGGAGCCTTTTGGTGTCTGGAAAGGAAGGGAGGGAATCGCCTAGAACAAAGTATCACCTTTTTATTTGGCCCTTCTGTATGGGAGTCATCGTGAGAAACAGCCCCACATCTGAAAAAGTCATAACTCGTGGCAGACGAGGAGCTAGTGTGCGTGTGATGCTCCTCCCTGCACTTGCCCGGACACAGCCCCCACTGGCCAGTGCTGTGCAAAGCCTGTTAGCAGCCACCCCCGCTGCCAGCCAGGCCAGCAGGGCCTCTGGGGGAGCTGGCACTCCCCAGCTCTGGAAACTTGCTCGCAGATGGAATGTGGGAGCCTGTGTCTGTCATTCGCTGAGCCACACCCCCAACAATCGGTAGGACACTCCAGGCCCAGCTGGGGGCTCTGCCAGGATGGACACAGAGGCTGCATCCTCCCTAGATAGGGGCAAGCCAGACAGGGGCAGGGCTGGGATGCAGCCACAGTCCTGGAGGGGGCCAAGGAGAAATTCTGTGCTCTGTAGGGGGAGCCTGGCGCAGGGTGGAGTGCATGGATCATTCCAGACCTGGTGCCTGGCCCCACTTCCCCGCCAGCCTGCCTTCTCCTCTATGACCCTGGCCTAGGGATGGGAAGGAACGGGGGCAATGGATGGGGCCCATCTGGGGTCAGGCCTTCTTGCTGGGACCTGGGAGCCAGCTCAGTTTAGGAGGCCTGGGGTGCAGCGTGGAGGTGAGGGGGACAGGGAAGGAAGCTAACCCCCACCTTGCTGGACAGGGTGTATGTGAAAGCTATACCCCACCTGCTCTCTTGGGTATGGACAGCAGAGATTTAGATCTGATTACTAAGAACACCTTTCGTCATCTTCATCCACTTGTCCACCCACCTGTCCCCTCACCTGTCCCTTGCCCATCAACTCCAGTCCTGTGCCCTTCTCTCTGCAGCTGAAGCCCATTATCTCTGACCCTGAGTACCTGCTAGACCAGCACATCCTCATCAGCATCAAGTCCTCTGACAGCGACGAATCCTATGGTAAGGGTCTGTGGGCAGGTGCCACACCTGCCTGTGAACTGGCGGCCTCTGACGTAGCATTGCCTTCAGGGGAGCTCACCTGGCACTTCCGGTCATAGGCTCCTGCCTCTCCTTTCCTCATCCCAGGGCTGCTAGTGGGACCGTCACCACTAAGTCATCCTTCCCTCCCCACTAGGCTTCTGGGCAGGACAGCCAGCAGTGGCAACCCCTTCCATGTATTGAGCCTTCCCTATGTGTGAGATCTGTGCCAGGCACTTTCCAGTATCATGTGATATAACCTTGACAAGACCTTACTGTTCTCCAATGAGTAAACAGAGGCTCAGAAAGATCAAGTGACTTGCCCGAGTCATATAGGTAGTGGTGGCTGGGCCCTAGTTTGAACCCAGGCCTGCCTGCCCTTCTCTGCTTCTCAAGTGTCCTGAGTCAGCCTTCTCAGCTCACAGGTCTGGAGCTGCGGACTCCCCTCTGCTGACCCAGTCTCTAAAACACCTGCTCAGGCACAAAGGGGCTGCTCCTTCTGCCCCCAAGGAGCCACCCTCTGCCCGAAGACCCCCTCTCCCCAGCCAGAGCAATTTGGGCTGAGGTGTCGTTCAGGGTCCCCTGAGTGGGACTTGGGGTGCTGGAAACACAGCTCAGGGCTCTCTGGTCTTCTGCTCAGCATCGCCTGGTGCCCAGACCAGGCAGGCTGTGGAGGCCCACAGCCAGAGAGACAGCAGGGGCTTTTGTACCATCTCTGCCTGTTTGTGGCTCCAGCCCAAAGTCAGGCTCACCCTTGCTAGACCACATGTGTGGCTAGACCATGGGGTGAGAGAGGCAGAGAGAGCCTGGAGGGGACAGAGAGAGGCAGGAAGCAGGAGCCAGGCCAAGCCTCTCCTTACAAGCCAAGCTAAGAGCAAATACCTTATCCCGAGGGCAGTAGGGAGCCATTGAAGATTCAAGCAAGGAAGTAACAGGATCAGATTCACATCTTGGAAATCCGCATCTGCAGTGATCAAGACGACAGATGAGTGAGCCAGAATAGAAGTAGTGACAGTAAAAAAGGAGAGAAGCGGATGACATTGAGAGGAATGGAGTAGAAAACTGTCTGGGCCTGGGATTGGGGAAAGGGTCTGTATTAGTCTGTTCTCATGTTGCTGTAAGGACATACTTAAGACGGGTAATTTATAAAGGAAAGAGGTGTAATTGACTCACAGTTCTGCAGGGCTGGGGAGGCCTCAGGAAACTTACAATCATGGCAGAAGAGGAAGCAAACACATCCTTTTCACATGATGGCAGGAAGGAGAAGTGGGTGCCCATTGATAGGGGAAGCTCCTTATAAAACCATCAGATCTCTTGAGAACTCACTCACCATCACCATCACTATCACTATTGAGAAAAGGATGGGGGAAACCACCCCCATGATTCAATTATCTCCACCTGGTCCCTCCAATGACACATGGGGATTGTGGGAACGACAATTCAAGAAGAGATTTGGGTGGGGACACAGCCAAACCATATCAGGGTCTGAGCGGCTGCATGAATGATGCTTCTACTTCTTGCACTGGGTTAGATGCAGTGCCGCGGGTAAGGGAGACCAAGGCACAGCCACAGCATATGAGGAAGACCAGAATGCTGTTGTGCTGGGGACACCATCAGAAGAGTTGGGTCAAGGAGAGGGTGTGGTTACAATAGCAAATGTGGCCAAGGGACCCAACACAAAGACCAAGCGTCTCTTAGATGGAGATACTCAGACCATCAGCAGACTTGGTGAGCGCAGTGTCCGTGGAAGAGCTGGGGTGACATCAGACCTCAGCACTTAGGAGTGAACAAAGCATGAGGAGGGAGGCAGAGGAGAATGCGCCTGGGTCAAGGGAGCACATTTATCCACGTGCTTATTTATTTGAAATGGAAAACCTTTGAATACTGCTCGGTGGAAGTCACTAAAGAGGAAGAGGCTGCAGACACAAATGAAAGCCCCACGCATAGTCTCCCATTGTGCAGGCTCTGCCAACACCTGGGTGTGGGCACTGTCGCTCCCCTCCTTGGGGAGGTGAGGAAAGGAGGCTGGGAGACCTGAAGGTCATGCAGCTACTGAGCAGCTTGTTGGAGGTAACTACGTGATCTTGGGCCTGAGCCCAGGCAGCTCTTCCCCGTTCCCAGTGCAGCACTGGCAAGAGGGTCCCCAAGCTGCAGGAGGGGTGGGAAGAGCTTGAGGAGTGTGATGGCCCTAATAGGGATCCCCTCGTCACGGATGCAAGAGCATCTGAATGGCTGCTGAAATGTTTGAAGCTTTGTTAGCAGGAAACAGGCAGTACGCAAAACACACGCTTCATTTTCTCATTCAAATCCTGTATTTCTGCGACACGGCAAGACCATGTCTTTAAAAATAATATACTGTAATCCTCCTTTGTTTCTTCCGCTTCATATTCATACTCACAAGCAGCATATCATCAAAATAAAAAGGAAAAACATCAACAGTCTCATTCCAGTAATCATTTTTATTTTGGTTTCACATTTCCAGCCTCATACATAGGCATACCTAGATTTTCATACTTACATCACAGAAACATCATTTTATACTCTGCTTCCCTCACCTGGTATTAGATGAAACACATTTTCCATGATTCTCCTGCCCCATCTTTGTGACTGTTCCTTTTGATGGCTGCATTATATTCCATGGACTTACTGCATCCTCATTTTAAAAGTATTCCTCACTTTAAAAGTACTATTATTGAGGCTCTGTCAGTTGTTTTTGTTGGTGCTATCAGTAACACTGAGATGAATCTCTTTGTGGACATTTTTTATTATTCTTCAGCTACATTTTTTATTCCTTTGAGTAATCTCATTAGGACAGGTTCCCATGTTTGCCGGATCAGAGGGTGTCAATCAGTGTTTGTGCTTCTTGGCGCTTGACACCAAACTGATTGCCATAAAGGCTGTCTCAGCTGACCTCACCACGGATAGGCTTCCCCAGATCCTTGCTGGCATTGGGTGGTTTTGTTTTTTGTTTTTGGAGGCCAGAGTGCAGTGGCACGATCTTGGCTCGCTGCAACCTCCGCTTCCCAGATTCAAGAGATTCTCCTGCCTCAGCATCCTGAGTAGCTGTGATTACAGGCATGCACCACCACCCCTGGCTAATTTTTGTAATTTTTCGTAGAGAGGGGGTTTCAACATGTTGGCCAGGCTGGTCTTGAACTCCTGACCTCAAGTGATCAGCCCGCCTCGGCCTCCCAAAGTGCTGGGATTACAGGCGTGAGCCACCACACCCGGTGCATTGGGTGTTATTTTTCTCGCTTCCTATCTATGCTAACTTCATGTCTGTGAAAGAGCAACTTAATGATTCCTTAGTTTGCATTTTTGATGGCTAGGAAAGTGGAACTATTTTCCATTTATTAAAATTAACCAGCTGCAATTCTTTTTGTGTGAAACGTCTGTCTGTATTATCTGTTCATGCATCTGCTGGAGAGGGTACCCTCTTGCCTGGGGAGCTAGCTGCAGATACTGTTCCCAATCCGTTTCCTTTTTATTTTAGGTTTTTTCTCTGTGCAAGTTTTAAACTTGCATGTCCTCTTGCCCGCCAATTTTGTTCTGTCATGTCTTATGCTGCATCAAATCTTGGGAAGTTTTCATTCCCTACAGCGATCAGATGAGTGTTTAATTCTGTCTTTCTGCTGCATTTTCTACAATATAATTTTTTTTACATCAACTAATCCACGTTTTGTTCTAAGACTTGAGACATTTGCCCCCAAAGTACTGTGGTGTTGTTCTGACGGATTTATTAAATAACCCTTGCCTGGGCTATAGTTTCAAAGGACCAACTCTCCGGCCAAGAGTTTGGTGTTTCTGCCATGAAAAGGCAGGGTCTTCACCCAGCTGTCTCCCACTTTCCCTGCAGGCGAGGGCTGCATTGCCCTTCGGTTAGAGGCCACAGAAACGCAGCTGCCCATCTACACGCCTCTCACCCACCATGGGGAGTTGACAGGCCACTTCCAGGGGGAGATCAAGCTGCAGACCTCTCAGGGCAAGACGAGGGAGAAGCTCTATGGTAAGCAGCAAGCCCCTCCCCAGCGCCCTCTTCAGCCCCCCACTTAGGGACGGGAACGTGCTTTCTCTCAGCAAAGCTGTCGAATATGCTCTCTGCTGCGGCCTCAGAGCAGAAATCCAGCACTGGAAAAGATCTCAGACAATCTGGCCCAACCCTCACTCAACTCAAAAATGTCCCAACAGAACCCAACATCCAGCACCCCCAGATCACCCTCCCCGACCCTGTGGATTTTTTAGGGCCCCGAACCTCACCTGTCAGCCTTTAGGCCTTGTCATTCCCCCATTAGCACCTCCACTAAAAGAAGGACCCAGTGTACCAAGCGAACCTACGTCTTGTTAAATGGCTCCTTCCAGGCTGTCCGGGGAAGGCCACAGCTACAGCTGCAGATGAGATTTAGAATTTCTTGGGCGACCTCTGCTTGCCCACACGGCCACATGGTGCCCACTCCCATATACAAACAGGCCCTCGTACGTACCTAAACCCTGCCCTCATGGTGCCCACCCAGGTTTCTGTACCTTCTAAACTGCTTTTTTTTTTTTTTTTTTTTTTTTTTTGGGACAGAGTCTCACTCTGTGGCTCAGGCTGGAGTGCAGTGGCACGATCTCAGCTCACTGCAACCTCCACTTCTGGGGTTCAAGTGATTTTCCATCTTCAGCCTCCAGAGTAGCTGGGACTATAGGCACCCACCACCATGCCCAGCTAATTTTTATATTTTTAGTAGAGACAGGGTTTCACCACGTTGACTAGGCTAGTCTGGAACTCCTGACCTCAAGTGATCCACCTGTCTCCGCCTCCTGAAGTGCTGGGATTACAGACGTGACCACTGCACCGAGCCTTTTTTTTTCTTTCTTTCTTTTTTGGAGACAGTCTTACTCTGTAGCCCAGGCTAGAGTGCAGTGGCACAATCTCAGATCACTGCAACCTCCGCCTCCCAGGTTCAAGCAATTCTCCTGCCCCACCTTCCCGAGTAGCTGGGATTACAGGTGCCCACCACTGGCTAATTTTTGTATTTTTAGTAGAGACAGTGTTTCACCACGTTGGCCAGACTGGTTTGGAACTCCTGACCTCAAGTGACACACCTGCCTCGGCCTCCCAAAGTGCTGGGGTTACAGGCATGAGCCACCACACCTGGCCTGTTTATTTTAATCTGACAAAACATACTTGCCTGTTTTGTTTCTTGCTGAGACCAGTAAGTTGGAAATGTCACATGAAATGGCAACTCTGGATCCCAACTCTCCTCTCTGTGGATCCACTGCAGGCATAACTAATCAATCACTGAACTCTTAGGAGGCCTCAGAATCTTGCTTAACTCACCTCTCCAGGTACTCACTATTCACTGTGCAGCTTCAGCCTGCAAATGGAAACCCCTTTGCCATCCCTCGCCTAAGCTCTGGAAGCTGGGCCCTCACATGCTCTTTCCCGTCCCTTTCCTTCCAGACTTTGTGAAGACGGAGCGTGATGAATCCAGTGGGCCAAAGACCCTGAAGAGCCTCACCAGCCACGACCCCATGAAGCAGTGGGAAGTCACTAGCAGGTAAAGTGGGCGTGGGGTGGGTGTTGGGGGGGGTGGATATCAGGGACTCATGACAAATTAGCATGGTTTGGCCGGGTGCGATGGTTCACGCCCATAATCCCGGCACTTTGGGAGGCCAAGGCTGGAGGATCATTTGAGCCTAGGAGTTTGAGACCAGCCTGAGCAACATATCGAGACCCTGTCTCTACAAAAAAAATGTGGTGGTTCATGCCTGTAATCGCAGCACTTTGGGAGGCCAAGGCCGGTGGATTGCTTGAGGTCAGGAGTTTGAGACCAGGCTGGCCGACATGGTAAAACCCCATCTCTACTAAAAATACAAAAATTAGCTGGGCGTGGTGGTGGCACACGCCTCTAATCCCAGCTACTCTGGAGGGCTGAGGCACAAGAATTGCTCGAACCCAGGAGGCAGAGATTGCAGTGAGCCGAGATTTCACCACTGTACTCCAGCCTGGGCAACAGACCGAGACTCTGTCTCAAAAATAATAATAATACTTAGCTGGGTGTAGTAGTCCTAACTACTTAGGAGGCTGAGATGGAAGGATTGCTTCAGCCCAAAAGGCTGAGGCTGCAGTGAGCTGTGATTGTGTCACTGCACTCCAGCTTAGGCGACAGAGTAAGACCTTGTCTCAAAAAAAACAAAACAAAACACTAGCATGGCTCTGCAAACCCAGGGCCTGTGAGAAGGTGAACTGAAGCACAGAGAAACCCAGGACACAGGAGAAAGAAGCTCCAGCCCAGGAGAGGTGCTCTCCTGCCTCCTCTGCGAGTCTGTTGACCGCTGGAGAGGTTGATGTGACTGTGACAAAGCTGGGGAAATTCTAATGTGACGGAAAGTTCAGTTTGACTCAGCTAACATTTGTTGAGTCCCTGTGATGTGTCCAGTTCTAGAGAAATCAAGGCAAATTCAGTGCAGTCCCTGACTTAGGAACTTGCGGCCTAGTGCATGAAGAAGTGACTGCGGAGAGAATGGAGAGATTCCAAGTCTACAAATGGTGGCTGTGTCTCCTGTGGGACAGAGGACACCAGCAATCATGGGATCTGTGGCCACCAAACCCCACCCTATCCACTAGCAAGAAAAATCACTGGGGGAAAATGCACACTGGTTGCTCTTGGCAGAGACTGAACTGAGAATAGTACAGATGTTAAAGTCTGTATTACCAGAATACAGACGTCCTTGGTAGCAGGGCTGCCCTAACTCACCGATGTGGTCTCCGAGATCCAGAATCAAGTTCTGGTCTCTTTGCCGGCTCACCAGCCGAGGAGGCAGAACCATGCCAGCAGCAGACATAGCTTGTTCCTCTCCTCCCTCCCTTCCCCACAACTCATCCCCACCAACCCTTGCCCTCACCCCAGCCACCCCCGCTGTACACAGGAATTCTCATCTCTAGCACATTCCCTGATCCACTTCCAGCTTCCGATGTTCACAGCCGTGGGCACACAAGCATCCCCTTTCCCTCTTTCCCTCCCATGATAATCCCATCAGCAAATGCATCCTGGCTCTGAAGTGTCTACTGTGTTCCAGAATCAGGATCAGTGTAGGGAAACAAATTCTTTTCCATTTTGACTAGCATGAGAACGAGCATTTATTTCTGAAGCAGGCAGTGGTGGATGGGAACAAGGTACAGCTCGGAACCAGGCTGGCAGAGCACATGGGAGCTGTGGAGTGTCCCTGACAGCCTATACGCTCAGAACTCAGTTCTCAGGAGGCCGGTGCCTGACACAGTGGCAGCGTGCAGTGTGTCTGTTGGGGCCACCTTGCCTGGGTCTGGGCCATCCCCTCCATAGCTTTAAGCTGATTGCCCCCAATTCCAGGCTCCAACCTTGATCTCTGTGACCTCACACTCATTTTTCTAAATATGCACATGGCTGTCTCTATGCTGACGCTGCACACACAAATGTGTGAGCTGATGTGTTCCAGAGGAACCCCTGCTGGAGTCTGCCCTGAAAATCCCCTCCTTCCTGCCACCCAGGCTACCCCCCCACCATCTCTCTGCCCTGCCAGCCTTGCCAGCTTCTCATTCCATCCTCTGCACCTGCTCACCAGCCTTCGGACCGTCCAGGAACAGGCCAAACCCCTCTCACCTGGAGGCCTTTGCATGTACTCTTGCCACTGCCGAGAACAGTCTCCCCTTCTTTCTCTCTTATCTGCTTATCTTCTTATCTCAGATGAAAGACCACCTCCTCAGATGGGGCCTCCTGGGGTCACCCAATGCCCAGTTGGTCCCAACACTTCACTAGTCCCCATCTCTGCCCCTTGTTATTCTCAGACTTCAGCACTACATCAATACCGTGTCTCTGTGTCACTGAGCTTGTTTTTCTCTCCCATCAAAAGTGAGTTCCATAAGAACAGAGACCATGGCTGCCTCACTCACAGCCATATTCCCTCCTCCCGGCCTGGGGCCAGGTGCTTACGAGGCCCTCAGTAATCACGGTGTTGCATGGATAGATGAATGAATGAATGGATCACTGCCCAAGAGGTGAAGGAGTTGAGGAGAGCTCGAGAGAGCCCTAGGGTTATCAGAGGACACTTTCCTTGGGCTGGTGCTGACCCCGAGAAGGGAAGGGACCCCTGAGATGTGACTCCATGTCCTCCCTGCAGGGCCCCTCCGTGCAGTGGCTCCAGCATCACTGAAATCATCAACCCCAACTACATGGGAGTGGGGCCCTTTGGGCCACCAATGCCCCTGCACGTGAAGCAGACCTTGTCCCCTGACCAGCAGCCCACAGCCTGGAGCTACGACCAGCCGCCCAAGGACTCCCCGCTGGGGCCCTGCAGGGGAGAAAGTCCTCCGACACCTCCCGGCCAGCCGCCCATATCACCCAAGAAGTTTTTACCCTCAACAGCAAACCGGGGTCTCCCTCCCAGGACACAGGAGTCAAGGTGAGCATCCTCTTCATTAAGACGGCTCCCTCCCTCCTTATGAAAGCGCCCTGGGCTTTGGGCTTTCACCCTAGAATGGAAGCCTCATAAGGGCCACAATTTGTGTCCACTTGGCTCATGACTTATCCCTGGGGCCTGAACACAGCAGGCCCCTGACATGTATGTGGAGTCTTCCATGTCCTAACCTGTTAGTGCAACTCGATTGCTTTTTAAAGGGTAAAAATTTGTAAAGATATTGCCAAGAAAAGGAACCTCCTATAAAAACTATATACATATCAAAAAACATGTTTTGGGCCGGGCATGGTGGCTCACGCCTGTAATCCCAGCACTTTGGGAGGCCAAAGCGGGTGGATCACCTGAGATCGGGAGTTCGAGACCAGCCTGACCAACATGGAAAAACCCCATCTCTACTAAAAATACAAAATTAGCCAGGGGTGGTGGTGCATGCCTGTAATCCCAGCTACTCAGGAGGCTGAGGCAGGAGAATTGCTTGAACCCAGGAGGTGGAGGTTGCGGTGCGCCGAGATTGCGCCACTGCACTCCAGCCTGGGCAACAAGACTGAAACTCCGTCTCAAAAAACAACAAATTTCGGCCGGGCACGGTGGCTCACGCCTGTAATCCCAGCACTTTGGGAGGCTGAGGTGGGTGGATCACTTGAGGTTAAGAGTTCGAGTCCAGCCTGGCCAACGTGGTGAAACCCCGTCTCTACTGAAAATACAAAAATTAGCCAGGCATGGTGGCTCACACCTGTAATCCTAGCTGAGGCAGGAGAATCGCTTGAGCCCAGGAGGCAGAGGTTGCAGTGAGCCAAGATTGCACCACTGCACTCCAGCCTGGGCAACAGAACGAGACTCCATAAAAATGCCAGGTGTGGTGGTGCATGCCTGTAATCCCAGCTACTCAAGAGGCTGAGGCAGGAGAATCGCTTGAACCCAGGAGGCAGAGGTTGCAGTGAGCCAAGATTGCACCACTGCACCCCAGCCTGGGCGACAGAACGAGACTCCATAAAAATGCCAGGTGTGGTGGTGCACGCCTGTAATCCCAGCTACTCAAGAGGCTGAGGCAGGAGAATCGCTTGAACCTAGGAGGCAGAGGTTGCAGTGAGCCAAGATTGCACCAGTGCACTCCAGCCTGGGTGACAGAGTGAGACTCCGTCTCAAAAAAAAAAATGGCCAGGTGCGGTGGTTCACGCCTGTAATCCCAACACTTTGGGAGGCCGAGGCAGACAGATCTCGAGGTCAGGAGATCAAGACCATCCTGGCTAACATAGTAAAACCCCATCTCTACTAAAAATACAAAAAATTAGCTAGATGTGCTGGCACGCACCTGTAGTCCCAGCTACTCGGGAGGCTGAGGCAGGAGAATCACTTGAACCCGGGACGCAGAGGTTGCAGTGAGCTGAGATCACACCACTGCACTCCAGCCTGGGCGACAAAGCGAGACTCCATCTCAAAAGAAAAGAAAAAAAATGTTTCTAGAGCTAGTTAACCTTTGGGCATCTCCCGCTCCCTAGAGGGCCCTGTGGAACAGGGTGGGAGTTTCCATGTAGAGCCTGCTCGCACCCTCCAGTTCCCCTCTTTTTTCTCGACCATGAGGTTCCCCATTCTATAAGCAGCTTCCTAGTCTCTCCTGTAGGGGACACTTAGTTAGAAACTGGAACTAGGGATGTAAAAGGCAGGGCAGCCAGCCTGCAGAGAGAGGAGGCCCGGCCCTGAAACTCTGGGGAAGCCCCGGACGGTGGAGAAAACTGATCTGAGTCTAGAACTGGTTCAGGCAGAAGAATGGAAGCCAGATAGGAGACCGGGCTACGCAGCCGAGGAACAGGGTCAGCACTTCCCAAAGGCACAGACGCTCTCTGGTGCTGCTGGAACAGAGCAGAGCCAACCATGGGTACCTCGTGGATACACAAGTGGGGAGCTCTACATGTTTCTAGTAGCCACAGGATGACAGACAGACGTGAAAGTGCAGGCCCAATTACCAACGATTTAAGATGGGCAAGATAGCTTGAGCACTGTCTTCCCTTGAGGCTCTTTGCTGGCTTATCATAACCTCAGGGGTTCACTCTCAGCCTCTCTTCCTCTAACACTGGTTTTTTCTTCATCCTTTTTCCATGAGGACTTGCGTGCTGTCCGCCACATGGGGCAGAGCCAGCAGCGGTGTGTTCTCCATCACACTGTCCTCCAGCTCCCTCCAGTTCCACCCTTCCCAGGCCTGACCTGGCAGGGTCTTCCTCTGGATGGAGAAGCTGTTGACAGTCTCATTTCTCAAAATATGCGAGATATGCTCTAAGAAACGGATAGGCCAGGCGCGGTGGCTCACGCCTGTAATCCCAGCACTTTGGGAAGCCAAGGTGGGCAGATCACTTGAGGTCAGGAGTTTGAGACCAGCCTGACCAACACGGTGAAACCCCATCTCTACTAAAAATACAAAAATCAGCCAGGCGTAGTGGCCCACACCTGTAATCCCAGCTACTCAGGAGTCTCTGAGACACGAGAATCGCTTGAACCCGGGAGGCGGAGGTTGCAGTGAGCTGAGGTCATGCCACTGCACTTTAGCCTGGGTGACAGAGCAAGACTCCATCTCAAAATAAATAAATAAATAAATAAATAAATAAATAAATAAATAAATAAATAGATGAGAGGAAGTCAGGAAGAGAGAGAGAAAAGGACAGGACAGGATAGCCCTGAAGCTCAGCTCAGCTGTCTCTCTCTCTGCCTCTGTACAGAGTTTGTTGATAGGGTGTCAGACCCTGGTCATTCCCTAAGAAACTTGGAGGGAGGAGAAACAGCCTCAGTTTCCTGCCCTGGAAATATGAGGACAAAAGGCACTATTCAGTGGGTATCAAGGTGCCTGTGTGGCCACCTCTTTGGAGACCCCAGGAAATGGAGCTCTAAGCAACCAGAAAGAAAAAGGAGCATGATTATTTGTGTAAGTGAATGCTTTTCAGCTCCCAAAGCGAATGGATCTTGGTGCATAACAACGAGCACACAGCTTGGTGGGAGCATGCTCCCCACAGCCCCATGGTGACAGCTGCAGACAGGCTGCCATCCACGGGCAAGGGGCCCCCAGGGTACGCTTCTAACTCACTGCTCACCAAGGAGGCGCTTGGAGCCTGGAGCCCTGCAGCTCGCACACCTGCCTCATCCCTTTCCGCTGCTCCAGGTCCCAGGCTCAGCCAGAGCAAAGGCTGTGGAAGGGGGTGTTCCAAGCACCATCAGTGTTTCCCCACCATCACCCAGACCCAAGTGCAGGGACTGACCTTCCCGGTTTGCCAAGTACTGTCCCAGTTTTAGCACTGAAAGTCCCACATCTCAGGAAACCCTTCAGTCCTGCGTAAGCAAGGACAACTGGTGACCCCAGATCGAAGCTGTGCAATTAGGAAGGGGACTCTTCTCAGCCCCTGGCCAGTGCTTAGCTGCTTTGGAGATGAGACTCGTCTCCTGAATCTGAGAAGTACAGTCATTTGCTGCAGGAATCAACTCGTCCCCTAGATATCGGTTCCCTTATTCAACAACTGTGGCCTGCTATAGGAGTCAATTTCTTGTTACCTTTGGTCAGGGGAATAAGACTTACTTTTGAGTTTTTCATGGTTTTCCCCAGTCTTCCCCGCCCGCCCCACCAAGCTTCCCCTCTCTAAGTGCAACAGAAGCCTCCTCTTAGAGGGAAGGCTTCCCTGGTCTCTATCTCACTGCTCTTTTCCCAGAGGAGTGAGCTTTAGAATCACAAAAGGGCTTGCACCCAGGGCTCTTCCTGGTCCTGCCCCCAGTTCTCTGAAGTCAGCCCCCTCCTCCCATCTCAGCCCCTGAGAGAGGGTGGTCAGAGGTCAGGACTTCTTGCTCCTTCATCTGAAAACTTGTGACCATGCCAGTTGCACCCTCCTGTGCCCTCTTCCCTTGGCTAACTCACAGCAACGGCCTTTGAGGGTCCACACGGGGGTCAGAAGAGGGCTGAACATGGAGGGGGCCCTTTCCAAAGTCCTTGTTTGAGGCCCCAGCATTTCTATGTATGCACCTGCTCTAAGGTGTTTCCAAAAATTAATGGGCAACACCCCCAGGTGCACAGTCAGGCTCCCTTTGGTGTGTCCCGGAGGCCAGCCTCCCTGGAGCTCCATGGCTTCTCACCGGCACCTGTGTGAGGACGACATCCCGCCTTTGTCCCCTGAGCCCACACCTGCTCCCCAGAGTCACTGTTGAGTGCCTGTGAGCAGCTTCTCAGTGCACATCCCATCAGTAACAGGCGCAACAGCCTCAACAGCTCAGTGGGTTCCCAGCGATCCACAATTTCTTCACGATAGCTTCCTTTTCTGTAGAAAGCAGAACCCAGAACACTCCCCTGGGAGATTCTGCTGCTAGTCAGGAAGTAAAATGTGTTCCCATTTCTCGTTCTCATAGTTTGCTCAGCAGGAAATCACCTCCAGTCAGAGCAGTGATAAATCAGAACACAAACAAGCAAAGGCAGCACTTGCCTACTTTGGGTCACAACACAGGAGCTTCCCCTGCCCATGAGTTGAGTGGGCCTTTCTTCTAGCTACTGGCCTTGGCTTCCCCAGTACTCGCAAGTGTCCAAGTTCCCTCTGACTTGCACCACAGCCACCACGTGTTCCTTCCACTGTGAGTTAGGAGAGGCTTCCAGGGAGAGGACTTCATGTGGCTGGGAAGGACACTGTGTTAACCGGGATGTCGGGCCCCCTGAGCTCAGATTCTGTCCTTGTTTGTGGCTGTGTTGCTGTGCCTGGGAAAGTGTCTCACACATGAGTTTGGTAGATGGAGCCTCTTGAGCTTTCACCCTCAAGTAGCACAAGTGGTTCCTGAGGAGGAGGTGTGATCGCCTTCCTGAGCGGTCATGCAAATGCTGGGTCGGAGCAGAATTGCTGGAGTCAGAGGAGAGGCTGCGGGGTGGGGATGGGAGGAACCGGGAAAGGAGGCCTGTTGACTGGGGAGGTGGGAAGGGGCTGTGGAGAGCAGGCTCATCTGATGAGGATGAGGGGTTGATACTGAGGTGCCATGTAAGTTCTCACTTCATTTCTCCCACAAATCCTCCAGTGCCATGCCCCTTGCTCACAGATGCTCTGATGTGAACAGGTTTTATAGTGGAAAAGGTCCCAGGCCAGAACTGAGGCTGTCTTTGAGGACAACGTATGATGAACACAGTACTGTTTCCTCTTCCTTTTTTTCACTTGAGGTGAAATTCACTTAACATAAAATTAACCATTTCAAAATGAACAGTTTGCTAGGCTGGGCACAGTGGCTTATGCCCATAATCCCAGCACTTTGGGAGGCCAAAGTGAGAGGACTGCTTGAAGCGAAGAGTTCAAGACCAGCCTGGGCAATATAGTGAGACTCCCCATCTCTACAGAATAAAACAAAACTAAAAAATTAGCCAGGCCTGGAGGCATTGCTACTCCCAGCAATGTCCAGCTACTCCTAGCTACTCCCAGCTACTCCCAAGTAGTCTCAGCTACTTGGGAGGCTGAGGGGAAGGACTGCTTGAGCCCAAGAGGTTGAGGCAGCAGTGAGCCATGACCGCACCACTGCACTCCAGCCTGGGTGACAGAGCGAGACTCTGTCTCTAAAACAAAACAAGACAAAACAATTTGGTGCCATTCAGTAAATTTGCAATGTTACATGTCTCTATCTAGTTCAGAAACATTTGTATCACCCCAAAGAAAGACCCAGAGCCATTAAGCAGCCATGCTCCCATGTCTTCTCCCCTGGACATGTGTCTTCCCTGCTCTGTCCCTGGCTCTAGGCCCAGTGACCTGGGGAAGAACGCAGGGGACACGCTGCCTCAGGAGGACCTGCCGCTGACGAAGCCCGAGATGTTTGAGAACCCCCTGTATGGGTCCCTGAGTTCCTTCCCTAAGCCTGCTCCCAGGAAGGACCAGGAATCCCCCAAAATGCCGCGGAAGGAACCCCCGCCCTGCCCGGAACCCGGCATCTTGTCGCCCAGCATCGTGCTCACCAAAGCCCAGGAGGCTGATCGCGGCGAGGGGCCCGGCAAGCAGGTGCCCGCGCCCCGGCTGCGCTCCTTCACGTGCTCATCCTCTGCCGAGGGCAGGGCGGCCGGCGGGGACAAGAGCCAAGGGAAGCCCAAGACCCCGGTCAGCTCCCAGGCCCCGGTGCCGGCCAAGAGGCCCATCAAGCCTTCCAGATCGGAAATCAACCAGCAGACCCCGCCCACCCCGACGCCGCGGCCGCCGCTGCCAGTCAAGAGCCCGGCGGTGCTGCACCTCCAGCACTCCAAGGGCCGCGACTACCGCGACAACACCGAGCTCCCGCATCACGGCAAGCACCGGCCGGAGGAGGGGCCACCAGGGCCTCTAGGCAGGACTGCCATGCAGGTGCGCTGCGCCACACGTGGGTTCGTGTGCATTTGTGTGTGTGTGCATGCGTGAGTGCGTATGTGTGTACCTATGCATATGTGTGTGCATGTGTGTGTGCACGCATGCATATGTGCGTGCATGTGTGAACGCATGCATGTGCACACATGCGAGTGATGGTCCTGGGAACTGCTCCATGAGAAGGGAGAGTCAGGATTTGAACCCAGGTCTGCCTGTCCCACACATCCCTGACCCTGCATTGCCTCTGCAGCAGTTGTTAAAAGGAAGAAAGGCGGGGCTGTGGATAAACTTAGTCTAGTGTCAGTCCCAGAGGAAGAAGATTCCATAAAGAAAAGGAGCCTAAATCATTTATATCTCATTGTTATTATAAATTTGTTTTGCAACTGAGTTTCGCCAGGCACAGTGGATCACGAGGTCAGGAGATCGAGACCATCCTGGCCAACATGGTGAAACCCCGTCTCTACTAAAATACAAAAAATTACCCGGGCATGGTGGCGCACGCCTGTAGTCCCAGCTGCTTGGGAGGCTGAGGCAGGGGAATCGCTTGAACCTGGGAGGCAGAGGTTGTGGTGAGCCGAGATTGCGCCACTGCACTCCAGCCTGGTGACAAAGCAAGACTCCGTCTCAAAAAAAAAAAAAAAAAAAAATTAAAAAACAACAACAACGGAGTTTCACTCTTTGTTGCCCAGGCTAGAGTCCAGTGGTGTGATCTCGGCTCACTGCAACCTGCGCCTCCTGGGTTCAAGCGATTCTCCTGTCTCAGCCTCCCGAGTGGCTGGGATTACAGGCACCTGCCACCATGCCTGGCTAATTTTTGTATTTTTAGTAGAGATGGGATTTCACCATGTTGGCCAGGCTGGTCTCGAACTCCTGACCTCAGGTGATCTGCCTGCCTGGGCCTCCCAAAGTTCTGGGATTACAGGCATGAGCCACTGCACCCAGCCTCATTGTTATTATTAAGTCGCATTCATACTTGAAAATTTCCCAATATTTTGGAGAATTCAGCACACTTTCCCTCTCCTTCATGTAAAATAAAAAATTTTTTGAGCAAAACTAACAGTGATTAAGAACAGACTCCAGGCCGGGCGTGGTGGCTCATGACTGTAATCCCAGCATTTTGGGAGGCCGAGGTGGATGGATCACCTGAGGTCAGGAGTTCAAGACCAGCCTAACCAATATGGTGAAACCCTGTCTCTATTAAAAATACAAAAATTAGCTGGGCATTGTGGTGTGCACCTGTAATCCCAACTACTCGGGAGGCTGAGACAGGAGAATTGCTTGAACCCAGGAGGCGGAGGTTGCAGTGAACCGAGATCGCAACACTGCACTCCAGCCTGGGCGACAGAGTGAGACTCCATCTCAAAAAAGAGAACAGTCAGGCTATGTTGGATTTGAATCCCAGCCCTCCCACCTCCTGGCTCTGTGCCTTGAGCCTCAGTTTACCCATCTGTAAAAAGGGGCTGTTAATAGTACCTACCTCATAGACTTAGAAGGAGAATTGCATTGTAGGCTATTATGTATTATTACCATGTATTATCATCTATATAGAAATTATATATTTATATTTATGTATTTACATTGATATCCATTACATATCATTTCATATATATATACTATACATATTACATATGTGTATATATTTTATATATATATATGGTACGTACCTGGGTGTGGTGCCATGCACCTGTAGTCCCAGCTACTGGGGAGGCTGAGGCATGAGGCTAGCTGGAACCCAAGAATTCAAGGCTGCAGTGAGCTATGATTGCACCACTGCACTCCAGACTAGGCAACAGAGTAAGACCCCATTTCTAAAAAACAATTTTTTTAAATAAGCAGGTAAAGTACTTAGAGCAGTGAGTGCTGGCTCTTCTCAGCTACACGTTAAAGGAAGCCTGGCCTAGCCCACAGCATGCAGGGACCTGGGCCACTTAGTTCAACATGGCCTGGTGAGAATGAGCCCTGACAGCCCTTCTGTTCTTGTCCCACAGTGAAGCCCTCAGTGAGCTGCCACTGAGTCGGGAGCCCAGAGGAACGGCGTGAAGCCACTGGACCCTCTCCCGGGACCTCCTGCTGGCTCCTCCTGCCCAGCTTCCTATGCAAGGCTTTGTGTTTTCAGGAAAGGGCCTAGCTTCTGTGTGGCCCACAGAGTTCACTGCCTGTGAGACTTAGCACCAAGTGCTGAGGCTGGAAGAAAAACGCACACCAGACGGGCAACAAACAGTCTGGGTCCCCAGCTCGCTCTTGGTACTTGGGACCCCAGTGCCTCGTTGAGGGCGCCATTCTGAAGAAAGGAACTGCAGCGCCGATTTGAGGGTGGAGATATAGATAATAATAATATTAATAATAATAATGGCCACATGGATCGAACACTCATGATGTGCCAAGTGCTGTGCTAAGTGCTTTACGAACATTCGTCATATCAGGATGACCTCGAGAGCTGAGGCTCTAGCCACCTAAAACCACGTGCCCAAACCCACCAGTTTAAAACGGTGTGTGTTCGGAGGGGTGAAAGCATTAAGAAGCCCAGTGCCCTCCTGGAGTGAGACAAGGGCTCGGCCTTAAGGAGCTGAAGAGTCTGGGTAGCTTGTTTAGGGTACAAGAAGCCTGTTCTGTCCAGCTTCAGTGACACAAGCTGCTTTAGCTAAAGTCCCGCGGGTTCCGGCATGGCTAGGCTGAGAGCAGGGATCTACCTGGCTTCTCAGTTCTTTGGTTGGAAGGAGCAGGAAATCAGCTCCTATTCTCCAGTGGAGAGATCTGGCCTCAGCTTGGGCTAGAGATGCCAAGGCCTGTGCCAGGTTCCCTGTGCCCTCCTCGAGGTGGGCAGCCATCACCAGCCACAGTTAAGCCAAGCCCCCCAACATGTATTCCATCGTGCTGGTAGAAGAGTCTTTGCTGTTGCTCCCGAAAGCCGTGCTCTCCAGCCTGGCTGCCAGGGAGGGTGGGCCTCTTGGTTCCAGGCTCTTGAAATAGTGCAGCCTTTTCTTCCTATCTCTGTGGCTTTCAGCTCTGCTTCCTTGGTTATTAGGAGAATAGATGGGTGATGTCTTTCCTTATGTTGCTTTTTCAACATAGCAGAATTAATGTAGGGAGCTAAATCCAGTGGTGTGTGTGAATGCAGAAGGGAATGCACCCCACATTCCCATGATGGAAGTCTGCGTAACCAATAAATTGTGCCTTTCTCACTCAGCTGTGTGTGTGGCGTTTTTCCTGACATTCGGAGCCATAGATATCCTTCTAGATGGCAGGGCCTGCACAGGGCACAACTGAGGCAGTTAAGGGTTCATGGTGGTGATGGATGGTGTTGCCCTGACCAGATGGGACACCATAGAGCCAGTTTGAAGCTGGTCCTGGACTAGGAACAGGAGTAAACCGCACCCCTTCCTTCCTTCCACCCACACATCTTCCTGGCACTCCAAGCACCCTGCGGCCACCCAGAGGCCACGAGCATCCCCTCCAAACCTGCTGTCCTGCAGCCCACAAGTTCCTCCCAGCTTTTATAAGTTTTCACCACTTAAGCTGCAGTGACAAAAAAAACACGTCAACACTCCCCAGGTCATGGGTTCCCAGGTCAGGGAGTAGACCCCCGCCCAGAGGCACAGTGCGGGCCACTTCCACGGCGCCTCTGCCCCACCTTGGGCTGCCTGGCCTCTGCTTCTGCTCACAGACACCAGGCCTGGGCTCCAGGCAGGGCCTGGAGCCGTGTCTTTGGCAGCCTCCAAGCAAACCATTCACTCCCAAGCCTCAGTGGCACCTGGAGCCCAGCAGGGGCAGGACTGAGTGCCTGCTGGGACCATGGCTCCCTACCCCCACTCAGGTGTCCCCGCCCTGCAGGCTCACTGCCTGGTGTCCGTGTAGAACCTGACCTAAGTCCCAGGCCCCAGCCTCTGATTCAACAGACCAAGGGCCACGGTGGAGAGAGAGCTGGAGACACCCAGACATTCTTTAGTCTCCCAGCCCCCATCACCAGAGCTGAGGACCCAGGCATGGATGCCCATGGTCCCTGGGGAACCCACTGGCTGCTGGGGTGGGCTGGCCTGCTACACAAGTGCCATCATCTGCTCACCCACAGGGAGAATGTCAAGCCCAAGGCCCCATGCCCACTTAGGATGGATGTCTAGGCACTCCCCAGCATTTCTGTGGGTTCCCAGGAGATACGGGTAGGAGAGCAACTGTTTGGGGCATACATCATGCTCCCCGTCACCTGCTCTGGGTTCCAGTCACTCAAGCAAATGCAGTGCCCCCACCACAGTCAAACCCAGGGCTGCTGTGAGGACCTGGCTTTGATTGCACGTGGTCGGACAGCTGAGGCCCACCTGGTGCTCAGAACAGGAAACGCTGTGGAATGCAAGAATTTTCATCCTTGCCTTTTCCATCTCTCTACCCTGCACCCACCCCGAGAGGTCCCGGACCACTTTCTCCCTAGGCTTTTTGCTGCCGTGATCATCTGGGTTCCACCTTGACCAGGTCTCTCTCCTGTCTCTCCTTTCCTGACAATTCTAGGCATTCCAAACACCCAGGTTCCCCCTTCTGGCAGAGGGGGAACCCAGACATCCCCACCTCCTTATCACCTACATAATTCACCTCCAAGTAATTCACCTACACCAGGCTCCCTAATCAAGAAGGCAGGTCAATTAGCCAGCTCTCATCAAAGTGCTCCATTCCTAGGATGAATTTCACCGCCCCCTGAGATTGCAGATGCTGCTACAGTCACTGTTCCTTTTCAGAGGTAATTTTTTTCCTTCTCTGCTTGATGCTATGAAGGCTGGTTGAGAGCAGCAGAGTTTGTGCCGACAGGAAGGTGTTACCCTCATGATGGACAGTCTCTAGCAGCGCTCTTCCCAGTGCCTCCACCGCAGCCCCCCCCCCACCCCCCCGCAGCCTGGAGGGCAGCGCCTGCAGCCAGTGCCACCTGCAGGGACAGAGTCAGCCACGGGCTCCTCCTCCTTCCTGCATTTCCATTCTTTTTCCACACCATTTTCCCCACCCGGATAGGAGAGAAATTAGTGAGTCATTCAGAAAAGCTCTCTCCCACAGCTACCTTCCCTGGTTCCAGCCTACCAGGTTCTCATCTTTGCATGTCCTTAAAATAGCTCCTTTCTCTTGGCAAACAAATTTCCATGGAGACCCAGCTATGGGAAGGCCCAGAAGCTTTCTGCAAGGCAGCAAACTCAGCTCCCAGCCTTCACTCTGACAGAGACCCTTTATAATGCAAATGTGTGTTCTCACCCCCACAGACACTGCCACCCACGAAGGTCCCATTTTGGGAAATCTGAACCACCCAGGGAACGCACTGGGAGGTTGAGTCTAGGTATAGGCAATCTAGTTTCTTGTTATTTTCTGACGGGCTGGCTGGCCTGCACTGGTGAGTTCTCTCTCAGGTCACAGCAGACCGAACCACTAGGCTTACCAGTGACTAATCTCACAGCAGGCATACCCAGCTCATGCTCTTCCTCCATGCACTTGGCCACACATGTTGATGGCGTGCACTGGGCCTTGGGGGTCAGTGCTTCTATTGAGGTAGGCCATGGGTGGGAGGGATCCTGGACTATGGGAACAGATAGAATGGGGCTTAAATGTCTTTTATTTCCTAAAACTATAATCTTGCACAGGTTTCTTAGCTTTTCTGAGCCTCAATCTCCTCATCTGTACAATGGAAAGAAGGCTACCTGGTGTGGTTGTCGAAGATTCACTGAGCTCATCTCTGCAAAGCCCCTGGCTCGGCGCCTGGCCCTGCTGTAGGGGTTCAGTGAGTGTTATCCCGTTCCCTCATCCTTCGAGACAAGGCAGTGAGGGAGGGCACCGTGCACAGCATCGGAAAAGAAGCAAATAGAAGAGCTTTGGGGATGCAGGAACGTCCAAAGCAGAGGTAAAGGCAAGAGCACAAATTCATAAACAAGGCAGGCCATCCAGGGGGCAAGTCAAGGCTGTGAAAAGCCATGAAGAGCAGGGAGATAGATCAGGCTAAGGCATGGATAACTGAGGCCAGGAGGAACTAGATGAGGCCAGGTGGGCTATTTGAGGCTAAGGAGGAGCTAGTTGAGGTCAAGGAGAGGCGAGGTTAGTTGAGGCCAGGAAGACTAGTTTGAAGCCAGAGGTGCAGGTGGATTCTCTAGCTACACAGAGCACAGCTGCTCAGATGACCTGAGCCAATGGGAGCAGACCCAGCGGACGCATAGGAACACTTCATGGGGCAGTGCTGGGCAGTGTTTCTGGCCACCAGGGACATGTAGGCAGGTCCAGTCACCACAAAGCAGTTTTGTGCCCCACGGCGGTTCTGGACGCACCTGTCCCTGCGAGATTCGGCTCCTGCACTTGTCTCTCCCTCCTTCCGCTTTTTCTTCCTCCTTCCCTAACCATGTCAATGACTTGCAGTCCTGCCTCATTCTGCAGGGAATGGGGAGCCTTGGGGACTCCGGAGCACACAATGACGTGCTTGCTTAGCATTTAGGAAGGTCGAGAATAGGGTAAGGCCAGCAAGTCTCGGGGGTGCAAAAGGTAACCGACACTCACTCTCCAGTGCTCACCCTGAACTTGCACCACCTCAGATTTAAACATCCCCCCCACCCATCCCTGCCTTGCCTCCCCTTCATCCAAGCCCTGCAGAGCAGGCAGAAAAGTGAAAGTTAGATTCCAGAAGGAGCCGAATTCCTGTGGCTGAAAGGTGGCAACGCTCCAACCCGCAGCCCTGGCAGGGCCTTGGAAGAAGGAAGGGCTGGAGGTGCAGGCGGAAGAGGCTGTCCTCTGTATCATGTGGAATCCTGTTTTAGTGCACGGGCTATAAATTGAATTTCCAGGCCTTATTTAGAGTACATCCCCAGAAATGGTTTGTCCTGCTTCTGCTATTTTTAAAAAGCACTCTGTTTAGGTAGTAGTTGAGAGCACAGACTTGGGAGCCAAACTGCTTAAACACATCAAAAATGTGCCAGGCTGTGACCATTGTGCAGAAGAAGGCAACATGCCCAGCTTCCAGAAGAGGCCGATGCACAGGCCAGCAGTTACAGTGCCAGGTGGTAAGGGGTATGCAGACAAAAGCCCCCGGCCATGAATTTCCTTTCGGGATTAGCTGGGAAATGTTTCATGATTTAGTGTTAGTATTCAGAATGATAACCAGACTGGTGCTGAGGATCTTGGACTCTGGGGTCAGAACACTTGGGTTCAGCCCCCAGCCCTGCCACCTGCCACTGACTGGCAGGCCATATGACCGTGGCTAAGTACTTAACTTCAGTTTCTCCATCTGTAAAAAGGAGATGATAATGACATCAACCTCACGGAGGCCTTGTAAGGATTTATTTTTTTATTTTTTTAATTTAATTTTATTTATTTATTTTGAGACGGAGTCTCACTCGGTTGCCCAGGCTGGAGTGCAGTGGCACAATCTTGGCTCACTTCAAGCTTCGCCTCCTGGGTTCATGCCATTCTCCTGCCTCAGCCTCCCGAGTAGCTGGGACTACAGGTGCCCGCCACCACGCCCGGCTAATTTTTGTATTTTTAGTAGAGATGGGGTTTCACCTTGTTAGCCAGGATGGTCTCGATCTTCTGACCTCGTGATCCGCCCACCTCAGCCTCCCAAAGTGCTGGGATGACAGGCGTGAGCCACCGCGCCCGGGTGGCCTTGTAAGGATTAAAAGGCATGCTAATGTAAATAGCCCTGGCTGCAGGTAAGCACTCAATACATGTCACTGTTATCAACATGATGCTCTCACAAAGACAACGTAATTCTCCGTGTTCCCACCGCAGCCTCGACAGCTACAAGGCCACAGTTTTTACCATTTACAAGCCCTTCTCAAGGTGACTCCTTCGTTTCTGGACTCAGGGCCTGATCCTGGCCCCAGATCTGACAAGCGGCAGGGCCTTGGCCAGGTCACTCCTGCAGGCCACACCATTTGTGACACCTGTGACATGAGAAGTAAGGCCCTGTGCCTGCCAGGAGCGGCACGGCACCTGCAGCAGCACAGCCACCAAGCACAGCCACAGTCCCAGCACCCATGTGCCGGTGAGGTCCATCACTCATTCCCCATCCTCGGATGCCTTCTACAATCCGGTCTACAGGACCGGAATCCTGTCCGACCACCGATGACTCACACAAAGCAATGGGGGACCTGGGACAAGTGTGCCTCCATCTTGCAGGCTAACTCCTGGAGGAACTAACCCATGCGGAACTGCTCCCCACAGGGCAGGGGTTCTGGACCGAGACACTACTGACATGTGGGGCTGGGTCATTCTTCGGTGTGGCGCTGGCTGGTGCACCGCTTAGTGGCATCCCTGGCCTCTGCCCACTAGACGCTAGAACCCACCCCCAGACATTCCCAAATGTCACCATCTGGCAGAGAGAATGGCAGAATCACCCCCAGAAGTGGACAACTGCCACAGAGCAGTTCTGAGAAAAGGCTCCTCCTTCCTGAAGAAGGTGAAGATCCGAATTCTGACACCAAACACACACAAATACGCACGCATGCACACGTGCAGGAAGCTAGCAGGAGGGAGGTGCCCCGCACAAATCTGGAGAAATATCACAGGGCTCGGCTGGGCGTGTTGGCTCACGCCTGTAATCCCAGCACTTTGGCAGGCTGAGGCAGGCGGATCACGAGGTCAGGAAATCGTGACCAGCCTGGCCAACGTGGTGAAACTCCGTCTCTACTAAAAAATACGAAAATAAGCTGGGCATGGTGGCGGGCACCTGTAATCCCAGCTACTTGGGAGGCTGAGGGAGGAGAATCACTTGAACCCCGGAGGCGGAGGCTGCAGTGAGTGAGATCACATCGCTGCACTCCAGCCTGGGCAACAGAGCGAGACTCTGTCTCAGAAAAAAAAAAAAAAGAAAAGAAAACAAAGAAAGATCACAGGGCCCGTTAGGCTCCTTCCATTTCAAGGGGCGAAGATGCAGCAGGTCACCTCAGTGTTTCACGTGTCCGTGTGAAAAGACCACCAAACAGGCTTTGTGTTAGCAACATGGCCATTTATTTCACCTGGGTGCAGGCGGGCTGAGTCCGAAAAAGGAGTCAGCAAAGGGTGGTGGATTATCATTAGTTCTTAGAGGTTTTGGGATAGGTGGTGGAGTTTGGAGCAATGGTTTGCAGGCAGAGGGTGGATCTCACAAAGTACATTCTCAAGGGTGGGGAGAATTACAAAGAACCTTCTTAAGGGTCGGGGAGATTACAGAGTACAGTGATCAGTTAGGGTGGGGCAGTAACAAATCACAATGGTGGAATGTCATCAGTTAAGGCTATTTTCACTTCTGTGGATCTTCAGTTGCTTCAGGTCATCTGGATGTATACATGCAGGTCACTGGGGATACGATGGCTTAGCTTGGGCTCAGAGGCCTGACACTCAGGAGATGGGTCTGTCACCAGGGTGCATGGAAGTGAGGAAGCCTCCACTGTCAGGACATAGAAGCCCCTGGTGAGCTCAGAGCCAGCCCAGGGCCCCGCATCCTGTGTCCTGTCAAACTCCAGAGTTTCCTCCTCCCTCCTGATCGATTGCACCACAGTGGCCGCTCTGCTGCTTCTCCTCACTGCTTTGTCCGCCCTCCTTACCCTCCGCATATTTGGGCCTCTCTGGGCATATCCTACATTGAGATCTGCTGGGAAGGCTGGTTTGGGGATCTGTAAATCTCCACCTGTCTTATTAGTTTGGATTCCCCAGAAACAGACTCTGAGTCAAAGATTTGAGTGCAAGGAAAGTATTTGGGGATAACTCAGGAAACACTACAGGAGCAAGGGAGTGAGGATTTGAGGCAGGAAAGGGAAAGAAGCCATAAAGAACTGATACAGAAGAGATTACTGCCGGACACGGTGGCTCACGCCTGTAATCCCAGCACTTTGGAAGGCCAAGGTGGGAGGATCATGAGGTCAGGAGTTTGAGACCAGCCTGACCAACATGGTGAAACCCCGTCTCTACTAAAATTAGAAAAATTAGCCAGGCGTGGTGGCACATGCCTGTGTCCCAGATACTGCAGAGGCTGAGGCAGGAGAATTGCCTGAATCTGGGAGGCAGAGGTTGTGGTGAGCCAGGTTCGCACCACTGCACTCCAGCCTGGGTGACAGAGAGACTCCATCTAAAAAAAAAAGAGAGAGATTACTTAGTGTCTCATGTGTCCGTGTGAAGAGACCAGCAACAAGGCTGTTTATTTCACCTGGGTGCAGGCGGGCTGAGTCCGAAAAAGGAGTCAGCAAAGGGTGGTAGGATTATCATTAGTTCTTAGAGGTTTTGGGATAGGCGGTGGAGTTTGGAGCAATGTTTTGGGGGCAGGGGGTGGATCTCACAAAGTACATTCTCAAGGGTGCGGAGAATGACGAAGAACCTTGTTAAGGGTGGGGAGAATGATGAAGAACCTTGTTAAGTGTGGGGAGAATGATGAAGAACCTTGTTAAGGGTGGGGAGAATGATGAAGAACCTTGTTAAGGGTGGGGGAGAATGATGAAGAACCTTGTTAAGGGTGGGGAGAATGATGAAGAACCTTGTTAAGGGTGGGGAGAATGATGAAGAACCTTGTTAAGGGTGGGGAGAATGATGAAGAACCTTGTTAAGGGTGGGGAGAATGATGAAGAACCTTGTTAAGGGTGGGGAGAATGATGAAGAACCTTGTTAAGGGTGGGGAGAATGATGAAGAACCTTGTTAAGGGTGGGGAGAATGATGAAGAACCTTGTTAGGGGTGGGGGAGATTACAAAGTACATTGATCAGTTAGGGTGGGGCAGAAAAATATCCCAATGGTGGAATGTCATCAGTTGAGGCTATTTTCACTCCTGTGGATCTTCAGTTGATTCAGGCCATCTGGATGTATACGTGCAGGTCACTGGGGATATGATGGCTTAGCTTGGGCTCAGAGGCCTGACATTCCTGTCTTCTTATATTAATAAGAAAAATAAAATGGTAAAGTGTTGGGGTGGCGAAAATTTTGGGGGGTGGTATGGAGAGATAATGGGCGATGTTTCTCAGGGCTGCTTCGAGCGGGATTAGGGGTGGCATGGGAACCTACAGTGAGAGAGATTCAACTGAAGAAAGATTTTGGGGTAAGGGGTGATATTGTAGGGTTGTTAGAAGGAGCATTTGGCATATAGAATTATTGGTTGGACTGGATGCGGTTTTGTATGAATTGAGAAACTAAACGAAAGACACAAAGTCCGAATAAAAGAAGGAGAAAGATAGGTTGAAAGGACTAAGAATTGGGAGGACTCAGGATGTCCAATTAGAGAGTGTCCAAGGGGGTTCAACGTTATTGTTTGCTTGGTTGGCAAGTTTTTGGGCTCTATCCTTGAGTTTTTTTATGTTGTCATATACCAGGCCAGATTGATTTAGGTAAAAACAACACTCTTCATTTAAAAATATACAGTCCTCTTTTTTAGCAGTAAGTAAATCAAGGCCTCAGTGATTTTGGAGGAAAGAGAAATGCAAAGCCAGCAACTGTTTGTTAAAGAAGGATTAGAAACGGCTAGGAGAGAGTGACTGAGATTGACAGTGTGGTGGAGATAGCTGGGGAAAGGTGGAGGGTGGCATAAGAACGGGAACGAGAATAAGAGTAAGTATAAAAGCAAAGAATAGGACTTCATCAGGGTGAAAGTATTGAAGTGCACTTTGTCACTGAAGATCTTCTATCCACTTAAAGAGAGACCTAAGGGTGGCAGTTTGAGGTAAAACCAGGTGCCACTGAATACCAAGAGCCTGAGAAACTGCTCAGGTGATTTGACTAGTAAAGGCCGGTCCATTATCTGACTGTATAGAGGTGGGAAGGCCAAACCGAGGAATTATGTCTGACAGAAGGGAAGAAATAACCACGGTGGCCTTCTCAGACCCTGTGGGAAAGGCCTCTACCCACCCAGTGAAAGTGTCTACCCAGACCAAGAGGTATTTTAGTTTCCTGACTCGAGGCATGTGAGTAAAGTCAATTTGCTAATCCTGAGCGGGGGCAAATCCCCGAGCTTGAGGTGTAGGGAAGAGAGGGGGCCTGAGAAATTCTTGAGGAGTAGTAGAATAGCAGGTGGAACATTGAGAAGTTATTTTCTTGAGGATAGATTTCCACGATGGAAAGGAAATGAGAGGTTCTAAGAGGCGGGCTAGCGGCTTGTAACCTACATGGAAGAGGTTATGAAATGACGATAGAATAGAATGGGCCTGTAAGCCTGGAAGGAGATATTTTCCTTGGTCCAAGAACCATTTGCCTTGTGTGGGAAGAGATTGATAGGTGGAAGTTTCAGTGGGGGAGTAGGTGGGAGTGGCCAGATGAGAAGGAGAAAAACTGCTGTGAGGGATAGAAGTTGAAAGCTAGCTGCTTTTTTAGCTACCTTATCAGCATAAGCATTGTCCTGAGCGATGGGATCTGATGCCTTTTGATGGCCCTTGCAGTGTATGACTCCAGCTTCCTTTGGAAGTAAAGCGGCCTTGAGAAGAGTTTTTATTAAAGAGGCATTAATGATGGAGGACCCTTGTGTGGTGAGGAAACTTTTCAGCCCATAAAACATCATGGTGGTGCAGGATATGGGGTCAGTATAAATATTGACGTGTAGTCCCTTTGCAAGAGTGAGGGCTCGAATTAAGGCAATGAGTTCGGCTTCCTGAGAGGTAGTGGAGGGAGGCAGAGCGGTAGCCTCAATGATAGATGTGGAAGATTCTATAGCATAGCCTGCCTTTGCTAGTGAGTGGCGATTAGGCCTGATGGACTAAACCAAATGTGATCAATAAACCAAATGTGATCAGAGTGAGGAACAGGAAAGAAGGAAATATGGGGAAATGGAATGAATGCCAGGTGGATCAGAGAGATACAGTCATAGGGGTCAGGTGTGGTATCCGGAATAACGTGGAAGGCCAGATTGAAGTCCGGGCCAGGAACAATGGTAATTGTGGGAGACTCAACAAAGAGTGAATATAGCTGAAGGAGCTGGGGAGCAGAAAGTATGTGTCAGGTGTGAGGAAGAAAATAGATTTTGGAAGTTATGAGAACTGTAGAGAGTGAGTTGAGCATAGTTTGTGATTTTGAGGGCACCAAATGTCTCACATGTCCGTGTGAAGAGACCATCAAATAGGCTTTGTGTGAGCAACAAGGCTGTTTATTTCACCTGGGTGCAGGCGGGCTGAGTCCAAAAAAGGAGTCAGCAAACTGATGGGATTACCACGGCACTCCAGCCTGGGCGACAGAGGGAGACTCCATCTCAAAAAAAAAAAAAAAAAAAGATGGGCTAGTGGGGGATGCACCGGACTTTATAGTCAGGCTTGAGGAGGCAGTTCCTGATTTACACAGGGCTCACAGATTGGTTCCATCAGGTATGACGTTTACATAGCAAGGGGAACGCTGGTTGCCCCACCCTAATCTTATTATGCAATGAACTTTCCCTTTGGCTGGCGGCCATCTTGTCTGCTCCTTACTGTACACGTGGCTGACAGAGATAAGGGAAGATGGAGCTGCCATCTTGAACATGATTGGCACAACAGCTGGTGTCTATGTCTGCAGCTTGATTTTACAGGCTGCTTTTTGTTAGAAAGGAAAATAATTTGGGGTTGCTCTTCATTAAAAGGACAACCTTACCGGGGACTTCCGTATCCCCACTATCTGCCTAAGTGTCAGGGCTCAGAGCCCAAGCTAAGCCATCATACCCCCAGTGACCTGTGCCATCTAGGCTCACTGCAAACTCCACCTCCCGGGTTCATGCCATTCTCCTGCCTCAGCCTCCTATCTTTTTCCTCTTGGAAGTCCCATCTCTCTCACTAGAGAGAGAGCTGTTTTTCTTTCTCTTTCTGTCTCTCTTTTATCTATTAAACCTCCGCTCCTAAACTCCTTGTGTGTGTCCATGTCCTAAATTTTCCTGGCAAGACAGTGAACCCCAGGTATTTACCCCAGACAATATAGCTGCTTCAGAACGTTCTATGGGCAGGGAGCCACTGTGGCCACCTGGGCTTACCCTGCAGGCACTGTTGGGAACACATGCCTGTGTCACCCCATGCAAAGAGGAGCAAGCAGGATCCAGGCATGGTAGCTCACGCCCGTAATCCCAGCAATTTGGGAGGGTGAGGTAGGAGGATCCTGTGAGGCCAAGAGTTCAAGACCAGCTTGGGCAACATAGTGAAACCCCGTCTCTACAAAAAAACAAAGAAAAAAACTAGCTGGGTGTGGTGGCGTGTACCTGTAATCCCAGCCACTTGGGAAGCTGAGGAAGGAGGATCTCTTGAGCCCAGGAGTTCAAGCTTGTAGTGAGACATTATTGTGCCACTGTACTCCAGCCTGGGTGACAAAGGGAGACCTGTCTCTAAAAAACCCAAAGAGGAGCAAGTTGGGTGCTACCAGGCCAACTCTGAGTCACAGTGAAGGGCTGCCTCTGGGAGGGGCGTTAACACCTTAGCTCTTCTGGCCTATGCAGCAAAGCCAACTCCCAAGGCCAGAGAGCCTTCAGGCAGGTGAGAGCAGACTGCTGCGCATGACATGGGTCACAACACCCGACAGAGTTCTACTGCCCGGCCATCCTGCAGGCCCCTGGCCTCTCTGATGCCTACTCTGTGCCTTTGGGTTGACATTCCTGGGTGCTCGGCGAGTCATTGCTGAAGAGGGACACCTCACTTGGGGGAGTTCTGTAATGTGGGATGGTCCAGTGTCAAAGAATGAGGAGAAAACATTCCAGACAGAAGGAGATGTGTAGGCCTGGAGAAACAGCTTGGTGTGTTCAAGAAACGGGAAAGAACTGGTGTGCTGGAGTGTGGTGGAATGCAGTCAAGGCCAAAGCTTGTACTGTTCTCCACACAACAGCCAGTAAGTCAAGAGACAAGGTATGGGGGCAAGGAAGAAGACTCTATTTTAGAAAGCCAGCAAAACAGAGAAGATAATGGACTAATGCCCTAAAGAACCATCTTGGGCCAGGCATAGTGGCTCATGCCTGTAATCCCAGCAATTTGGGAGGCTGAGGTGGGCAGATTACTGGAGGTTGGGAGTTCAAGACAAGCCTGGCCAACATGGTGAAACTCTGTCTCTACTAAAAATACAAAAATTAGCCGGGCGTGGTGGCACACGCCTGTAACCCCAGCTACTCGGGAGGCTGAGGCACGAGAATTGCTTGAACCTAGGAGGTGGAAGTTGCAGTGAGCCAAGATCATGCCACTGCCCTCCAGCTTGGGCAACAGAGGTAGACTCTGTCTCAAAGAAAAAAAAAAAAAAAGAAAGTAACATCTATAGCGAATATGAATTTCAGAATCCTTTTATATTAGGGAAAAAGGGGAGAGGGAGGGGTTGAGATCAAAAGGTGATCTATGACTACAGACAACTGAGTGGCAGCAAGGGTAAACTTCTTTGTCCCTGGTCAGGTCACAGTGCTCTTATACATTTTTAACATAATATTGTTACTTGTGTACACACCCTCCTTATCTCTTTGGGGGCTAGTTTTGGGAAGTGGCTCTTATCATCCTTGCTTTAAGGTTAAACTCTAAATTTCTCCCATAGTTAGCTTGGCCTATATGCAGAGATACCATAGCAGTAGGGGTGAGGGGTTAGCAGCAAAATAGAGTTACATGTACACTGTTACATGAATGAGAGTGAGTAGGGTGAAGTTAGAGCAGTAGGGGGCCAGGGGTGGTGGGGTGGGGGCACGGGGCAGACACATTCACAGGCTCCTCAGTAGGACAGACACTCTGTCTTGAGCCCAAATGGAGAGTCACACAATCCATGAAGTGGTAGGTGAGCCCGAGAGGAGTCCATGAGCCAGAGTTGATCTGCTTGATGATGTCTCTTGTGCATGGTGGCTGCACCTGACAGCAATAACTGAAGCATACCGTGAGAACAACCCTGCATGGCAGACACACCTGAATGTGTGTTTGGAGTTTCCAGCATGGCCAATCTGAAGATTCATTCCTTAACTCTGAGGAACATCTGAGCCCCCAGCACATCCTGTGGAATGTGGTCCATAGAGAGCATGAAGGCCCTTTGTTTTGGGTTAAAGGAAGGTTGCCAGGTAGAAGTTGCTAAGTGAAGGTGTTCTATAAACTGCATGCTTTTTGCAAGTGGTGGCAGTTCTCCTGTCTGCCTGCTGCCACTCTGTCTTGAGCCCAAATGGACCATCCCTGTATGTAAGTTCCCAGTAAATCCTATGTCCCATTTGCTGGCACTGCATCTCTTCTTCAGACTCTTGAACCTGGTACCATCCCTATTGAAGGTAATAGGGATGCGGCACCGCACTTCGATAGCTGAAGGAAGAGGGAGGGTATTTGTGAGAGGCTATGTTGGGTAACAAAAGAAAAGGAGAGGCCACCGAGGCCCATGGCAAGGCATGGCCTCTCCACTCTGTCCCCAGGTGCTTGGCACAGAACAAGAGCCTGGCAAACACTCCCCCAGGGCCCCATGGGAAGAGGGGCTGCTGCAGCTTCTGGGATGAACTTTGCCAGACACAAGCAGGAGCACAAGCAATAATACTTCAGGGCCCAACTGTCAAAGATTTAGCAAATAGAAATTTAAGATGCCTTGCTTCTTGATGAGATGAATAGTAAAACAAATTTTAAAAATAAAAAATAAAATATCAGATGCCTCGTTAAGTTTGAATTTCAAAGCAACAATAATTTTTAGTGTAAGTATAGTCCCAAATATTATATCTAAAATATACTAAGAAAATTCAAGGTTTGTATCTGAAATTCAAATTTGACGGGACTTCCTGTATTTTATCTGGCAACCCTAGCCCTGCTCTATCTATCTAAGGATGTAGAAAAAGGCTCCATTCCCTGTTGGAGGGCTGCTGCATTAGTCAGGGTTCTCTAGAGGAAAAGACCTAATAGGACAGATGTATATATGAAGGGGAGTTTATTAGGGAGAGCTGACTCACAAGATCACAAGGTGAAGTCCCACGATAAGCCGTCTGCAAGTGGAGAAACAAGGAAGCCAGTCCAAGTCCCAAAACTTGAAAAGTAGGGAAGCCAACAGTGCAGCCTTCAGTCTGTGGCTGAAGGCCCAAGAGCCCCTGGCAAACCACTGGTGTATGTCCAAGAGTCCAAAGGCTAAAGAATGTGGAGTCTGATGTTGGAGGGCAGGAAGCATCCAGCATGGGAGAAAGATGAAGACTGGAAGACTCAGCAAGTCCCCTTCTCCCATCTCCTCTGCCTGCTTTATTCTAGCTGTACTGGCAGTTGATTAAATTGGTGCCCACCCACAGTGAGTGTGGGTCTACCTCTTCAGTCCACTGACTCAAATGCTAATCTCCTTTGGCAGCACCCTCACAGACACATCCAGGAACAATACTTTGCATCCTTCAATCTAATCAAGTTGACACAGCTGAAATGAGCCACTACCACTCAGGATCTATAAGATACAAGCCTGAGGCAAGCAAGGAGCAATGACAGTAAACAGCACAGACTGCAGACAGGGCTGCAAGTACTGACTTCACATCAACGAGAACCCAGTGGAAGCTGAGAGAGTGCCCATTTTTAGCACAAAATTTTTAAACCTAGATGAAAACTTAGAGAAGTAAATAATTCCTGCCAAAGTCTCACCTATAAGTTATCTGAAGTTAGTTATCTATTAACTTTGTGACTGGACAAATTATTTAACATCTTAGAGAAGACAGAATTTGCGATTTGTGTTGATCCAGATTAATTGCCCTTAATAAGTCAATAATGTTCAGAAGAATGCAATAGAATTCTGAAAATCCATAATCTTTCTTAATGTCCAAACACCATTCAAAATTGTTTCATAACAAGAATCCACAAAACGTGACCCATCTCAAGAGAAAAAACAAACAGCCATGATCAACCCCATTCCAGATGCTGGAATTAGCAAAGATGTTGAAGCAGCTACTATAACTATACTCAGGGGCATAAAAGAAAATACTCTTTTTTTTTTTTTGAGACGGAGTCTCGCTCTGTCACCCAGGCTGGAGTGCAGTGGCGCAATCTTGGCTCACTGCAAGCTCCGCCTCTCGGGTTCACGCCATTCTCCTGTCTCAGCTTTCCCAATAGCTGGGACTACAGGCGCCCACCATCACGCCCGGCTAATTTTTTGTATTTTTAGTAGAGACGGAGTTTCACCGTGGTCTCGATCTCCTGACCTCATGATCCGCCTGCCTCGACCTCCCAAAGTGCTGGGATTACAGGCGTGAGCCACCGCACCCTGCCAAGAAAATAGTCTTGAAACAAGCAAAATGATATAAATCTCAAGAGAGAAATAGACATTTTAAAAAGTCAACCCAGAATTCTAGTACCAGTGATGATCTCCTTAAGAATGAAGTGAAAACATCTTCAGATTAAAGAAAACTGACAGAATTTGTTGCTATCAGATCTACTATAAACAATCCTAAAGGAATTTCTTCAGGCTGATAGGATATGATAATAGGGGAAAACTCAGATCTTCAGGAAGGAATGGAAAGGATTGAAAATGGTAAATACATGGGTAAATATAAAAGACTTTTTATCTTAATTTTCTTAATTTCTTTAAAATATAACTGTGTGAAGAAATGATTATAACATTTTCTTATAGAGTTTAGAATGATACCAATGTAATACTTACGACAATTGAAGCGGGGAGACTGGTAAATGGAGCTATACGATTGCAAGATTTACACGTATTTTTTGTTGTTTTTTTGTTTTTTTGTTTTTGAGATGGAGTCTTGCTCTGTCGCCCAGGCTCCTGGAGTGCAGTGGCACGATCTTGGCTCACTGCAACCTCCACCTCCCTGGTTCAAGTGATTCTCCTGCCTCAGCCTCCCCAGTAGCTGGGACTACAGCCATGCATCACCATGCCCAGCTAATTTTTGTATTTCTAGTAGAGATGGGGTTTCACCATGTTGGCCAGGCTGATCTCGAACTCCTGACCTCAAGTGATCCTCCCGCCTCAGCCTCCCAAAATGCTAGGATTATAAGTGTGAGCCACCGTGCCCAGCCAAGATTTATACATTTTACATAAAATGGTACAATATTAACTCTAAATAGACTGATATATATATTTAAATCTCTAGAGCAACCACTCAAAGGGGATTTTGGGGGGAGCTATGCGTCTTTCAGTAGCTTCTAGTTTCACATCCGTATTTCTAGTCTGACCGTTTTCTGTCCCATGCTAGACCCTGCCCTGATTCCTTTACTCCCTAAAATACCACCAACGAAAGGCTATGTGTAAGGCAGACTTCACTGAAAGTGGGGGGCAATGGATGATTCATCACAGACCACACAGTCAACAACGTACAAACAACAATTAGAAATCTTTTTCTTTTCCTTTTTTTTTTAAGAGACAGAGTCAGCTGTGTGCCGTGGCTCACACCTGTAATCCCAGCACTTTGGGAGGCCAAAGCAGGCATATCAATTGAGCCCAGGAGTTCAAGAGAAGCCTGGGCAACATGGCAAAACCCTGTCTCTACAAAAACCACACAAAAAAAATTAGCTGAGCATGGTGGCACGTGCTTGTTGTTCCAGCTACTCAGGAGGCTGAGCTGGGAGGATCACCTGAGCCCAGGGAGGTCGAGGTTGCAGTGAGCTATGATCACACCACTGCCCCCAGTCTGGATGGCAGTGAGACCCTGTCTCAAAGCAAATAATAATAATAATAATAAAGACAGGGTCTCACTGTCACTCAGGCTGGAGGGTAGTTGTGCGATCATAGCTCACTGCAGCCTCAAACTCCTGGGGTCAAATGATTCTTCTCCCTCAGCCTCCCAAGTAGCAAGGACTACAGGCATGCTACCATACCCAGCTAAAGAAATCTTTGTTTTTAGAATTCTTCAGTCACCGGGCCATCAGAAATTTCTCTCTGATCTACTTTATTTGAGCTCCCCCGCTACCTTGCCCCTTGCATTTGCCCCTCTCTCTTAAGAACTTTCCACAATCTTCTTACCTGTCCTCTTGAGCAACATGACTTTCTGTCTATTCAAAGCCCATCCTGGCCATGCTTTGGTGCTGGGGAGGTGCCACTGCTTTACAACAGCCATGGCCCTTAAGATGCTCTGCTGTAAAAAGACAGTTTTCTCTCTGAAAAATTCCACTACCAGCTTTCAAACCCATTTTTCTTTCCTCCTACATAGATATACCACCAAGCTATCTCTGTCTCCCTTCTCTATTAAACAGAGCAAATGAGCTCAGATCCAAACTTGTCCACTCATCCAAGCCAAACAAGAGCCTTGGAGGCATCCAAACCCACCCTCAATGGCTACTGTCATACAAGTGTGCCTCCTGGAGTCCCACACCCCACCTCAAGTGGCTTATGTGTTCACCCAAAATATATATTTATTAAGCATCTCCTACACAGTGCTTGTCATAATATTATATATATAACTCTCCCTAAGAAGGATTTTTTTTTTTTTTTGAGACAGAGTCTCACTCTGTTGCTCAGGCTGGAGGGCAGTGGCGTGATCACAGCTCACTACAGTCTCATCTTCTGGGCTCAAGTGATCCTCCCACTTTAGCCTCCCAAGTAGCTGGGACTACAGACTCACGCCAACACACTTGGCTGAGTTTTTTGTAGTTTTCGTAGAGACAGGGTCTTGCTATGTTGCCCAGGTTTGTCTTGAACTCCTGACCTCAAGCAATCTGCCCGTCTTGGCCTCTCAAAGTACTGGGATTACAGGAATGAGCCACTGCGCTTGGCTGTTTTTATTTTTATTTTTAAACGTTAGACTAAGATGGATTTTTCTGAAAGCCACTAAGAGGACAAAAAATACCATTTCCAAATCATCTCCTTGTCACTGATTAACACCGGGCCCCTTTAAGGCTAGTTTAAGAAACCCAAGCTGATTGTAAAAGCTTTGTGCCAGTCACCTATTGCTGCATAACAAACAGCTCCAAAACTTAAAACAATGACAACACTTACTTTGCTCACAAATCTGTAACTTGGGCAGGGCTTGTTGGGGACAGCTTGTATCAGCTGCACTCAGCATCACTGGGTGTGCTTGAAAGTTGGGGGCTGGAACCATCTGAAGCTTCATTCACTCCCAAGTCTGGTGGTTAATGATGGCGTCATTGGGGACCTCAGTTGAGCTGGGCTGTGCCTGGAGCACCAATGACATTGATGTATGGTTTTCCTGGATGACTCTCTGGCTTCTTCACAACACCCTTGGCTGGGTTCTAAGAGCCAGGGGGGAGAGAGAGAGAGAGAGAAAAATGAGAGAGAGAGAGAGACAGAGAGATAGAAAGAGAAATGAGAGAGAGAGAGAGAGAGAGAAATGAGAGAGAGAGAGAGAGAGAGACAGAGAGAGATAGAGAGACAGAGAAATGAGAGAGAGAGAGAATGAGAAAATGAGAGAGTGCACCAGCTGGAAGCCATATCACCTCTTATGACCTAGCCTCTGAAGTTGTGCTGAATCATTTCTGCTGCTTTCTACTTGAAGCAAGCCCACATTCAAGGGTGAGGGAATTAGACTCCACCTTTTGATGGGTGAAATGTCGAAGACCTTGCAGGTATGTTTTAAAATCCCACAGCCTTAAAGAGAAATGTTGATCATAACGGAAGGTTTTCCTGATGGGCAGTAATGAGAGGAAAATCATACTGTACAATCTAGAGAAAGCTTCTCTAAAATCCTCATTACCCACTTTTCTCCCAAAGGACTTCAGGGCAGCCCAGGCACCCCACTCTCCTCTCTGCACCCCTTCTCCCTCACTTTCCTTTCTGGTCTAGTTCACACCCTCCCAGGTTTATAAAGTGACATTGAGACTCATACGTTTTTTCTTTTCTCCATGGTCCCTGTCCATTGATTCCCTCAAATGAACCAACAAGGCCTCTCCTCCTTAGGAAGGTGGGAGAAGGTAGGTTCCCATGCTAACGTTTTTCATGTGTGTGTGTGTCTGTATGCGTGTGTATACACATAAACACATCTATGTGTTTGAAAATAAACCCAATCATTTTAACTTAGTAATTATATTTGCAAATTAACCCCATAATTTGAATAGACTAGATATTTTTATATGCACATAACCTATGAATATAAAGAGATGTGCCTAAATGTACAGGAAACAGGGCACCCTTAAGAGAGACCTTAATGAAGAGTCCATTTACAGAGGTACAGGCAGAGTTAAGAGAAGTAGCAGGGATGTGGAGGCGGTCAGGGACTAGCAACAGCAGGAAGCCACCACCTTCCTTAGATCTGAAGGGGGGTGGGTATGGCATTACCTGAGGTGGTGGTAGCCGGACCCCAGGAGACTGACCCCTGCTAGAAGCTGCTGTCAGAAAAGAAACCAAGAACAACTGAGAGGTTAGAAAGTTGTAGATTAAAGTTACTTTGACCTCTCTTTTCTCCTGCCTTTTTGTCCCCTGCTGATTCTTCCCTTTGGTCAAACCCAACCAGAATCCAGAGGGCAGGTGGTGGTATTGCCCTCCAGGGCTCAGCCTCCAGCCCAGAGCACAGTGAGAAGAACAGACAATGGACAGGGAGGAAGAGGGGCAAATGGAGAGTACCCAGCACAACTTGTTTAAAAATGAATAAGATCATCTTTTGATGGCAACTCTTTCTTCTTTGTTTTCTTTTTTTTTGAGACAGAGTTTCACTCTCATTGGCCAGGCTGGAGTGCAATGGCGTGATCTCAGCTCACTGCAACATCCACCTCCCAGGTTCAAATGATTCTCCTGTCTCAGCCTCCTGAGTAGCTAGGATTATAGGTGCGTACCACCTCACCCAGCTAATTTTTGTATTTTTAGTAGAGACGAGGTTTCACCATGTTGCTCAGGCTGGTCTCAAACTCCTGACCTCAGGTGATCCACCCGCCTCAGCCTCCCAAAGTGCTGCGATTACAGGCGTGAACCCCTGCGCCCAGCCAGCTCTTTCAAACTGTTACATACACTGGGAGTAAAAGATGGTGGGGGGCCGCATGCCCAAACAATGAAGAAAAATAGTGACAGCAATTGGCATGACAGTCCAATTCTTAATTGCATGAGCTAATGAAGTGGAATTCCTGGCATGACTTACCCCAAAGTAATTTATATTTGGCTTGGAAAACAGAATGGTTTTTATAACAGATTTTTCTAATTATGTTTTACTTATGTTAATATGAGGGTTTGACTCCCCAAGTAAATACCACCTGCTCACAAAGCAGGATGGCTCAGAAGTGCACTGAGCACCAGGTGGAAGCCAGGCTGGGATTTCACAATTTGCTGCAGACGATGCAAAAGTATCTGGAAGTTTTTGCTTTTGATGTGTGGGGGCTGCTCTCTCCAACTCATTTGTAAAAGCATTAAGGGCAGCTACTGTATCTCATGCTTCCTCTCGATTCCTCAAAGATAATAATACTCAAACTTTGCTATGCATAAAAATCACCTGGGGAACTTGTTAAAATGCAAACTCCTGGGCCCTGCCAGGATGATTGATTCTGTTGGTCTGGGTGATGCCTAGGAATCTGAATTTCAGCAAGCACTCCAGGTCCTTCTCATGCTGGTGTTTGGGCCATCACATTTGGAGAAACACCACTGAAAACATTAGACACATGGATTCATACTCAAAGGAGGCAAAGTGCTGTAACAGATGAAGTGGGGGAATGATTAAGAGCCAGAGCTGGGTTCCAATCCCAATTTTGCCGTGAATTCATTGAGGCAGCTTACCTTCTCTGATAATCATTTGCAAGAAGGCTAATACATAGACATCGGAGTCATTAGGAAAACTGGAGGTAGCAAATGAAAAATAAAAATTGGGTGAAAACATAGTGGCTTTCACTATTTGTACCCAGAGGGTTCTCGGGTGAGCCTTTCTCAAGGTAACTGGGCTCTGAGAATCCTACCTTGGAAGACCCATGAGGATGGCACCTGTAAGATCAGCTGGTCTGGTACCATCTTAGCACTGTTTCCTTGCAGTCACTGAGTGCCATCCTGAGACACTGTATTTCATAGATTTCATGTTTTTCAGGCTCACTCTTTCCTTGTTTCTACTTGTGAAATTATTATTCATCCTGCAGCATATGGACAACAGGTTTTTTACCCATTCTCTCTTGCCGTTGGCAGGATACCATTCAACAATATGGTGTTAACAAAAAATATTAAAACTAGCTGTCTTAAATTTTTGGTTCTGGTTCATAATGTTGCATAATGAAAAGGAAAATCTTTCCCACAGTCCCAGTGGTGCGGAAACACTTAGAAATGACTGTAAATATAGACTCTCAAATGACAAGAGGTTGTTTTATGTCATTCTGCGATTTCTTTTTCACAGCATGTTCTATGTGCTGGAATAAAAATTTTTAATGAAGTCAGAATGCTAAATTTAATGGAACCTTTGCTCTTTGTTCATTGCAAAATACATCATGTTTCCATTGAATTTGCTGTGCATCTTGGCATCAGGTCCCACACAGCAAAACAAAACTCAGACCTCATAATTCAATAGTTTTGATTATGCCCAGATTCTAAAGACCACTGCATGTCTTTCCTAATTTGTTACTCACTTGATTTTCAGTGAATAAATGTAAAAAGAGTCTCCAATTGTTCCTCTTAAATCACCCTAATTGAACATAAGAGTGATAATGTATGACTGGAGGAATATTTTACATAATGTAAGTACTAATCCTAGGTGGCATATAATTAGCTTGCAATTTTTTTTTTTTTTTTTTTTTTTTTTGGTCAATAAGTAGCATAAAAATACTGATTGAGGCTGTGACTCACACCTGTAATCCCAGCACTTTGGGAGGCTGAGGTGGGCGGATCACTTGAGGTCAGGAGTTTGAGACCAGCCTGGCCAACATGGTGAAACCCCATCTCTACTAAAAATACAAAAATTAGCCAGGCATGGTTGAGCATGCCTGTAGTCCCAGCTACTCGGGAGGCTGAGGAAGGAGAATCGCTTGAACCCAGGAGACAGAGGTTGCAGTGAGACGCGATGGCACCACTGCACTCCAGCCTGGGTGCCAGAGCGAGACTCTGTCCCAGAAAAAAAAAAAAAACTGATTGTTACGGAGAATAAATTTTAGCTGCAAGGTGTTCCAAGCAGGCTATTCAAAACATGTACTTATAACTTAGGGGTATAAAATTTATAGTAACCTGTTAGTGACTGCAAAATCTAATCTAGTTACCAGACCTTTGCTTCTCAAACTTAGGTGTACATAAGAAATATGTGAGGTGCCTGTTTTAAAAATGCAGGTCCTTGGCCAGGTGCAGTGGTTCACGCCTGTAATTTGGAAGGCTGAGGTGGGAGGATTGCTTGAGCTCAGGAGTTCAAGGCCAGCCTGGGCAACATAGTGGGACCCTGTCTCTATAAATAAAATTTTAAAAAGTGCCTGGCTTGGGACCATTCATAAAGAATCTGATACAGTGGCTGGGGGACACAGGAGCCAGGGGAGTTCGCAAAACCTAGGAACATACATTTTGAACACTACCCCCCCTGCCCCAGGTCATGCTGATGTAGCTAATTGAGCACTGGCTAGCCCATTCTCCCTACAGAGGCTCTTTCTTCCTTATTTGTACCCATCCATTCTCTTACCTGTGAGCAGACACAGGTGTGCACCCAAGATTATGAAATTTTGTTGAGCTCTTGGACTTCTCTTGGGCTAAGGCCACATGACAATCTACTCAGGAATAAGGTAAACCCACTCCAATCCAGCAAGTTACCTATCTCAGGAATTGCTAGTACTGGTTGAAGAGATGGATGCCTCTGGGCTAAGATAAAATGCACTATCTCATGGGTTCTCTACTTGATCCTCACTGCTCTATAGGGTGGGGCCTATGTGTATTTTATAGAGGAAGAAACTGAGGTTCAGGGAGGTCAGGGCACTGGCAAAGGTCATATAAGAAAGGTAAAGGCCAGGCCTGGTGGCTCAAGCCTGTCATCCCAGCACTTTGGGAGGCTGAAGCAGGTGGATCACCTGAGGTCACGAGTTCGAAACCAGCCTGGCCAACATGGTGAAACCCTGTCTCCACCAAAAATACAAAAATTAGCCAGGAGTGGTGGTGTGCGCCTGTAGTCTCAGCTAGTTGGGAGGCTAAGGCAGGAGAATCGCTTGAACCTGGGAGGCGGAGGTCGCAGTGAGCTGAGATTGTGCAACTGCTAGGAGACAGAGAGAGACTCTGTCTCAAAAAAAAAAAAAAAAAAGAAGAAGAAGAAAGAAAGAAAGAAAGAAGAAAGAAAGGTAGGGAACCAAGTCCCCAAAATTGTGTCTCCAGTCTCTAAGCTTGTTCTTTTCAACTCCTTGTCAAGAGTTTGGTTATATTGCCAGAATATGCAGAGATGGGTTAAGCATTTTACATTAAAAAAAACGACAACACATTACCTCTTGGTATTAATTTTCTATACAAGAGGAGATGATCTCAGTGTTCGCAGAACAGCAACTACACAGGCAATGATTAAAATTCTGAGAACACTCTCCCTCAGTCTGTCTTCAGACAATGCTTCCATCTTATGGTTAGGTATGAAAGTAGAAAAGTAATCTGGGGCCTGGTTCTCACACCCTCTGTCGCTGGCCTCCCTGGAGCTGGGTGGTGGCATTGCAAGGACTATTTACCAACAGGATTAGAAAAGTGATCTTCGCAAACCTCACTCTAGAATTTTCGAAACTGCTTTTTGTGCTTTTGGTAATGTATGAGTCTATTCAGCCTGCCACAACAAAAAGCCACAGAGTGGGTGGCTTAAACAACAGAAATTTATTTCTCACGTTTCTGGAGGCTGAAGTCCAAGATCAAGGTACCAGCAAGTTCAGTTTCTGATAAGGCCTCCCTTCCAGGCTGATGAACGCCTGTCATCTCACTGTGTCCTCACACGGCAGAGATAGCAGGAAAGAAATTTCTGCTTTCTCTTTCCCTTTCTTCCTCTTCTTTTTTTTTTTTTTTTTTTTTTTTTTTTTTTTTGAGATGGAGTCTTGTTCCCATCACCCGAGCTGGAGTGCAATGGCACGATCTCGGCTCACTACAACCTCTGCCTCCTGGGTTCAAGCGATTCTCCTTCCTCAGCCTCCCGAGTAGCTGGGATTACAGACGTGTGCCACCACACCCGGCTAATTTTTGTATTTTTAGTAGCGATGGGGTTTTGCCATGTTGGCCAGGCTGGTCTCGAACTCCTGACCTCAGGTAATCCGCACACCTCGGCCTCCCAAAGTGCTAGGATTACAGGCGTGAGCCACCGAGCCCAGGCACCTTTCTTCCTCTTCTTATAAAGCCACCCACCCTTATGGCTTCATTTAACCTTAATTACCTCCTAGAAGCCCGATCTCCAAATACCATCATAATGGGAGCTGGGGCTACAAAATATTAATTTGGTGGGGACCCAAAATTCAATCCATAGCAGATGGGTCCACTTATTTTCCAGGAAAGCAGCTTTGGACAGAGGCAAATAGGCAGCTTTTCTTAACTAAAGACAGAAAGTTCTATCTGAGAAGATGCCCTTCCAACCCTTTTCTCTTTTGGGGAGAAATGGATGCTTTATCAGGAAGTTAACATGTGTGATTACCAATCATAGGTGGGGGCCCAGGAGATTCCACGCTGCTGAACCTGGTTCCACAGCGCTCAGGCAGAGCTGTACACACGGTTGTATGTATGTGCACACTGCCCGGGGAGACACGCTGTAGCCACGATGGCTCCCCTGCTGTTTTGGGGACATGTCAGGCGAGCTCTGGCCTTAGGACTGACTTAGACTTGGTTCCCTGGAAGCAGAGCCTGAGCCTGGGGTTTTTGTGCAAAGATTCTTTTGGGAGAAGTCTAGTCTCAGCCTGATCCCAGGGGGAGCTCTGGAACATACATTACTTCCAGAGATGGTCCCTCTCAGGGGAAAGGGGATTGGACACTTGTCCCTGCCCCCATCAGTCAGGCATTGGTCCCCTCCCAGGCATGTCCAGGACAGGAAGCAGGTCAGGTCAGCCAAGGGCTATCCTCTGGAGAGGGGGACAGGTGTGAAGCTTTAGCGGACAACACCCCCGACCCCAACAACAGAGGGAGGGTGCCAGCGCTGCTACAGAGGAGCTCAGCGGGGCCCAGTTGCACCTACTATGGAGGAGCTGTTGCTCTAGCTGATCCCTCTGCCTGGGATGTTCTCCCCCAGATGACCTCATGGCCAACTCCCTCACCTCCTCAGAGCTTTGCTAAAATCTCACCTTCTTCCTTTTTTTTTTAGACAGAGTCTCACTCTGTAACTCAGGTTGGTTGGGGTGCAGTGGCATGATCTCAACTCACTGCAACCTCCACCTCCCGGGTTCAAGTGATCCTCATGCCTCAGTCTCCCGAGTAGCTGGGACTACAGGCACGTGCCACCATGCTCGGCTAAGTTTTGTATTTTTAGCAGAGACGGGGTTTCACCATGTTGGCCAGGCTGGTCTCAAACTCCTGACCTCAAGTGATCTGCCCGCCTCAACCTCCCAAAGTGCTGGGATCACAGGCGTGAGCCACCGCGCCTGGCCTTAAAATCGCACCTTCTCAATGGGCCCATCTTGGCCACCTTGTTGATGCAGAAACTGCACCCCCACCCACTCCCCATTACCGTCACCCGGCTCTGCTTCTTTTTTCCATAGAACTCATCACCTTCCAACACAGACTATTTATTTCTTTCGTATGTTTTTTTTTGGGGGGCGGGCATTGTTGTTGTTGTTTGTTTTTTTGAGACAGAGTCTCGCTGTATCGCCAGGCTGGAGTGCAATGGCACAATCTCGGCTCACTGCAACTTCCGCCTCCCAAGTTCAAGCGATTCTGTTGCCTCAGCCTCCTGAGTAGCCGGGATTACAGGCCCCCTCCACCACATCCGGCTAATTTTTGTATTTTTAGTAGAGACAGGGTTTCACCATGTTGGCCAGAATGGTCTCAATCTCTTGACCTCGTTATCTGCCTGCATCAGTCTCCCAAAGTGCTGGGATTACAGGCATGAGCCACCACACCTGGCCGGTGTGTTTTTTTTGTTTTGTTTTGTTTTTTGTCTGTTTTTTTTTTTTTTTTTTTAATATCATCTGTTTCTTCCCCCTTAGAATGAAAGCTCACTGAGGGCAGAGATACTGATATAGGCTTATCACCCAGAATAGTAGCTGAGATATCATAAGCACACCATGAATACTTGTTGAATTAAGTCTCAAAGGGGCCCTGACTCAAAGAAGGGAGTAGGTCAAGAACTCAGAGAAATAGATTACATAAAAGGTTACTAGCCAAGCCATTAGGCATGACTTGGGGCCTGCAGGAGGGGCACCACTACCTCGAGGTATAATATAATTTTTGGACCAGTGAATGCAAGGGTGTCATTACACTGTGCTTGGTGTGGCTGTTCAGAAGCCGTCCTGCCCTGCACAGCTGCTCTACTTGAGGACTTACTAAGGTTTTCCTTGACCTTCTAAAATAATTCTGCCTTATCCTCCCACAGAAGTCTCAGCTTGGGCAAGTAGTGACCACCCACCCCTATGATAATACCTTAGTTAGCAGAACTTTTCATCCAAAAATACGGAAATGCCAACATATGGAAACACTCAGATACCACAATGTTTCATAAGTACTAAGGGACGAATTTTTATAACTTCCTATAAGAGGCTTCCTAACACTCAAAAGTTGAGTGACCCCATCCACACCCACCTCCTGTCTGCCTTGCAAAGAATGTCTCTTAGACAAATCCTGAAAACTCATACCAAAAATATTATATCTTGCTAGCTTTCCCCCCAAATAACTCACAGGTAATTTTTTATTCTTTGCCTATACAAAATGGGCAAAGTATTTAGACAGATATTACCCCAAGAGAAAAAAACAGAAAATAACAAATATGTGAGAAAATCCACAATTTTACCCATAAAATGCAAATTCAAACAACAGTCAGATATTATCACAATCTATCAAACCAACAAGAATTTCTTGTCGTTGTAATACCAAAACTGGTAAAGCTGTGGTTAGGGTGCACATTCTGCAATGTGGGTGGAAATGTGAAGTGGTAAACCCTTGTGGAAAGCTACAAGGCTAGATCCTGAGATGCTTTGATATCTTCATCATCTTTGACCTTTCTTCTAGAGTCCCTGCTAGGACCTTATCCTACCAAAAAATCTGAAATGCAGGGGGAAAAAGCCTTTGAACCCAGCCATAAAGATTTTACGCAGGACTCACATGGCAGGAAGAGGGAGAGGGAGAGGTTACTTAGGTAAGCTAGCAACAGATTCTCTCAAAGTTTTTCTTTGGTTTAATGTTTTTTTGGTTTTTTGTTTTTGAGATGGAGTTTATTTATTTATTTATCTATTTATGAGACAGAGTCTTGCTCTGTTGCCCAGGCTGGAGTGCAGTGGCGCGATCTAGGCTCACTGCAACCTCTACCTCCAGGGTTCAAGCGATTCTCCTGCCTCAGCCTCTCAAGTAGCTGGGATTACAGGCATGCGCCACCACGCCCAGCTAATTTTTGTATTTTTAGTAGAGACGGGGTTTCACCCTGTTGGTCAGGCTGGTCTCAAACTCCTGACCTAACGTGATCCACCCGTCTCGGCCTCCCAAAGTGCTGGGTTTACAAGTGTGAGCCACGGCTCCCGGCCTGGTTTAACTTTTTATCACAAGGATAACTCTTGTCACATACACTCTGTGGCCCAACAAACAGAATACTGGCATTTAGTTTCATAATTGGAATTGCTGATTTGTCGTGTTTTGACAGTTGAATCATGTTTCTAAAACTCATATTTTCATGTTCCAAAAATTTCCCCTGTGCCTGGGGATGCAGGGCCATCATTTACTCCTTGCTGGATTCTTTAGCTGTTAACATAAAGCCATGGTAACAGCTATCTTATTTCCCAAATTCAAAAACTCAACATTCAAAACAATCATTTTCAAAATTCTCTGAATTCTCTTGTTACTTTTTCTCCTTGAACTTCACTCACTAAAAATCAGGACAAAGTACAGTGTTTTTTTCTACCTCAACTAGAATAAAACCCACATTTACGAATATTTTTCAGGTAAGATATTCACTCGTTAAAAAAAAAAAAAAAAAAACTGGCCGGGTGCAGTGGCTCACACGCTCACGCCTATAATCCCAGCACTTTGAGAGGCCGAGGTAGGCAGATTACCTGAGGTCAGGAGTTCGAGACCAGCCTGACCAACATGGTGAAACCCCATCTCTACTAAAAATACAAAAAAAAAATTAGCCGGGAGTGGTGGTGTGTGCCTGTAATCCTAGCTACTCGGGAGGCTGAGGCATGAGAATTGCCTGAACCCAGGAGATGGGGGTTGCAGTGAGCCGAGATCGCACCACTGCATTCCAGCCTAGGCAACAGAGCGAGACTCTGTCTCATAAATAGATAAATAAATAAAAATGAAAAATAAAAAAATAATAACTTCTACCTGTAAAACAAGGGCTCACCCCAAATGGGATTTAGGTTTTTCCTTTTTAATTTTTAGCGGGAAAGCTGCTTAGAAGGTTGCTAATAGCTTTCCGTTTCTGGAGGTGGCCTCTTTGGAGCTGACTTTATTTACTCTGGGAAAGTTAACAGAAACGGGCTTTCTAGTTACCCAAAGGTAAAGCAAATTCCCACCCATCAACCTTGGAGAAGCTGTGAAATCACATCCCATGGGGAGGCAAGATTGTTGGGAGGATTGGAGAAGATTCCATCCTAGGCCTGGATGCAGGAGACCTGCCCTCCCAGCTGTGGCATGAGAGGCCACCGCCAGGGGTGGCAGAGAGGGTGGGCGGATCCCTCACACTGCAGTGTCATCCACCAGGACCCGAGAAGGGCTCTGCAAGGCCGCCCTCCTCCTGCTAGGGGCCCTTCTCCCGCTCCCACCTAGGACTCGGGGAGCAGCTCTCGGGCCTCTTCCCAGGACACACAGGAGTTCCCGTCCTCAGATCTTGGTAAAGGCAGCAGGAGAGGGTGGAAATGTCCTGCTTTTGCGTCTTTGCCATAAAATGATGTCTAAGGGGTCTTCCTGCTCTAAAATTCTAAATTTCCATTTCAGTCAAGGCTTTCTGCTTATGGGGAAGAGAAACTAGCTCCAAGCAGAGACAGAGTAACCTAACCCTAAGGAGAGCTCAGCCAGGCAGAGTGGCTCACGCTGTAATCCCAGCATTTTGAGAGGCTGAGGCGGGTGAATCACTTGAGGTCAGGAGTTTGAGACCAGCCTGGCCAACATGGTGAAACCCTGTCTCTACTAAAAATATAAAAATTAGCCAGGTGTGGTGGCACATGCCTGTAATCCCAGCTACTCGGGAGGCCGAGGCAGGAGAATCACTTGACCCTGGAAGGCGGAGGTTGTGGTGAGCCAAGATCGTGCCATTGCATTCCAGCCTGGGCGACAGAGCAAGACTCTGCCTCAAAAAAAAAAAAAAAAAAAAAAAAAAAGGAGCACTGATGAAGAGTCTAGCTAGCCAGGCCTCAGCCACATGGAGCTGGGAACAAGGTTGTCAGGCAGAGGGTGGCTCTTCTCTGGGCCCTGGTCCTCTCTGGACGTTTCCTTCTGCTCACCTGTTTCTTTCTCTGCCCAGCGTCCTCTGCCTATTCCTGGTTCTCCTTGGCTTTGTCTTGCCATGGTGCTGACTCAGCCCTTGACTGCTCCAGACCCAGAGGCCCGGCTCCTCACTCTCCCTTAAGAGAGGATTTAGGCCCAGTTAGGTGTCCACGGCTGGTCCAAAAAGTTCTTGGCCGGAAAGCTTCAGTCATGGGATAGAAACACAGCCACCCAGGCACATGACTTGATTAGAGAGAAAGACAAGTGGACTTGGCAAGGGTCAGGACCTCCAAAACATCAACAGCAGTGTTGGTGGCAGCTCCTTTCATTCCCACTTTCTTCTATTACTTGGGTTTCATCCAAACCTCTCTGGTTCTCAGAGAAGTACGTTCTAGGGCAGGGTTAGACATGAGAGATTTATTGAAGGAAGTGTCTGTGCAGGAAGATGGGGAGATTACAGGAGGAGGCTGGGAGAGCTGTCAGGCCATGATGCAGGTCTGACCCTGGTGAAGGAGAGAGGGAAGGAAGGTGAGGTAGGAAGACTCTCAGCCTGCCGCACATTCTAACAAAGTTTGGGCAGGGTTGATAGACATCTGTCTAAGTCAGTTCAGTCTACTATAATAAGATACCATATACTGGGTGGCTTATAAACAACAGAAATGTATTTTCCACAGTTCTGGAGCCTGGGAAGTCCAAGGTCAAGGTGCTGGCAGATCCAGTATCTGGTGAGAACCTTCTTCCTGGTTTGCAGATAGTAGACTTCTCACTGTGTCCTCACATGGTAGGAGGAGCAAGGCAGCTCTCTGGGGCCTCTTTTATAAGGTCCTCACCTCATGAATGGGTGCTGATCCCATTCATGGGGGCTCTTCCCTTGTGACCTAAGCACCTCCCAAAGGTCCCACTTCCAAATACCATCACACTGGGGATTATGGCTTCAAGATATGAATTTGGGGCAGGGGCACAAACATTCGGTCCATAGCAGCATCCTTGAGGCAAAGTTCATCAGAGGAGTCCCACGTGTCACAGGAGTCATTCTGCCTTAGCAGCCCTGCTGTGCTTCGTCATTGGTTGGGAGCAGTGGTAAGAAATGTGGACACAGCTTGAATGTGGTGGTGGATTTAGAGCACAGCATCAAGGGCTGTCAGGTGATTGTATTTCCCCCAGCAGGAGATCTGAGAGATACAAGTTCAAGGTCAACACACAGGCTCTTTTTTATGAGGCAGGAGAAGGAAGGCACAGATTGGTAAGCTTGCAGGCTATGGAGTCCACAGGCTGGGTTGGAATCTGCCTACCTCTTACCCATCATGTGCACCTGGACAAGTTACCTGTCTCCCTGAGCCTCACTTTCTTCCTCTGAAATAATAATAATGGCCATACCTATAAAGCACTTACTGTGTGCAAGACACCGTTGTCAGTATTAATTCATTTAATCCTGGGGCACAGAGTTTAAGCAACTTGCCTAAGATATCAGAGGTGATAAGTGCTAGCATCAGAATTTGAACCCAGAACCCAGGCTACATTGTCTTTGTGAAGTAGAGCCAGCAATAGCACCAACACGACTATGCTGTTGTGAAAACTGAGAAGAGAACAATTGTAAAGCATTTAGCCTCACACACTGTATACATTCAATAAATGTTACCTGCTGTTACTGGCATTACTAATTATTATTATAGAAGGTACAGACTGAGTTTTTCTTTCTTTTTTTCTTTTTTTTTTTTTTGAGACGGAGTCTCGCTCTGTCGCCCAGGCCGGACTGCGGACTGCAGTGGTGCAATCTCGGCTCACTGCAAGCTTCGCTTCCCGGGTTCACGCCATTCTCCTGCCTCAGCCTCCCGAGTAGCTGGGACTACAGGCGCCCGCCACCGCGCCCGGCTAATTTTTTGTATTTTTAGTAGAGACAGGGTTTCACCTTGTTAGCCAGGATGGTCTTGATCTCCTGACCTCATGATCCACCCGCCTCGGCCTCCCAAAGTGTGAGTTTTTCTTTAGTGGTTTCGAAGATACACACTTTTCATCCCAATGGTCTCTTCTGACAATAACTAGTTTCCTTCATATGGTGGGGAAAATGGATCCCACTGTGACAATGTAAAGTGATCCCACCTGCAGACATTTGCCTTGCTTTGGCTCTACGCTCATCAGATGTCTTCTGAGGATAACGTGGTGTTCTGTGCACACTCCCAACAGGGTAAAGGGGACACACCATTGATAGCCTACCCAGCAGCCATTTCCTGCTTCTTCCTTCCTGAGAGAGACCCAGTTTCCTTTAGATATTATTCTGGTTATCTATTGCTGCATCACGAACCATCCCCAAAACTGAAAACAACAATTCATTATCCTGTCTCACAATTCCGTGGCTGACTGGGCTCAGAAGGGTGGTTCTTGCTTGGGGTTTCTCATGTGGTTGCAGTCAGATGGCAGCTGGGGCTGGGGTCATCAGAAGCCTCCACTGAGCTGGACATCCCGGGTGGCCTCTTCATTCACGAGTCCAGAACAGTGGAAACTGGCTCAGTATCTCGGTATCTCGGTAACTCTCTCTCTTTCTCTCCCTCCCCCCATCCCGTGTCGTGTGTGTGTGTGTGTGTGTGTGTGTGTGTGTGTGTGTGTCTTTCTCTCTCTTCTTGCTCTCTCTCTCTCTCTCACTCACTTGCTGGCTCTCCACACAGCCTCTCCACATGACTATCTTGGGCTTCCTCACAGCATGGTGGCCTCCCTGCAGTCGGGCTCTGTAGATGCTGGCTGGTTTATCACAGAGCAAGCATTCCAAGAGACTGAGAAGGAGCTGCAAGGCTTCTTGTAACCCAGTTTTGAACCTTGTGCAAAGACGCTTCCTCCGCATTTTATTAGTTACATAGAAGCAGCCCAGACTCAGTCCAGGGATTACCAGGAGGCATGGTGTGGCAGACTGGGAGTAAGGGGAGCTTTGGAGAGGAACTACCATGGATACCCCTTTCCCACTCAGCCACAGGCCTCTGGGGCAGCCAGCCTCACCCTCCAGCCTGAGGGTGAACAAGATGGGTCTAAAGGTGATGCCTTCCCCTTGCCAAGAATGAGCATGTGACCCTGTTTTGGTCAATGAGATATAAGGGGGATGTCTGCTGGGCTTCTGGGGAAGTTTTCACATTCCTAAGAGAGAGTCTTCTTCCTCAGGTCATGCTCGGATTTGAATAAGTTTTCTGGAGCTGCCCTGGGCATTTTCCATCAGCCTGAGGATGACACCATCCCTAAGAAGGGCAGAGCAGACAGGTGGAAAGACCCAGGGCCCTGGATGCCACAGTGTAGCCCATCCACAGCCAACCCTGAAGCCCACCCTACTTTGGGACTCTCTGTTATCTGAAATAAGCCAAGACCACGTCTCTCTCTCTCTATATATATGTGTGTGTATGTGTATACATATATACACATACATACATATATGTGTGTGTATATATATACATATATATCACTCATATATATACACACATACATATATGATATATATGAGTAATATATATGTGTGTACATATATATGAGTGATATATATGTGCATATATATGATATATATAGATATATAGATATGTATGATATATATAGAGATATATCATATATATATAGATAGATATGTATCTATATATATATAGATATATATATCACTCAGGCTGGAGTGCAGTGGTGTTATCACAACTCACTGCAGCCTCAAGCTCCTGGGCTCAAATGATCCCACCTCAGCCACCCCTTAGCTCTCCTATGCACAGAGGGCTGTACAGTAGATGGCTGTCTGAATTTGGCCTGCGGGCCATATTTCGCTGATCCCTGGTTTAAAATGTCAAGGAGTAAATACTGCTGACACAAGATGCTGACTTAAGGCTGCTTGTCCCTCTAATCCCCACTGTAAATTATCATTATAATTATCCACTGATGCTCAGGTTCGCAAATCTGCAGATTGTAACTTAATTTAATTCTTGCTTGAGTGAGAGGATGAGTTTACCTTAAGCTTAAAAGATGGTAACTTTTAAGATTAAGGTAATGGGTGTGAGGTGGGTGCTGGGCTTCTGTAAGAGAAGTCAAGACTTGTAAGGAGAAAAATATTCTTACAGCTTAATAAGGCAAAGGAGAGTCACTAGCAAGAATCAAAGTGCTTATTGCCTTTTAGATACTTCCCCAGTACCCCACTTCCTGACCAAACCACAAAGGTCACTTCCTCTTGCCTCCAATACACACACCTTTAACTGAGAAACCTTAATCGGGGTGGGGATCATGTTGGTCACCAAGGAGATGGGACCTTGAGGGAAGAGAGATAAAAAGAAGTAAAGAAGTCTGGGCATGGTAGCTCATACCTGTAATCCCAGCACTTTGGGAGACCGAGGCAGGCAGATCACCTGAGCTCAGGAGTTCAAGACCAGCCTGACCAACATGGAGAAACCCTGTCTCTACTAAAAATACAAAATTAGCCGGGCATGGTGGCGCATGCCTGTAATCCCAGCTACTTGGGAGGCTGAGGCAGGAGAATCACTTGAACCCAGGAGGCAGAGGTTGCAGTGAGCTGAGATCATGCCATTGCACTCCAGCCTGGGCAACAAGAGCAAAACTCTGTCTTAAAAAAAAAAAAAAGAAGAAGAAGAAGTAAAGAAGGCCAAGCGTGGCGGCTCATGCCTGTAATCCCAGCATTTTGGGAGGCCAAGGCAAGTAGATCACTTGAGGCCAGGAGTTCAAGAACACCCTGGTCAACATGGCAAAACCCTGTGTCTACTACAGATTAAAAAAAAAAAAAAATCATCCGGGCATGGTGGCACACGCCTGTAATCCTAGCTACTCAGGAGGCTGAGGCATAAGAATCACTTGAACCCGGAAGGTGGAGGTTGCAGTGAGCCAAGGTCATGCCACTGCACTCCAGCCTGGGTGACAGAACGAAACTATCTCAAAAAAAAAAGAAAAAGAAGAAAAGAAAATAAAACAGGTGGGGAGGGAGAGACTGTGTAAGGGAGAGGGTGTGGCCTACTCCGCCCACCAGGGTGTGATTAAGGAATGTACCTCCATGGTCTGGGCAGATCCAGGCCCTAGGGAAAGCTCAGGGGTAAGTTGAAAAGACCATGGAAGCCACTCCTGAATCTCCACCTCAATGTGGACTCTGTAAGGGCTGGGCCAGATCTCTTAAGCCTGAAGCAAAGGACAACTGAACATTTTCCAAGGTCCTTCCTGTGCTTCACAGGCTAGACCGTTCTGCCCTGGACTGGACTGTCCCACACTTCCAGGAGAACCCCATGCTCTGGGGTCTCCCTGGTGTTTGGAGAAGCCATTTATCCATGCAGACAATTTGACAAAATGAAGGGAGATATGCAAGGATTTCTGAGGAAATTTTAGCTGTGGGGAAGCTTCATAGAAACTGAGGTCCAGTGTGCACTTTGGGATCGAAATATTTCCTTATTGAAAAGAAGAGGCTCGGAGACAAAAAGCCGGAGTGCGTGGAATGTCACGTGCCACGCAGAGGTGCCAGTCCTGGAGCCCCATCTCTGCAGGAAGCTGTGTCCCTGGGTGGCTTCTCCTGATTTGGGGACCAGCCTCTCAAAGGCAAAGTGCCTGGGCGTTCAGATTTGCAGAGCAAGTTAGAAAGTTAGACAAATCGGTGTTCCCATTTTTGGCCCTTATAAAGACAAAATGTCAACTTGATACTAAAGCAAAGACCCATATCTCATGGCATACGATATTTATTTATTGATTGAATCAAAATCAGATTCCACTGCTGCATACTGTCTGGTTCTGCTGTACGAGAACGCAGTAGTGGTTAGATATGCTGCAGAGCTATTCATATCTCGTGAGTCATTGGAACAGTGCGTTTTGAAATGGTGTCCCTTCACTTTCTGTTTAGGGGGAAAAGAGGAAATAGTTCTATGACAACAGCAGTATTTTCTAATATTCTAGGTTTATTCTAATTTTTTATTTATTTATTTTTTTTAGACAGAGTCTTGCTCTGTCACCCAGGCTGGAGTGCAGTGGTGCAATATCGGCTCACTGCAACCTCCGCCTCCCGGGTTCAAGCAATTCTCCTGCCTCAGCCTCCCAAGTAGCTGGGATTACAGGCACCCACCACCATGCCCAGCTAATTTTTGTATTTTTAGTAGAGACAGGGTTTCGCCATGTTGGCCACGCTGGTCTTGAACTCCTGACCTCAAGTGATCGCCTGCCCCGGCCTCCCAAAATGCTGGGATTACAAGCATGAGCCACCATGCCCTGCCTATTCTAATATTTCTAATTGTAATTTTGGAGTTATGATTTTTTGGGGGGGGGCTATGATTTTTTTGGGGGTTATGATTTTTTTAATTCGAAATTTCTCCCACCTGCAGATACTATTATTTAGAGCAGAGCTTAACTTACTCAGAAGTTCATGAGATCTCAGATCCAGAAACTTTTCCCAAGAAGCTTGGACATGGATTGCTGGTAAACACAAAAACTGCATGGAGGGCAGAGCAGCCGGTTGACTCCCCCTTGTCAATATCTTAAAGTGGAAAAGCTTGACTTAGTGACTGTCATTTTGTCTGCGCAGCCCTGGTCTTTTCTTAGGCTTGCCTGCTTGTATTAGTCTTGGGTGGCGAGTGAAGATAATAGCTCAGTGTAAACTAGCTTAAGTGACCTGCGGGACTGTGTTGGCTCAAGTCCTGGTGGGGAGAATAGGGCTGGGCTAGTTGCAGGACTGGCTGGAACCAGGGACTCTAACTCCATCAGGGCTCCTGGCTTCTCATCTCTACTTCTCTCTGTAGGATTGTTCCATTGTTTTCAGACTGGCCTTTTCATGAGACAGGGGACACAGCCACTAGCAGATCTAGATCTAGATCCTTAGACTTCACAACCAAAGAAGAAAAGGGACCCTCTCCCCTGGATCCACTTTAAAAATTCCTGTGGAGGATGGTGACTGAGAAGCGTTCCTATGCCTACCCCTGGGGCCAATTTGTTGCAGGAAGGGATGGAGAAATACCATTAACTAGCAGGAGGGTATAATCTGTTACCAAAAGAAAGGTGGAAGGCTGGGCCCGGTGGCTCATGCCTGTAATCCTAGCACTTTGGGAGGCCAAGGCGGGTGGATCACTTTAGGTTAGGAGTTTGAAACCAGTCTGGCCAACATGGTGAAACCTTGTCTCCACTAAAAATACCAAAATTAGCCAGTCAGGTGGCACGCATGCCAGTAATTCCAGCTACTCAGAAGGCCGAGGCATAAGAATCGCTTGAACCCGGGAGGTGGAGGCTGCAGTGAGCCAAGATCTCACCACCGCACTGGCGACAGCCTGGGCAACAGAGCGAGACTCTGTCTCAAAAAAAAAAAAAAAAAGAAAAGAAAAGAAAGAAAGAGAAAGAAGGAAGGAAGGAAGGAGCGGGGAGGGAGGGAGGGAGAGGGAGATTGAGAAAGAGAGAGAAAGAAAGAGCGAGCTAGCCAGGCCAAACAGAAGATGTGTTCTGCCTGTCCCTTCTGGGAGCTGCCCCTTCCCCTCCATCCAAAGGAAGCTGTCCTGGAAGACTGGCCTGCCCCTTTGCCACAAGGATTCTTAGATACGGGCACCTGCTGGTCCATCAGAGTCTTCTCCCAGGAATTGAGAACTGGAGCTCAGAGGCGCCAGCTCTGTTTGGCTGCTTGTGTGTACTGAGGAGCTTTCAGAGGAGCTATTTCTTTACCTCGAGGATGGGAGAACCGCGAAACACAAATGGCTGGGCCACAAGACAAGAGAAGAAGGAAGCAGCAAGCCATGGAGAAGCGGATGCAAAGGGCTGAGCACGCTGGCTGATCTGCATCCTGGTTGCAGTGATTCCTGGGATCCAGCCACATCTCTGCTGCCAGTCTCTGCAGCACACTGAATCCAGACAATAACCCCCCTTTTTCCCTTAAGGTAGCTCATATTGCACTTCTTTTGCTTGCTATCAAAAACATTCTAACTGATACACAATCTCAACCTAAAACAGTCTCAGCCCTCATAGCCTGACACACAGCCAGTAGCATGGTGAAGCAGGTGAGTTCTGGCACCAGGCTTCCTTGACTGTATCTTAGTTCTGCTTCTTCCTAACTTGTGACACCAGACACGTTGCTCTGCTTCTTCCTAACTTGTGACACCAGACAAGTTACTTTTTTTTTTTGGATGGAATTTCACTCTTGTCTCCCAGGCTGGAGTGCAATGACACAATCTTGACTCACTGCAAACTTTGCCTCCCAGGTTCAAGTGATTCTCCTGCCTCAGCCTCCTGAGTAGCTGGGATTACAGGCGTCTGCTATCATGCCCGGCTAATTTTTTTGTATTATTAGTAGAGACGGGGTTTCACCACGTTGGCCAGGCTGGTCTTGAACTCCTGACCTCAGGTGATCTGCCCGCCTCACCCTCCCAAAATGCTGGGATTACAGGCATGAGCCACCATGCCTGGCCAAGTTATTTAACTTCTATATGTCTATTTCTTCATCTCCAAAAAGGAAATATTAATATACCTACATTATCGTGTTGTGAGAATTAAATAAGTTGATCCACGTAACACAGTGCCTGACATGTAAAAATCACTCCATAACATTAACTATTATTTGTAGTGGGAGATTGCAGTAGTGCCTAGGAGAAATTTTATCATCTCTTTAAAGATCAAAGAAACAAACCAAGGAAGATAGCCTCCCCACCTCCACCACGGATCACATTCCCAGCTTGCTAGAGGTGTCATGTTGAATCCTCTGGCCGGCATTCCAGACACCGGCTGCCAATATGCAGAGGAGATAAAGATCTCCAAGAAAGTTGAAATGTTACTAAAATGCTTGTACTGTAGTATAAGGATAATAACACTTCCTCAGACATCATTTTAAAAGTATGAAATTTGGCCAGGCATGGTGGCTCACACCTGTAATTCCAGCACTTTGGGAGGCCGAGGCGGGTGGATCACTTGAGGCCAGGAGTTCTAGACCAGCCTGGCCAACATGGTAAAACCCCGTTTCTACTAAAAATACAAAAATTAGCCAGGCCTGGTGGCAGGCACCTGTAGTCCCAGCTACTCAGGAGGCTGAGGCAGGAGAATTGCTTGAACCTGGGAGGCAGAGGGTTGCAGTGAGCTGAGATCGAGTCACTGCACTCCAGTCTGGGCAACAGACTAAGACTCCATCTAAAAAAATAACAAAATAAAAAATAAATAAATAATATGAAATCTGCCAGGCAAGGTGGCTCATGCCTGTAATCCTAGCACTTTGGGAAGCTGAGGCAGGAGGATTACTTGAGCCCAGGAGTTTGAGGCCAGCCTGGGCAACTTAGTAAGACCCGGTCTCTACAAAAAAACAAAACAAAACAAAACAAAAATTAGTCCCAGCTATTTGAGAGGCTGAGGTGGGAGGATCGCTTGAGCCTGAGAGTTTGAGGCTGCAGTGAGCCGTGATCGCGCCACTGCACTCCAGCCTGGGTGACAGATCAAGACCCTGTCTCAAAAAATGAAATAAAATAATATGAAATCTGAGTGTCAACATATATACGGAGTGAAGGACATGACCTGCATGTGGTTTAATCTATGTACACAGAGATTCTTTATAATGAAAATTTCCTGCCGTGTGCATATATGTGTATACACAAAAGCAACGACCCTAAAAAAAAAAACAAAGAAAAACAAGGAGCAAAAGAGCCAAGTAACATATGCCTATAAGGGGGCATTGTTATTATCATATTAAGAAATGAGGTTTGGACCCGGCACAGTGGTTCACGCCTGTAATCCCAGCACTTTGGGAGGCCGAGATGGGCGGGTCCCTTGAGGTCAGGAGTTCGAGACCAGCCTGGCCAACATAGTGAAACCCTGTCTCTACTGAAAATACAAAAAATTAGCTGGGCATGGTGGCAGATGCCTGTAATCCCGGCTACTCGGGAGGCTGAGGCATGAGAATTGCTTGAACCCAGGAGACGAAGGTTGCAGTGAGCCAAGATGATGCCACTGCACTCCAGCCTGGGTGACAGAGTGAGACCTTATCTCAAAAAATAAAAATAAATAAATAAATAAATAAATAAGGTTTGGAAGGCTCAGTGGTGTGTCTGGAAACCTGTGTTAGTTGGTTTCTTGACTATCCTTTGGTTTACTCTAGCAGCTATCGGGTTTATACAGCAGTTAACACAGTAACACAGTTAACTTAGTTTATTTTCACTTTGAGTAATATAATTTTGGGAAGAGCTGAAAAGGAGTGGAAATAAAGAAAGACTAAGATAATTTTTTAAAAGAATAATAGGAAATGAGATTTTAAGAATAAAAGCTAGAGAAAAACCAACAGAAGATAATTGAATCCCTTTGGTACTGCC